>NC_000002.12:14304583-14611339 GCF_000001405.40 Homo sapiens | reverse complement strand
TTCCTTTTTTGTTGTTTTATAAGTGTCAAAAAATGGGACATCTTCTTTGGAAGAGTGAACAGAAAGGCTAAGAGAACCTACAAAATAGAGAGATTACAACAGTTAGAAAAGCAAAGATCGATGGTGCATAATTCACCAACTCATACCTAACGCTTGGCACAAGTTACTCAGTTATTTGTCAAATAGTAAATGAATAGTGAGAGTGGAGTAGGAGAAAAGAGACAAAGGGCCACCGAGGTGGGTGTCAGAGACGGCTTTTGAGGTAGAGAATTAGGGGAATTTCGAAAATGAATCACTATTATTGTAAAGGATATTAAGAAGGGCATCAATAGTGAAAGAGAAAGGGTAAGAAAATATATTTATTCTGTCTTAAAAGGGTATTTTCTCAAGAGACTGTAGAGATTTTAAGTGCTGTACTTCATAATATTTAGTTGGTGGTAGTAAACCGTGTTTTTAATTTTTTTCTTTGTTTTCTTTGGTTTATTTATTTATTTTTATTTATTTTTTCTGAGGCGGAGTCTTGCTCTGTTGCCCAGGCTGGAGTGCAGTGGCATGATCTAGGCTCACTGCAACCTCCGCCTCCACGGTTCAAGCATTCTTGTGCCTCAGCCTCCCAAGTAGCTGGGACTACAAGTGTGAACCACCATGCATGGAGCTAATTTTTTTTTTTTTTTTTTTTTGAGATGGAGTCTTGCTCTGTCACGCCCAGGCTGGAGTGCAGCGGCGCAATCCTGGCTCACTGTAAGCTCCTCCTCCTGGGTTCACACCATTCTCCTGCCTCAGCCTCCAGAGTAGCTGGGACTACAGGTGCCAGCCACCACGCCCGGCATATATATATATATGTATTTGTATTTTTAGTAGAGACAGGATTTCACTGTGTTAGCCAGGATGGTCTCGATCTCCTGACCTCGTGATCCGCCTGCCTCGGCCTCCCAAAGTGCTGGGATTACAGGCGTGAGCCACTGCACTCGGCCTGTTTTCTTTGGTTTATAATGTGATCTTGCTCTGAGATGGAGCCTTGTGGGGCTCTAGGATTCATTTGGTTTAGGCTACTGTTTATGAGAGCACTCTTTGCCAGGCAATGCACCATGTGTTTTATGAGTGTTCTCTCCTTGAATCCTCATCTCAACCCTCTTGGGTAGCTATTACTAGCTAGATATTATTTTATCCTTTTTAAATAAACTGAGGTCAATAAATTTTTAGCAATCTGCCTATGGAGATATTCTACATTAACTGTACACTTAAGATTTAACCCCATACTCAAAAGACCATTACCTTAATCCTGCTTTATGAACCTATGGCCAAATTTATGTGTGCTGTAGTGTGTCAAGGAAATGAGAAAATTAGTGAATGGACCTGATTCTCATTCTCCACTTCCCTCTCTGTTATTTCACCTGTTTCGTTGCTAGCCTTTTGTTTTCCTATCTTGTTTCTATTCCCAATCTAAGTTTGATTTTTGTATTTTGACTCATAGTGTTCTTTTTGGACAGATATTTCCACTTTTCAACATTTTTTTTTCATGTATGATCTCGCAAACATGTATTAGCACTTATGCTAAGCCCTGGCATCACAGATATGAAGGAGATATCATGCCTACTTTCAAGGAGGTCACAGGCCATGGACAGAAAAAGACACATGGACAGATCATTACACTGAGGTGTGGCTAGTGTCATGCAAAATGAAAGCACCAGTCGTTGAAGAGGCTCAGGAAAGGCATGCTTTAAGGTGGACCAGAGCAGAAGCTGGGCATTGAAGGGTGGTGAGAAGTGACACAACCTCAGTTTAGAGGGATCAGCTTAGTGCCCAGACCTCTCTGTTTTCCTGCTTCCATCACCGCAGGTAACGACTTCACCTAATGAAACCCTTGGATTCAGTTTTAGCCTGACCTTAGGTGACTTGAACAGCTTTTGTTCAAGGTATACCTGAAAACCAATGAAGGAGTGTTAGGAACATTTTAAAAGTTTTAAAATTTTGTATTTTGCTGCTAATATATAGAAATACAATTGATTTTAAAAATAAAAACCTTATATCCAGTAACCTTGCTAAATTAACTAATTCTAACAGATTGTAGTGTTTTTTTGTGTGTGTGTTTTCTACATGCACAATCCTTTTACCTACAAATAGACTGTATCCCACAAGGCCATTATATTCTGTAGGTTTTTTTGTTTTGTTTTGTTTTTTCAGTTTTTTCTCTCTAAATTGTAGTTTGAATATTTTCGATTAATCCGTCCTCCAGTTCATGAATCCTGTCTTTTTCAGGGTCCAATCTTGTTAAACCCACTTATTGAGTTTAAAATTTTATTATATTTTTATTAATATATTGCCCATTGTCCATTGAAATTATTAAAAATTTTTAATTACTTATGTAAGTTCTCCAGTTTTTTTAGTCTATTTTGTCCATTTTTGTTGTTGTTGTTTAGGAGACGGCATCTTACTCTCTCACCCAAGCTGGAGGGCAGTGCCGTGATCAAAGCTCACAGCAACCTGGATCTCCTGGGCTCAAGTGATCCTCCTGCCTCAGCCCAAGTAGGTGGGACGACAGGAGTGAGCTACGGCACCTAGCTTCCATCTTTTTTTTTATTATTTTCTCCAATATATTCATCATAGTTATTTTAATGTATATATCTGCAATCTCTAATGCTCTTAACTCTGCTTCTGGTATCTTCTTTTAGTTTTTGGTCATACTGTACTGTATATTCACATCCCCATTAATTTTGATTGATGGCTAGACATGTTATATGCAAATTGGTAGGATCCCCAAATGATGTTTTATTTTATGAATTGCTGACCACTTTGCATGACCAAGCTGGGACAAGGCAAGGTGGGTAGTGCTTGTGAGACGTAGTCTGCCTCTGGTTTGCCCCTGTTGCTGACGTGTCACCCACCAAGATTGTCACTTGAGAGCCTGGTAGTTGTTTGTATGCTCACAACTGAGAGACTGGGAATTTCCCCTCTGCCTTTTTGAGAGGTGCTTGTCTCACCTCTTTAGGGAGCCAATTTCTTCAGGCAGAGTCCAGCTTGGGATCTTTAGGTCATTCACATCCCTTCCTTTGTTCCTTTCTCCCAAAGTAACCACAAAAGTTCTGATTTTTTTTTTTTTTTTTTGAGATGTAGTTTCACTTCTGTTGCCCAGGCTGGAGTCCAGTGGCATGATCTCAGCTCACTGCAACCTCCACTTCCTGGGTTCAAGCAATTCTCCTGCCTCAGCCTCCTGAGTGACTGGGATTAACGGTGCCTGCCACCACTCCCGGTTAATTTTTGTAATTTAGTAGAGATGGGGTTTCACCATGTTGGCCAAGCTGGTCTCAAACTCCTGACCTCAGGTGATCCACCTGCCCCAGCCTCCCAAAGTGCTGGGCTTACAGGTGTGAGCCACCATGTCCAGCCTCTGATTTTTATTTTTTTGTGGGTGTTAAAATAGTTAACATTTATTATTGCTTACCATGTGCTATGCATTATTTTAGGAGCTTTATATGTCCTTTATTTTCTTTTATCTTTTTTCATTGTAGCAAGAACACTTAACATGAGATCTACCCTCTTAAATTTTTAAATGCACAATATAGTACTTTATAGACACAATGTTTTATAGCAAATATCAAGAAAATGTTCATAGATGGATAAATAGATAAGGAAAATGTGGTATATACATATAATGGAATATTATTCAGCCATAAAATGGAAGGGAACCCTGCCATATGCAACAACATGAATGAGCCTGGAGGATATTACGCTAAATGAACTAGCCAATCACAGAAAAACAAATACTGCATGATTCCACTTCTGTGAAATATCTAAAATAGTAAAACTTACAGAAACAAAGAATAGAATAGGGATTGGCAGGTGCTGGGGGGAGGAGAAATGAGGACTTGCTGTTAATGGGGTAAGGCCTCAGTTCTGCTAGTTTCTTTATATCCCAACAGCAGCCTTTTGCCAGCTCTCCCCACATGGGCAAATGTCCCCTGGAAAAAAGTTGTTGGAGGCCTCAGTGAAAGTCACCAGGTCTCAAGACATTCCCACTCTCATCTGTGGTTCTCCTGTAGGTTTTATTTCCTTAGCGTGGGAGACTGCAGGGAAGTTCCATTCTGCTGTTTTGAAAATTTGACTTAACCTTTTAGTCTCCTGATCTATGCACTTTTAGTATATGTTTGAATGGTATTATGTTTGGGATTTTGCACATGTTTGGTTGATGAAAACTGACTCTTTGAGGGCATGCAAATGTCTAATTTGGTCCCCGCAATCCTTTGCACTGAGATTAGCTCCACTGGTTTCTGTCTCACAGCAGAGGCCCCTCACCTGCCTCTAACCAGATAGTCCACTTTCAGCTCACACCCAAGACCCATGACCACATCCAGCTATTGCTGAAAGTGCTCAGGGTGCCTCTTCAAGGGGCTTCCTTCTTGGGGTAATTACAGTCTTCATTCTTCATTGCTTCTCTGATTCTTTGAAATACATGTTTATTTGTTTGTTTGTTTTCATGTATCTTGCTGTTCTGATTGCTTTTTTGTGGAATAGTTGCTGTGTCTTGAAGATCTCCCTCTTTCTTAGAAGCAAAAATCCTCAAAATGTATTTGTAAGTTTAATGGAAATGGAGATTCAACATTATTAATTGAAAACACTAGGTGGGCCATGTGGGAAGAGACAACTAACCAACCAACAAATAAATAACTTCAGGAGGCGTATTAGTCAGGGTTCTCTAGAGGGACAGAACTAAGAGGAGATATATATATATATATATATATATATATATATATATATATATTATAATAGGGTATCCATATATATATATATATATATATGGAAGTTTATTAAGTATTAACTCACACAATCACAAAGTCCCACAATAGGCCATCTGCAAGCTGAGAAGCAAAGAGAACAAGTCCGAGTCCCAAAACTGAAAAACGTGGAGTCCGATGTTTGACAGCAGGAAGCATCCAGCACAGGAGAAAGATGGAGGCTGGGAGACGAGACCAGTCTACTCTTTTAACGTTTTTCTGCCTGCTTTATATCCTGGCCGTGCTGGCAGCTGATTAGATGGTGCCCACCCACATTAGTGGGTCTGCCTTTCCCAGTCCACTGACTCAAATGTTAATCTCCTTGGCAACACCATCAAGGACACACCCAGGATCAATACTTTGCATCCTTCAATCCAGTCAGGTTGACACTCAGTATTAACCATCACAAGAGGGTAGTAAAGATCTTACAAGCAGTTACAGTGCAGCTAATCGGATATTTCTAAGTCAAAAAATAAAATAACTTTCTTTATACAGCATGAAAAAAGGTTTTTAAACCCAGTTGAAGAACTGTTTTTATTAATCTCTGCATTTGAAAGAGATTTAATGTATTTGCTTCATTTTTTTAAGAGGAAAAGATTGAATACCAAATGTCACCAGTTTCACCAGTCATTTTAAAACATGCAAAAGGAACACACACACGAAATTAAGCTACCAAATATTTCTTGGAGGAAAACAATCTTTCTTATTTCCTGATTCCTTTAAGACCCATTTCTTAATTATAATACTGTCCCAACTTTGTGATAGATGGTTAGAGTCATTTCTTGAAGAAAGGTAATTTCATTTCCCAGTCTTGGCCTCAGTGTCTCTGTACCTAAAATGATGAGATTGGATTAAATGATAGCTAAAGTGTAATTTCTCTGACTCCCTTGTGAGATTGGCTTTTGAGATTTACACTTTTCCCCCCAATACATTTCAATAAACTGATATGTATAACCAAAATTACCATTAAAAATTGCATGTTAGTGAGTACAGTGCTTCCTCTATCCCCAGCAGATGTTTTTCCTTGTCTAGAACTCATCTAACTTAGTAAAACTATGTTCCTCATATAGAAAATCATCATTATCATTTATTCTTCTCTGTATGACAGGATCCACTTCAGAAACTTTCTGGGGCTATTCTAACAGTCACAACTGAACAAACCTTCGTTCATCCAAAGCTAAGCCAAAGTTGATTTAGACTTCAAGGTTAAGTTGTTGCCGTGATTAATCGGTTCTGTGGAATAAACATTGAATAATATGTATTTTGGTGTTTAAAAATTGTAATTTATTTGGAACATCTTGTTGTGCATTATCTTTTCTTTCTAGAAATTTTGAAATGGTTTTTAAACATCAGAAATGAATTTTGGATCTTCATCCCCTGTGATCAACAGATGTTTATCTGTTAAAAGATTGTTGGAAGTTTCCTTGTCATGGTCTGGACATAATGCAGTGCCACCTGGATAATACAGGTTTTCCAGAATGTATTACGATCCTATGCTGTTTTTCTCAACAAACCTGAGACAATATGCAGTGGATTAAGAGTTGTACGGCTTGGATTGTAGTGAAGGCCTACCACCAACCAATCCAAAGACTATTCAGAGTCTTTTTCCCCCCACTTGGTTCTGACTTAATCTTGTTTGTAAAACTGGGGTGGGTTTTTCAGAAGGGGGTGAGATGTTGTAGCTTCAGTAGTTCTCAAGAGGAGACAGGAAGAAGAAAGGAAGACAGGACCTCTAGGAAATCGTGAGGGCATTTTCAGCTGTCACAATGGGTGGTGGGTGGTAGGTGTTAAAGGCAGTTGAAAGCCTGAGACCAGATATGTCAAACTTCCCACAAACTAAAGAACTGTATCAATCAAAATGCTAATGAGTCCTTCCCCTCTGAGAAACACTAGCAAATGACCTCTAATGTTGTTTTCTCTGTCACTACGATTCTTCAAAAGACTCACCTGAACCTTGTCTCGCCTTTCCCTAGCAAGTTCACAACTTTTCCTTCTTCTCATTCTGGATAGACTTCTCTAGAAGTTAGATTCAAGATGCTAGTGTATGAATTTCTCATCTTTCCTTGCTCAGACATCTCTGAAATTATAAGCCAGGGCTCCAGAAAATTTTGTCTGTAATTATGTGGTGACCATATATGTAAAATAGCTTCATTCTCTGGCCATTTTTGTTTTCAGAGTCAGTTTACCACATTTGAATTTTCTTTGTCTTTTTTTGCTAAAGAGAAAGGTCATGAGAAGCACTTTCCTCCTGCATCAGAGCTGTCTTAACCAAGCTAAATGCCATTTATTCTCACAGTCCTTTTCAATGCTCTTTTCCACCACGAAATCTTCTGTGGTCTGTCTGCCCAAGGGGCTTAGAATGAGGTTCGAGGAAGATGCGTGGGAGATTGAAGGACTGGGTTGCAAGTTATAGAGCCAGAAATTCTTTCTCTATTTCTTCTTCCTTAGCCACTTAACCTTTTATTAATCCACTAACATTAAAAAATTCTTTCCAGAAACTTCCAACCAGTATGTACTTGTGTAAAGGAGTAAGGAGCAAAACAAAGGACATAAAATTGGTTGAATCTGTCAATACTAACCCTTAACAACATCATGAGAGTTTCTGTTCTTCTTCCCACTTAGTGCTTCCTTCCCTCCCCTCCCTTCTCCTGCCCCAGCCTGTGGTTCCCACGTGCTTCTAAATGCTCTGAGTCTCCTTGGGAACATTATCTTGTTTGCTTCTTTCTATTAACATTTATGCCTCAGATCATCCCAGCTCCACTCCTTTTCACACATTCCATCTTAAAAGTTTAGAGCTGCAAGGCAACTCTGAGGTAGTCTTGAACAGCCACCTCATTGATCGATCAGGCTGGGGCTGTCAATAGAAATATAAACCAAGCCATGGGATGTAATTTTAATTTTTCTAGTAGCTACTTTTAAAAGAGAAACAGATAACATCAATTTTAATTACATATTTTAATCAATTCAATACATAAGGAATATTATCATTTCAATATGTGTTTAATATAAAAATTATTAATAAGTAATTTCTTCATATAAAATTTAAAAGTTGATGTGTGTTGTACATGTACAATATATCTCAATTTGGACTATCCTAATTTCAAGTGATTCATAGCCACATGTGTCTAGTAGCTACTGTAGGAGACAGCTTAGGTTTAGAACAACAAAATTTTAGAGAAACAAAGGACTTACCTAGGGTCATACAACAAGTTGACAACAGAGCCAAGTCTCTTGATCTCTGCTCTACTGCTTTTCCTACAGATTATATGAATCTACAGTGATACATTGGAGAAAAAATAATGATCAGCTGAAAAGGAGGTTATGCCTTCAAGAACATCTGTTTCATGAAATTATTATTATGTGAGGAAAACTGTGACCAGATATTTTCATTTCCAGTGCTTTTGTAGGACAAAAGAAGTTAACTTACATTGCAATGTGAATATCTTCCTTTTTCCAACCTCTTTGTTAATCTAATCATGTATTTTAGTATCTAGACATCGGTAAGTGTGTATTTCTATTAAAATTTATAAAAGTCTCCATTTCAACAATTGTTCTTATGCTGGGGGAGATTATTCTACATGGCTCATGTCACTGTGGGGGCAGGTAGCTCCACCATCTATGTGTAATACTTTAACCTTGCAGCCCAGACTGGGGGTTTTGCTCATTATATTAGCCAGTTTCAGGTCCAAGGGTGCATGTGGGTCTCTATACGTAAGGTCATTCACCTAATCCTAAAGTATGAAATTTGATTTAGGCCAAAATAAGCATTTCTAAGATGTAACTTGCATTACATTCAAAGTGATTAGGAGTTATAGTGAACATATTCCTCTGATACTTGTTTTGAATCCTCACTGTTATTTGCCACATGCTCTTGAGACTTTGAGGAGCATGTGGCTTTCAAGAATTACTTTATTTCTTTAGTGTCTGTGTCTTTATTTATAAGTGGTGGAGAATGGTACTCTGCTATGTAGAACTTCATTTTCTAAGATGTATTTCAAGGAATTCTAGTCCCAGGGGATGAAGTATCAAAAAGGAATTTTATGGTAATTTGAGTTTAAAAAATTCTGCATATTCTTAGAGACTTAAAATGCATAACAAGCAAGATACAGTGACTCATGCCTATAATCCCAGCACTTTGGAAGGCTGAGGTTGGAGGATCACTTGAGCCTAGGAGTTTGAGGCTGCAGTGAGTTATGATAGCACCATTGCACACCAGCTTGGGTGACAGAGTGAGACGTTTACAGACCTGGGTAGCATTAAAGAAAGACAGTTTGCCATTTCACTTGTGTTCTAAATTATTTCTGAACAAGGAATCATTTTATCTTTTATTTCCCCACTACCGAGTTTGTGGAACATGCTTAGAGAAATGTCATAGAGTAATTTGAAGGCATGGTGAACAAAGATGTGAAAACATTTTGATATTTGATGATAATTCTCAAGCATAGGTTGTTAAAAAACTCTAATTACCATACTTTTAAGAGCACCTTGCTGGCCAATATCAAACTAAAGCTTCCCTAACACTTGACTTTCTCCTAGAAGCATATACATTTTCATACCATCATTCTATTTGTTCATCTACTTTTGACACCAGTTAAACAATGGGTATAACATAAGAACATTAGAACATTTTGGCCACAAAAAATCCGAGTTTAAGATAGTAAAACCATCACCTCTTGAGCATTTGACCCCATACTCCCCTCTTACTCTGGCTCCTCTCCTGCCTCTCCCACTCTCTCCATCTCCTCTTCCTTCCCTTACTTTACTTTCCCCCTTTTCTTCACCATCTCTGACGGCCTGACATAGTCTTTTGGTCCAAGCCAACCAAGTTTTACTGGGACTTTATGTTTGAGAAAAGTACTATGCCAATACTGGGATCCAAAACAGGTAGCACCTAGACTTGGCTCTCAAAAGTCTTACTTTCTGGTAGAGATGATGTATATGGAACAAATTAGTGTAGCTAAGAGTGACTCATGAAATAATGAGATTCTCTGTAAGGTACAGGAAGTAACCCAGAGGAAGGAGTGGTTAATCTTGCTGGGGAATGTGGGAAGGGAAGCTTGTTAGTTAGGGTTCTTCAGAAGGAGAGAACTAATAGGATACATGTATGTATGAAAGGCAGTTTATTAAGGATAATTGACTCACACCAGTATATATGAAAGGGAGTTTATTAAGGATAATTGACTCACATGATCACAAGGCAAAGTCCCATGATAGGCCGTCTGCAAACTGAGGAAGAAGGAAGCCAGTAGTGGCTGAGTCTGAGTCCAAAAGCTTCAAAAGTAGGGAAGCCGACAGTGCAGGCTTTGATCTGTGGCCGAAGGCCAGAGAGCCCCTGGCAAACCACTGGTGTAAGTCCAAGAGTCCAAAGGCAGAAGAACCTGGAATCTGATATTCAAGGGCAGGAAGCATCCAGAACAGGAGAAAGATGAAGGCCAGAAGACTCATCAAACCAGCTTATCCCACCTTCCACCTGCTCTGTTCCAGCCGTGCTGGCAGCCAATTGGATGGTGCCCACCCACACTGAGGGTGGGTCTTCCTCTCCAAGTTTAGGGACTCAAATATTAATCTCCTCTGGCAACACCTTCACAGACACACCCAGAAACAATACTTTACCAGCCGTCTAGGCATCCTTCAATCCAATCAAGTTGACACCTAATATTAACCATCACAGGAAGGGTTCACTGAACGCTTCACAGAGTAGGATATGCCAGAACAAGTGAGTTGGCGTTTCCTGGGCAGTCAAGGACAGCATGGTGGTTCTAGTAGGGATAGTAGATTGTGAGAAGCCACAGAGGCAAAGACAGAGAGAGAAAGAGAGAGAGAGAGAGAGAGCGAGAGAAACAAGTTAGATGACATGCAAATGTGCAAATCATCAAAATGAGTAGTGGAAATGTGGAGAGAAGCTCACACCGCCCTTTGGGCAGTGGCTTTCTATCATTTTTAAGCTTTGAAAACTCCTTGGCTTTTTACCTGAAAGCTCAAATTTTACTTTGCACCTTCTGTAGCTGAAACAAGGGAAGAGAACTTCCACTAGGTACTGTTGGAAATCCATGGCTGTAGAACATGGGCATATTTGTTTTCTGGTAGCACTCAATAAATTTTTAATAGTGGCATGAAAGGATGAAAGTTTACCAAAACTAGAGAAAAGAAAAGGGGCAAATGAAGACACTTTATTGGATTCTATTTCAGATGAAAAACCAGGATCCATCTGTTAATCCAGTAACACATGTAAGCAGCTTTCAAGAAAAGGAAGTGCTGATGTACATTAGCTCCTTCTGCTATTAAACGTGCTGGAACATATTTAAAAACAGTTTAGAGCTAAAATTATACCCATTTATGTCTTCTATTCCTTTGAGGTCTTTCAGTGATAGACAAGTCCGAACTACACTTATTCACGTGGGAGAAGAATTATCTTTGATTACCAAGTACTTTCTGCTTGGATGAAAGCTATAATAAACCACTGCTGGGTATGTTGGGGTAGGTGTGTTTCTGTAAAATCAAGATGGGGAAAGTTTGAGTGAAAGGAAATTTATTGCAAACATTAGAAAAATTCAGTTGACTTCCACCTCCCTGTTTAGCCATGGCTCTGAATTTAACATGAATGCATTAGGAAAGGCTTTGGGTTATTTTTCTTGGCATACCTAGGTTGGTGTCCCTAAAGGGACAGCTTTATCCTCACATGGGTGTCTTCTATCAACCCTCACCTGGTGAGAAAGATATTTAAACCTTTAGCTCTGCCCATGGCAGTGCCCTGCTAGAGACAAACAGAGAAGGATATTCTGACCTGGCTTTATCAACCTTGTTATTTATATCTTGGCTCTTTTTTCCCATGGAGACAGAAATGCCAAACCAAGGCTCTGTTATGTTTTATCTGTTTTATTTGTAAATTACTCTTTTTTCACAAAGGAATACATGTTCATTCACTACTCATACATTTTAAAAACACAGATATGCAAAGGGAAGAAATTGAAGCTACTGGTGATGCTTGACTCCTAGAAATAATTACTATTAACATTTAGAGTATATCCATATATTCATCTTGTCTTATACACTTTACAATGCTTAAATGATGTTACACAGATTATTTTGTAACCCAATTTTTGAATTTTAAATATATCAAAACAAAAATACTCTTAAATTCAGTAAATATAGTTCTACAACATAGCTTTTATATGGATGCATGCTATTTCATTATAAGGATACGTTCCAATTCATTTAAACAAACAATTCATTTTTGAACACTTGGCTTCTGATCTGGAACCAATATAACAGTGTGGCTGGAAATTTACTACTCGCTAAAATTTGCACTCATTTATACTTGCCTCCTTAGAATAAATCCACAAGTGGAATTTCTGGGTCAAAGGCTATGCACATTGTCACTGCTGTTGACATACTTTGAAAAACTGTCCTCCAGAAGGAAGGCTATTCTTGTTATGCTCCAAAAATGAATGCATGATAACACTTATTTCCAATAAATATTACCAGTTCCAGTAAATACTGTTTCAGCCAGTTTAATATCACTTAAAATTCCTAGAGTTGATATCCTCCTCTGTACACTGGGTACAATAAAACGTATACTCAAGGGAAAGTGGTTAGGATTAAATGAGATAAGTGAGGCAGAGGAGCTTTCCACTTGGTAGGGGCTCAGTAATGCATTTGGAATTGATTTAAGTTCATTTTGAGAATCCAACTCACAGATATAGCTCTTTGATGGATATTACATTTTAACTATTGAAGCTTTAGGATAAGGATTAAGTCACATACAAACAACCGTGATTTTATGCACCCTAAGGGAGGTTCCTTATCAGGTAGCGAGAAAGAGGTGCCTCAGGATAGGCACTGGAGACTCAGGAGATGGTAGGCGTGGAGGATGAGAAATCACTTAATGGGCATGATGTACATTATTTGGGTGATGGATACACTAAATGCTCAGACTTTACTGCTATGCAATACCTTCATGTAACAAAATTGCACTTGTACCCCTTAAAGTTATACAAATTTAAAAATAAAAGGCACAACAAAATTAAAACTACTCTTAAAATCAACTTGAAATCAAGGAGCCAGGTGGGCTGTAGTGATGTGGGGACTCCAAAAGGGTAGATAATTTTAAAGAAAATATAATCATTGGTTAAAGCTTGGAAAATACTTAAAATATAGAGGGTAAAATGATCTCCTGTAGAGCTGTTGTCACTGATCTGCACTTTCGCATGGTGCCATTGGCTGATAGGGTAAATTGTTTGCTTTCTGGATTGAGAAGCGCTAGAGCATGGTGGTGAATTGTGCTGGGTGTGCGGAGTTGGAATTCTGGGTCTGCCATTTGCTTGCTCATTGAATCTGAGCCATTCTCCACACCTGTATTGGGTCTCTCAG
Organism: Homo sapiens; assembly: GCF_000001405.40. NCBI lineage: Eukaryota > Metazoa > Chordata > Mammalia > Primates > Hominidae > Homo > Homo sapiens. The sequence continues at coordinate 14,598,197 of NC_000002.12, read as the reverse complement.
TGATAATAATGAAATATTGGAGGGTTGTGTGAGGATTAGATGAGCGAGCATGGGTGAGTCGCTTAACATAGAGTCTGGGAATTGGTAACCATCCACACATGTGGCTGTTGCTATTTTACTTATTTTTTGGCACTCCACTGCTTGGTTACAGAGAGGCCACCAGGAACAACTCTAGGTGACTCCCTGGGTTATGGAGGGCAACAAATGTTACCCCCACCATTCGTCATTGTCCACAGAGTCCTCTTGAGCAGAGAACCATGGGAGAAGTTTCCTTCCTATTTTCTGGAATGGAATAATGTTGCTTGTTGCTGTTGTTTTCCTGTTAATGCTTCATTTTGTCCTCATGAATCACATAGTCTACTGTGTCTCCCTGTCTGTGTTGGTGGCTAGAAAGCTTAGGGGCGGATTTGTGTCCAATCTCTAGCTAATATGTAGGGCTTCTTGGAATACATTTCATAAACTAGCCACCCTGCTGGCTATACCTTATCTTTCTTACGTTCATTCCACATCTCTTTACATTTTCTCAAATTTAAGTTTTTCTTGCATGTATTTTGTAAACAACTTCAGATTGATTTTAGAACAAGACAGTTGTAACTAAAGAAGTAAAAATTAAAAAGAACATAAAACCCATCCCTGGTACAGCCACTGTGGTAATTCTTGCTTATGGATTGCTGTAATTTCTTCCTCCTTTCCTCTCCCTCTCATTGTCTCTGTCTCTGTCCCTCAAATGTCCATCCATCCTTCCAGCTTACCTGCAGGCATGCAAGGTATGATTTTCATATAACTTTATGTCCTCGACATTTTCTTTCATTATAAATTTCTTCATAAAATGGCTTTTAATGGCTGTCTAGCCTTCTATCATATAGACAAACCATAGTTTACCTAACTATTCTCCTGTTGCTAAAATTTAGGTTTTGTTTTTCTAAATTTTCCTTTGTTGTGTAACATTTATCTTTATAACGCTTATCACTAACTTTGCGTATAAATTTATATAATGCTTGTCTGTTTTTAAACAAAATACTTTCATATATTATTGGCAATACTCCTCCTCCTATTAAAAATGAAATTAAAGCATATAATAATTTCTGTCTGTCCCAGCAGAGTCAGGAAGCAGGAGAGTGTTGTTCCCTGAGCCAGCCCTTTATGCATCAGGCAAGTTTATAAAACAAGGAATAAAAATATCTTCTCCTTTTGGCATACAGAGGGCTTCATTAGAGAAGTCACTGAGGAATAGGAAGGCTTAGCTAATAATTCCTGCTGCGCCTGGCTTCTTCTTTCTCAAACCCCCAGAGGCAGTCTCCAACCATTGAATCCATGGCCTGAGAAGCGGGAGAAGTCCTTGCTGGGGCCTTGCTCCTGGTGGGTCTGGGGTTCACAGGCCTCATCAAGCCTTCCTCAAAGACTGGACCCTTCGTCACTTGGTTTTCAGCAAAATGCAAGAGTCTGATATCCCCAGATATGTTGAGGTTTTGAGTTGGATGTTTTCCCAACTCAGTTGGCCAAGTCTGAAGCCATGTTTAATAGAAGATGAGATGCTTGAGCTTTCAGCCTTTATCTTTAATTAAAGATTATAAGCAACATTTTAAACTCCCATGTCAAAGAACTCCCTGCCTACAGCTCCCACACCTTGTGATCCATGCTTGAGGCCTTTATTTTGCCTCTGTGGTTGTGGCACCATGTTCTGTCTCAATCTACTGACTATTTTGTTTCCAGAATGCTATTGGAGTCAGGCTCAGACCTCCTTCAAAAACAACCGTGTTGTCTGTATAGATCCTCCTGAGTTTTGGATATCTGTGTTAGCAAACATGGCTCTTGCTTACGTTGTTATTCAAGAAAAAGGCCTGGGTTGACTCTAGAATCTAGCCTCTGTCAGCTGAGCCACTGTGAACACCAATTAGAACTTCAGTTTTTATACCTATATCCAGGAAAATAATTCTTTCCTCACAGAGTCACTGTGGAGACTGAGCTGTAGGAGGTTAGAAAAGATATTGTTTGAGGACATTGCTAATACTTAATCAATGCCTGTTTCATTACAATGACCTGATTTTGATTCAAGAGTTTGACCTGGGCACAATTGGAAGGAGTCCTGAGAGAAAACATTTACCAAGTTCTTGGAATATGCCTGTTACCATCCTCAGTACCTTACCAACAATCCTACAAGGTAGGCACTGTTATCATCCCCAGATCCACAGAGAAGTTAAGTGGCTTGTTGAGGTTTAGAGCTAGATGGAAACAAAGCTATGATTTGAACTCAAACAGTCTGGTTGTAGAATCTGTTCTCTTGGCCACTCACTCATGCTGCCTAAAGCCTAACACATTGGTTAAGAATGTGTTCTTTTTAAAGACTAACAAAAGCTGTGAATGTGGTTAGGCATTGGGACCCCTGGCTGGGCATCGCATCTTACTGCCAATAAATACCCACCTTTGCCTCCCAGCCAGTCACAGTCCCCTCCTGGGTCTGGTTCCTGTGACTTCAGCTCTGTTTATTCCTAAAAGAGTGGAAACAGTGTATGACTTGCAAACCTGCTTTGCCACCAAGAGGTTTACATCGCAGTAGATCCTGGACCAGAGAGACCCAAGGAAAACAATCTCTTGTGTCCCAATACCAGAGAAGAGGGGCTGTGACGCAGCATGTGCGTTGTATAAACTAGGTTTTGTTCTACACAGGAAAATCCTGTGTGGCTCCTTCCAGGTGAGATTGTCAAATTTTTTACTCAACTTCAAATTATGGCATTTGGGGGCTAACCTTTGTCCCACAGAGCTCTTAAGCTTACACAGCAGTGTGCAGTGTACGAAGCATTTTCACTGCTTTTTCCTATATAGTTGCCATAGCTAGTTCATGAAGGAAACCAGCAGTTTTTTCTTCCATCCCTGGCTCTCTAGTCCCTCCTCTTTGTTTTATGGAGTTCCTGTGATGGGGTGTGTTTTGAGAATTAAACAACAAAAGACAAAGCTCTTCCCTCACTTTCCCATTGAGTCCTCATGGATAATATATGGGGGTGTGCTTTAGAATCTGGGTTTCTTGATGGGAAATCTAGGGCTTGCTCTTTCCTCAGCTTGTCTTTTCCAAATGGCCACCAAACTTGATTAAGCACTGAGTGCTGACATATCAGTAACACAGGGCTGATAGTGAACCTGTTACAGAAACTGTGGGCTCTAGGCCTGATCTTCTGCATCCTTAGGAAATGGCTGAGATCCAATCAGCTTGCATTTAATAAATCCTTTTTGAGGTTGTAGCCAAGGCTGACATTAGCTAGTGGTGTTAATGCTACATCTTGCAGAAACAAGAATGGTTACAATCCAGAACTAATGTGCCCTAACCGCACTTTTAAAACAGGACAAAACAACTATGAACATACTAATTTCTTAATCCATTAATTAATTAATTTGTTCGCTCTGAAATGGGGTGACTCCTACATGGTAAAAGAACACACTTGTCATGTCCATTCTGTCTCTAGAATACCAATGATCAGTCTCTGCAAGCCCCACAAACTCTCCCATCAATAATGAGCAAAAACTCTATACAGTTTCTTTCTCCTCTTTGTCTTGGGTCTTGAGGATGAAGGTGGCAGGAGAAGGGCATTCGTTTCTACTTCGCAAAGTGGTGGCTAAGAAAGAAGTCAACTTGGTGAGTTGCATCCAGGCACAATAACTGTTTCAAATACTTTTCCCATAGTAGCTGCAGAGTCAGGGCATCATCAATTTCTGCTGTAATGAGACTTCAGCTTGGGGCTGCCCACTCGCTAGTACTTAGAAAGAGGTGACAATCAAACTGGCAAAGGCAATGTAGTTTAAAGTTCACTCAGCAGAGATTTGGGTGAAGGAAGGTCAATGGTAATGCTGCCACTTACTAGGCATGGTGCATTAGGAATGTCAGATGGTATGTAGGGAGGTGGCGGGCAGGTCTCTCTAGCAGAAGACTGAAGTTATCAGGAGTCGTAGCACCCAGGTCAGAGACTGGGTCTACTACTGGTCCTATTATATTCCTGTCTCTCATGTCATCTGTCAGAAAACAGAGTTATAGCTCTACTGATTGACCATTTCGGCCTTCCCACATGGCTACCTCTCCAAATGGCTGAGCTAAAACATGTTCAGGCACTTGCTACATCAAGAACCCATATTCTCCATCCTTTTCCCTTCCTGAAGATAATATTTCCTTTTGAAAACTTTAAAATGCAAAGGTTCCCATCAGGTATTTTTTCCTCAAGAAGGTGAATCTAATGACCACCCTTCTGAGTAGGTCACCCTTAGGATTCCAAAGTGATTCTCATTCCTGCCAATATTGTAACATGACCTGTAATTGCACTCTTTAAAAAAAAATCCTGTCAGATAATCTGCCTCCCTCCATAGATTCATTCATTCCAATGCCAAACTCAAGGGTCCAGGAATTTGTAAGTAAGTCATAGATATTCTAGACATGTGTCTAGCAATAAATTTGATTTTTATATATTTCTCTAATTCCCCAGGATCTGCCTGGCTCCTGACATTTGGACTTTGTTTCCTGTTACTGGCTGGAGGACAGCCTTCAAAGCTGATGGCTGAACTCAGTTTCTCCAGCTTGGTGTTGGGCACCCCTAGGATATGGCTGTGCTCAATTCCTTGACCCTGGCACTCCTGGCCCCTCTGTCTGACTCCCTTTCCATACAGCCCCAGACCCATCCTAGGGCTTATCCTCCCCCCCGCCCATCAACCCCTTAACACCCTGGAGGGAACAGTGCTTACTACACCTTCTCTGTTACAAATTGCTCAGAACTCAATAAACCCTAGACAACACTCTTTCTGATTTAATTTATTCCTATAATGTGTCTTTGTAAGTCATCTTCTCATGAATAACAGGGCTAGGGTTTCACTTGCCTTGTTGATATATTGTTAAAAATAAATAAATTGTATTTGAGTAAATCTGAAAAAAAAAAAGACCTTCCCTCCTTTCTCACCAATCCTGCCCCACTACTGCCCAATGTCAAAAATGTGCTTGATCTGAAATTGCTCAGTAAACCAGGAACGATAAAATAGAAATAATTTCTCTCTATAAAAATGAGGATGAATTAGTTATTCTTTAAATAACAAACTTGAAAGAAATCTACCCTGAGAACTTCTTGAAGACCTGCCTTTGTCACCAACTCTCTGGGAGGCCTGCTGTAGTCACTAACCTCTGGGACCCTCTTGTCCTCTCTTTATAAACGGAAGGCACAACATGGATATTCTGTTGTCCTAAGAGGATGGCACATCATTAACAATGTAACGTGAACAAATGGTGAGGCCTTTGGTTATACATAATCTTGTTTTTACTATATGGATAAACCTTGATATTTAGAAAGGAGCAGAATTAGGTTATTCTCTGTATAGCCATCTGAAGTTAATTAGGCAGTGAATCTTAATTACCTATATTAGATGAGCCTGGAAAACTGAAATGAAACAGTTTCTGCACACTGTCTTCCAATCTGCCATTAATAGCATAAACAAAGAGCCAAATTCATACATTTGGTCAGCAACCACTGACTTCAGGGTGTCTTAATTCATGGTTACATTTTTATCCCAGGTTAACAGAGTTTCCAGATCCCAGATAAACCTCAACATTCTCTGTTGAAATGAAGATGAGAGAAGCATAAGAACTTAGCCTCTTTGGGCTGCTATAACAAATACTATAACTGGGGTGCCTTATAAGTAACAGATTTATTGCTCACAATTCTGGAGGCTGGGAATTTCAAGATGGAGCTGCCAGCAGATTTAGCGTCTGGCAGGAGCCCATTTCCTGGTTCATAGATAGCATCTTCTCACTATCTTCCCATGGTGGAAGGGGTAAGGAGCTCTCTGAAGACTTTTTTTTTTTCTTTTTTCTTTTTTTGTTTTTTTAAATAAGGGCACTGATCCCAGAAGTTTTATCTCTTTTTTTTTTTTTTTTTTTTGAGACGGAGTCTCGCTCTGTCGCCCAGGCTGGAGTGCAGTGGCGCGATCTCGGCTCATTGCAAGCTCCGCCTTCCGGGTTCACGCCATACTCCTGCCTCAGCCTCCTCAGTAGCTGGGACTACAGGTGCATACCACCATGCCTGGCTAATTTTTGTTGTATTTTTTAGTAGAGACGGGGTAGTTTTATCTCTTAATACTATCACATTGGGATTAGATTTCAACAGATTAATTTGGGAGAGGGTAAAAATGTCTAGACACTAGCAAGGACTGTGGCAATTCTTAACCTTACTCAGGCAATTAAATTGCTCTGATTCTATTAAAATTTATTTTCTTCAACTCCTAACGTCTTGTATGTGCAAGTGTCTCAGCCTGAAATTTTTGTCAAAGTAGTGAATTTCTAGGACTAAGATCATCCACATTAGAATAAGACCTGCTTCAGACGATCTGGATTTGAATGTAGCAGTTCATGTCTCCTTTCTTCACTACGTAGAACAAAAGGATTTTAGAAACCACCCAATTCTCAGCCACATTTGGCCCCTTTTGCTAATAAGAAAACTAAGTCTCAGAAAGGTCAAATGTTTTGCCCAAAGTCATGTAGCAGCTAGTAGCAAACCCAAAACTAGGATACAGCCTTCTGACTTTTAATCAATGATAAAAAAAAAAGTGTATGTTTGGTTGATTTAAAATGCTGAGTGTGGAAGGAAAATAATTTCAAAAGATTAACAACAATTACAACTTTTTTATAAAATGAATCCCAATCCCTTTGATGCTAAAACATTGGAAAAAGATGAAGTTTCCTTTTACAGCTGTGCAGACTTAGACTTCTCCTTTGTACCTGGAAACATGATGTATTATTCATGCAAACAGAATGTATTTGTTCTGAGACTCTGCAGAGGAAAAGAAAAGTTAATGGCAAAATTAAGCGAAGGAGTGATCTCTGCAGTGCTTTGACAGAACAGCTATGAACAGCTATCTAAAGTTAGACATGGAAGCCCTCCTTGGGAAAGGAGCCCACATAAAGACATTAATGAAAGTAGATTTATCGACACGTCTGGAATTCTACTGACTTTGTTCCTTCACGTTCAATGGTGTGCCTCCTCTGGAGTCCTTACCTTTCAAGTTTTAAGGCATTTAAGTATTAGACACCCCAGTAAAAAATGCTGTGGACTCTATTTGTCCTCACTGTATGTTTTAGATATGTAAAAAATAATATTTGCATGTTGTGAGATGTCAGAATAGTTTGAAGAGGGAGGTTACAGTGTTTTATAAAAAGTAAATATCCAAAAGCGGAAATGATTACTGTGGCATCACTCAGTTAATAGGCACTGGCTAAAAAGTCTAGTGTATGGCAGCCATCACAGTTATTAAATATGGAGAGCAAGATTTTTTAACAGGTGATCTACAGACACCTGCAGCTGACTAACTTGAGGCCCTTGACAAGATGTATATGCGTAGGCCAGTTCCAGAGCTGCTGTAGCTGAATCTTTGGGGATAGACCTGAACCTCTGCACTGCTAATCTTCTTCTGGGGGCTTCTGATACAAGAAACTGCTGTCGAGGATGAAGATTCTTTCCTTCTTTTGCTTCTTTATTCAAAGTCGCTTATTCCATTTGAGGTATACAATAAAAGATGCATTTAAATTAGGTCGAGAAGATGTTTTGGGGCAAGTTTGTGACTGATCTTTTTTCTTCCAGATAGTTTAGACTTTACCCCATAGGAAATAGGGAGCTAACCACAATCTTTTAGTAAGACGGAATGCCCGATTTGATTTTTAGGAAAACAATCCTGGGAGCAACAGGGACACTGCACAATAGTGAAAAGATTAATTTGATCATTCAGGTTGTTTCTAAGTGAGTTTCTCATATGTTTATGTTGCTCCAAGATAATCTAATAGAAAGGAGAAGATCTGATATTCACAATGTAGCTAAGAGGATTTCTCTTTCTCTCTCCATGAGGAGAACATCTTGGAGTGGGATTCTTTCTTGCCCTGCTCATTCCTCTTTACTTGTGCAGAAGTAACTAACCTGATTAGTATAATTACGGCCAGTGGTTCTCCAATTTTGGTGTGCACAAGAATCACCTGGAGGGCGTGTTAAACTAAAGACTGCTGGGCTCACCCCCAGAGGTTCTGATTTGGTGGGTCTGGGTTGGGGCCCAATAAATTTGCATTTCTAACGAGTTGCCAGGAGATGCTGATGCTTAACGAGGGGCTACACCTGGAGAACTATCTTTTTAAGTCAAAACGTTCTTTCCCTGGAAGTCTCTTGAAATAGTAAGAAGGGCAGTGGGGGGTTCCCCTTTGCTTTATTTTTCAATGAATTAAGCTCATCTGAGCTGGTCCTATTCACACGGTGGAGAGACACCCTGTTCCAACTTTTCAGTCTGAGACCACAAGTGCATGTCAAGGTGAGCCTGCTTGTGCATCCAGATGCATCACTTAGGTGAGGCATAGATTAGGCTGTTCTGTTTCAGCAATCTCAAATCCAAGTTCACCATGTCATCCTTCTATTTACTAGATATTTAGACAGAAAGACAGGAAGAGGGAAAGTGATAGTATTTGAACATCAACCATCTTTGTCCTCTTTAGGAAGAAAGTTTCCTTATGGAAAATCTACATATTTGCTCATATGAGCTGATATGCCAAACCTTGGCACCCCTTAGGCCAAGAAGTTTGCAGTAGATTATGTGTGGATGCAATAGCATTGCAGTGACAGGCAGACATTATATTACTGGGACTTTAAGTTACAAAAGTGCAGCTAAATTGCACCTATAAAATATTATTATGTGATGTTTTGGCCCTGAGATTGTTAATACTTGGGATTTGACAGAGTACTAGAGTAGCATTTTCAAATATTGTCTCTGTTTTGTTTTGAATTTCATCCGGGGAGAAGAGGAAACTTTTCCTAGGAGACTTGCATGCATGTGGCTTCCAGAGGTGGAGTCACGCCTACCCACATGAGCCCCAGGTTTGTTCTAGATTCTTCCCTTCAGAAGCCCTAAACATGAATGTGGGTTTCAGAGATCCGTGCTGAGATCAATGACAGAGAAATGTTGCATTTTTAGTCAATGAGAAGATAAAAAGAAATAGGATATCTTCCTAGATCAGTAATGTGTCATTTTGGTGGATTGAGATGGAAAGCCTATGAAATGGAGAAAAAATTAAAACAGCCCATGTGTGAAACAGACTGTTTTCAGGAATTGGAGCAGAATTCATTTTAAAAATGACAGGTTTTTGTTGTCAAGTCAGAGAGGAGCAGTGGAAATGTGGGAAAAGAAATGAAGGAATCTGTGTTGATTGAAATGGAGCAAGAGAGGCATTTTCTTAACCCGAAGACTGAGAACTTATGAAACACACAGATACAAATGGGAAAGGATTTTGCTGTATCTAATTGCTTTCAGAGGAACAACTAAAAATGAAGAGGATGATTCAGTTGTTACTAGAATGGAGGCTATATTTCTCCCCTAAATTTTGGCAACTATTAGGCCGTATCTTCTCAGAGAGGGAACTAGAATGTTTTCCCAGAGGAAGGCTGCCTTAAGCACCATTGAGAGACCTTCACTTAGTAGTAAGTGGGGAACCAGTCATAAGAGCAAATGAGATACCACCCTAACATCTGAGACAGCTACATGAGGAGGTTAAATGAGATGGTCAGATTGTTAAGGTGAATACCAGCAGAGCATACTTCAAGGTAGCACAACTACTTGTGGGGAAACAGGTATGGCATGTGCTATGAGGGATATGGCTAGGAAATGTATGAAGTTGATGGATTCAGGGAAGATTGCATTCTCAGTTTCAGCAAGAAATGTCAGTAAGATTTAAACTGGGCCTAGATTTGCTGTAGGCTGCTGGGAAGAGACCATCCATGTGGTGGGCTGCATTTATTTTTGGCTGATCTGGAACAGACTGAATTCCTCTCTCTCATGCTGGGGACATCATGAGACAGAAGCTGGAGGCATGTGTGCCTGGCCCAAGAGCAAAGAGAAAGGAAGGAAAGCAGAGTGATCTAGCAAACAGGGTTAGCTCCACATGTGGTTAAGAAGAAAGAGAAGCAACTTAGAAAGTAGGTTAAACATTTTAAACTTCACTCAGTCTGCCGAGAAGGAAGAAAAGGAAAACAGAGGAACCAGAGCTCTCAGAGACAATCCTTCTGTGATAAAAAAAAAAAAAAAAAATGGGAAAAGAAAGACATTTTGCTGCCAGGAAAAGAGAACAAGTTAGTCAAGGCCTGAAAAATTCAAACTCTGAGAGAGGAGAAGATTTTCAGGGAGCGCACATGGTCTGGGGCATGTTGATCATTGCTGGCCTCTGGAGGTGCACATGCTTTTGGAAGTTCATGAATTTGCTAAAGGTGATTTTGAACAGAGAGATGTGGAGAACGAGGAAGACTACCTTCAAGAGATGAGCTTCGTATGTCTAGGTAACTCAAGAGCAAGAGGTGAGATCAGTAGCCACTAGTACATGAAAATACAACATGCTTTGGAATCTTGCTGGGGGTGAAGAATGGCTCAGAGAAAGCAAGGCAGTTTGGAGAGCTGACTGTTTATAAAAGTTATACATGTGAGGAAACATCCTCGTGAGAGACTCACTAGACAGAGTCCACCACAATTCGGTTTTGAGTTAAAGAACATACAGCTCAAAATGGTGATGGAATTTCAGAGGGAAAGACCCTAAGAGGGAGTATCCACCTGCAACTGTCTAAATCTTGCAAAAAGTCAGGATAATCCCAAATGCTACTCCTAGGGAGGCTGTATGATAGATGGATTTTTTTTTTTCTTTCAAGAAATCAGAAGGTCACAATTAACCTCTCAATAGAAGATTTCTCCTTACTGGTTTTAAATAATGACCCCAGGACAGACACAACAGCCTCCGGGCAGAACTAAAGCCAGAACTATTTCCTCCTTTTTCTCAGTCAGTGTTAAGCATTTGTGGCTGGAGATAGCACCGTGAGCATTGGTCACTCTTCGAATTATGCACTAGGATCAGAAAACATGACTCTGCATGCAGTAGGTGATTCAGAAGCTGAGCATTTATTTGTGACATCTAAACAATGCTGGTATGAGTTTGGCTCCATGATACTCCTATGTGTACTTCCCGCTGATACTACAGAAAATGGCAATCATGAGAAACTTGGAGTTCCACTAACTCAATTTTGGAGGAGCTAAAGGCTGTAATCATTTGGCAGAAGTGGACCAAGATGCTACTTTTGCGGAAGACAGACTCCATCAGAGTGACACTCACCTGTCTGAGGAAGAGCAGAATAAGGAAGTAGGGAGTATATTATTTTCTAGGCTGCTGTAAGAAAGGTTGATCATCCCTAATCTAAACATCCAAAATCCAAAACGCTCCACAATCTGAGACTTTCTGAGTGCTGACATGAGGCCACAAGTGGAAAAATCCACACCTGAATTTTGTGCATGAAACAAATTTGTGTTTCATGCACAAGATTAGTAAAAATATTGTGTAAAACTACATTCAGATTATGTGTATAATGTGTACATGAAACATAAATGAATTTCTTGTTTAGACTCAGGTCCAATCCCCAACATATTTCATTATGTATATGCAAATATTTCAAAATCCAAAAAAAAAAAAAAAGAAAAAAAGAAATCCAAAACACTTCTGGTTTCAAGCATTTCAAGTAAGAGATACTCAAAATGTACCACAAACTTGGTGGTTGAACCCAAAATGAATGTATGGTCTTATTGTTCTGTAAGTCTGAAATGGGTCTCATTGGGCTAACATTAAGATTGGCAGGTTTTCTGTTGCCTTCGAGAGGCTTTAGGGGAGAATCCATCCTCTTGCCTTTTGCAGCTTCTAAAAGCGGCCCACCTTCCTTGGCTCATGGCCCCTTCAGATACCTTCAGAGCCAGCAACACTAGGCTGATTTCTTCTCACACTGCTGTCTCTGTGGCTCTGAGTTCCTCTTGCCCTTTTAAGGACCCTTGTTATTACATTGGGCCCACACAGATAATCTAGGATAATCTCCCTATTTTAATTAGCAACCTTAATTCTATCTGCAACTTTAGTTCTCCTTTGCCATGTAAGGTAACATTTTCACAGATTCTGGAGATTAGGATATGGACATGGGACAATTATTCTGCCTAATACAGGGAGCAAGAAATTTTGACTTCAGTTCTTTAAACTTGAATGTATGAAGCACAGATGATTTTTTTAAATTTTATACCCTTTCTTAGAATGTAAAAATGGGAAGATCCACATATAAATTTAGGGCATTTTTGTGTTACTCTTCATTGTATATCTTATAAGCAATATTTGAATGATGTGGCAGGGCATAATTTGAAATAAAAGAGGTGATGAATTTTTGGTGTAGGATGTAGCATTTAATGCTAATTTCATTAATGTCCTCTTCTGGCTCTTCAGCTGAACTGCCCATATCACAGAAGGGCAGTTGTTGGTCTGTCTCATATGCAGAAGCAGGAACCTTTTTTACACGAATGATCTTTTTCCCCATGAAGAAAATGAGTAAAGCAATACTCCTGGCTGACCAAAGCCTTGGCCTTTGAACCAAATGTTAAGAAAGAACAAAAGTGAGGGAGAGGAAGGAGAAACAAGTAACCTTCTCTTTCATGCTGAAGAAGACTCTGCTCTCCTTTCTGTGAGTGGGGAATTGCAGTGAGCAGTGAGCAGTTTCAGATTTTTCTCTCCAGTAGTTTGCTTGGGCCCATACTGTTATGGTTGCTGAGAGTCATGATTCTCTCTCTCTGCTTGTCTCATGGTTCAGTAAAAGGGAAGTGAATTGTTTTCTGCTTTCTGTCCAATGTGATAAAACTATACGTACCCACTGTACAAATGCAAATTTTTAGCTTGTGACTGGTGAGAAAATCTGGTAAACTTTGCTTCAGGTCCCATTACCATAAGAGAGGAGGGCAGTGTCCATTTATTCTCGGGCCCAGGTAGTACTTTCCAAACCAATTTTATCAAGAAACCCTATGTCAAGGGCTTGTATGCAATTTCGAAGATTAACAATGCTGTTATATGGATCACCATTAACTATCAGTTCTTTGAAATTGGGATGGAGGGGTGATTTTTTGACACCCCAAACTTACATGTCTAGGAGATAAACAGAAATCCTTACAAGCAGAAACTGAAAGATGATGTTACAACACCTCTCATTCTACTGAAGCTGTGACCTAAGTCATTATCCACAGTTTTATAAACACATACACTTTTATGGAGTCTTAACCCACAATGCTGTGATCTTCATCATTATCATCTTCATTAGAAGCAGATGACAGCAAAGTGTTGCCTACACATTTAGAATAATGTTGAAATAATTCCTGGGTGGGGGGGTGAACGTGGTAACCTAATCAATTTTTGAGAGACTGTAGTAGGAGCTGGGGATGGGGGATTATTTAACAAACAATGTCTTCAAGAAACTGATTTATGGTCTAAGATGATGAAGAAAGTATCTTAAATTGAAAAACAGATCACTTTATAAAAAAGCAATCAATATAAAAATCTCCTCAATATCATTGGGATAAATTTTTGAAATATGACATTGTTATTTGCTTTTTTCTCTTCTACAAACACTTAAGATTTAGTATAGGATATTTGGAAAATAATAGAAAAGTGCAGTGCTTGCACACACATATCTCAAATTTCACTTCTGAGGAGACATCACCATTGAGAATTGTAGTTGAACATGTTTTTGTTGTTGTTGTGTTTTTGTTTTTGTTTTTTGAGATGGAGTCTAGCTCTATCGCCAGACTGAAGTGCAGTGGCACCATCTTGGCTCACTGCAACCTCTGACTCCCTGGTTCAAGTGATTTTCCTGCCTCAGCCTCCCAGGTAGCTGGAATTACAGGCCTGCACCACCATGCCCAGCTAATTTTTGTATTTTTAGTAGAGATGGTGTTTCACCATGTTGGCCAGGATGGTCTCGATCTCCTGACCGAGGCCCGCCTCGGCCTCCCAAAGTGCTGGGATTACAGGTGTGAGCCACCATGCCTGGCCTGAACATGTTTTTATTGTGTCAAGTAAGCATTATCCCTTCTACTCAAATGGCTATCCCCAAAACTCCCCTATGTAGACATTCCAGAGCTTCTTGGAACAGTCCCCAGTACTTGGTCGTGCTGGTGTCTTCCCATGTCAGTCTTCATGCTTTGTTTTCAACTTCCTTTGTTTTGAAAAAGCAAATCTCAGTATTCTGGAACATTTGTTACACTCTTGTTTCCTCCCTTAGGCCGGGCAACCTTGAAGGCAGGAGCCATTCCAGTATCAGAAGGGAGATACTAACGAGGAGGGTGCAATGTTGCAGATCTGCTGAGTATGCATCTTATTGTCTGAAATCACTATATTTTTCAGCTAGTTTTTCCTCCTGATAAAGGAAGACGAACTCTCTCTGTGAATCCTTTATTTTTGTTTCTAGAGATAGAAAGATTAACAGGTATAGCCTGTGTTTATAATCCTTTTTTATAGACAAAACTCATAATCAAAATAAACTGACCTTCTCCTTCCCTTCCCTATCACCATTTTATTTTTCCTCACAATAGTTTAAAACATGATCAGAAAGATTTTTTTGTGTACTATTTTCAGGGCCCAAATACAAGAAAAAGTAGCTGCTGTAACAATTCAATGTTAAAATAATATTTCTAAGAAATGCTCTGAAATGAAATGCATTTTAAACCATTGTGTCATTTAATGTCACCAATTTTTTTTTCAGTTTGTTTCTTTACTCGTTGTCCAGGTATTTCAATCCTTTCCTTTAGAAGGGATTTAAAAATTATTTATAATAAGCTGTAGCTATTATTGTAATGAAGTGGTATTATCCCGGAAAAGTGAATATATATTATTTTTGTAGAGCAATCGTTTAGGAATCATAGTGTAGACAAATCAGAGGTTATTTCTCTTTACTGGGGAGGAAATCAACTCACAGGATGTTTCATAACTTTATTTCCCTCTCTTGTTGAATACATCTCTGGCTTCTTATAACATACATAAACCCTTGAGTTACATCAGGTGTTGGTTATTGCAGCGACCTCAAGACCGCACAGCTAGTGAATGGCAGGCTTGAGGCCAGAGCCAAATATTTAGTACCCAAGTCCTTTGCCCTTGGCACTGACTTCACTTTCTATCCAAAAAGATTAAAATAGTTTCCATTTAGGTGACTAAAAATAAATAAGAGCTCCTTGACTGGAAGGCTTTTAATGTACAGAAAATTTCTTTTCATGTTTGAGAAGCTTTAAGCCCCAATTTCATTCTTCTGTATGTGGGTATCTAGTTTTCTCAGCACTATTTATGAAAGAGACTATTATTTTTCATTGCAAATACTTGGCTCCTTTGCCAAAAATTAATTGGCCATATATGTACGGGTTTATGTCTGAGCTCTCTATATTATTCCCTTGGTCAAGTTATCTATTATTATTATTAATGTTTTGGCCAGTACCATGGTATTTTAATTACTATTGCTTTGTAGTATTGCTTGAAATTAGGTAATGTGATACCTCCAGCTTTGTTCTTTTTGCTCTAGATTGCCTTGGCTATTCAGATATTTTTGTAGTTCCATATAAATTTCAGTTTTTTTTTCTCTTTCTGTGAAAAATAATGTTGGAATTTTGATGGAAATTGCATTGAATTTATAGATTGCTTTACATAGTATGGACATTTTCAAAACATTATTTTTTTCAATCCATGAACACAGGATATCTTTCCATTTATTTGTGTCTTCTACAATTTCTTTCATCAAAGTTTTATAGTTTTCAGTGTATAGGTCTTTCACCTCTTTGGTTAAATTTATTCCTAAGTATTTTAGTTTTTGTAGCTCTTCTAAATGCGATTGCTCTCTTGATTTCTTTTGCAAATCATTTGTTGTTAGTGTATAGAAATGCTAATGACTTTTGTGTGTTGATTTTGTATCCTGTGACTTTACTGTATTTGATTATTAGTTCTAAAACTTCTTTGGTGAGAGTTTGTATAGTTTTCTATATATAAAATCATGTCATCACCAAACGGTGACAATTTCACTACTTCCTTCCCTACTTGGATACCTTTATTTCTGTCTCTTGCCTAACTGCTCTGGCAAGTTCTTCCACTACTGTTAAATAGAAGTTGTGAGAGTAGGCATCCTTGTCTTGTTCCAGGTCTTAGAAGTAAGGGTTTCAGTTTTTCAATAATGAGTATAATGCTAGCTGTGGGCTTCTCACACATGGCCTTTATTGAGTTGAGGTACATTTCTTCTATATCTAATTTGGTGACAATTTTTAATTATGAAAGAATTTAGAATTTTTGTCAAAAGCTTTATCTGCATATAATCAGATATATGGTTTTTGCCCTTCGTTCTGTTAATTATTTCATACCATATACAAAAATCAAATCAAAATGTATGAAAGACGTAAACATAAGACCACAACTGTAAAGCTGCCAAAAGAAAACACAGGGGGGGAATTACATGACATTGTATGGGCAATGATTTTTTAGATTTGACCCCAGAAGCACAGGCAATAAAAACAAAAATAGACAAATGGGATTATGTTGAACTGTAAAGCTTCTGCATAGCAAAGGAAAGAAATCAACAGAGTAAAGAGACACCCTACTGAATGAGTGAATATATTTGCAAATCATACAAGTCCTAAGGAGCTAATTATCCAAAATATAATGTATAAGGAACTCAAACAATTCAATAGTAAGAAAACAACACAGTTTTAGAAATGGGCAAAGGACCTGAATAGATAATTTTAGAAGAAGCCATACAAATGGTTAACAGGTGTATGAAAAGGTGCTCCACATCACTAATTATTAGGGAAATACAAACTAAAACCACAATAAAATCTCACTTCATGCTGTTAGAATGGCTACTATCAAAAAGAAGAAATATAAGTATTGATGAGTATGTGGAGAAAAGGGATCCCTTGCATGCTGTTGGTGGGAATGTAAATTAACACAGCCATTACGGAAAACTGTGTGAAGGTTCCTGGAAAAACTAGAAATAGAATTGCCATATGATCCAGCAATCCCATTTCTGAATAGTTACCCAGAAGATATGAAATCAATTTGGCAAAGGGATATCTGCACTTCTATGTTCCTTGCAGGATTATTCACAATAGCCAAGTTATGGAATCAACCTATGTCCATCAACAGAAGAATGAATAAAAAAAAATATGCTATGTACGCAAACCGGAATACTATTTGGCCTTAAAAGAGAAGGAAATCCTGATGTTTGTGACAACATGGATGGAACTGGAAATGTTATGCTAAGTGAAATAAGCCAGGCACAGAAAGACAAATGCCACATTCTCACTTATATGTAGAATCTAAATCAATTGAACTCACAGAAGCAGAGAGTAGGACGGTGGTTACAGAGGCTGGAGGGTGGGGTAATGGGGGACATGATGGTCAAAGTGTATAAAAACTTAGGAGAAATACATTTTTGGGTTATGTTGCACAGCATAGTGAATATAGTTAATAATAGAGTATTGTATATTTCAAAATTTCTGAGAGTAAATTTCGAGTGTTTTCACCACAAACAATCTTAACTATTGGAGGTGCTGGATATGTTAACAAGCTTGTTTTAATTATGCCACATTGTATTCATAACTCATAGCATCACTTTGTACCCTATAAATTTATAAAATTATAAATTGTCAATTTATAATTCAAGCAAAACAAAACAAAAGCTTTGAGCTGCAGGGCTGCCTCCTACTTTACAGCCAGGATGAAACCCTTAGCACAGAGCATGCTGGGAGGATGGAGAAGAAAGACGGACACCGTCGTGCTTTCCCAGGGCCGATAGGGTCTTTATTGGGATGTAATTTTCTATAGCTTTTTATTAATTAATATAACAAATGTTTATTAAGCATTTGCTCTGTGTCAGAAATGTTTAGGATATAAAGGAGTGAACAAAATGAACAAATAGTGCTGTCTCCTGGAGCTCACATTTTAACAATTGTCTTAGTGTTTTATTTCTATTAATATTCCTGTTAGAAGTCTGTCTTTAGCACCAATTATCTGAATGCTGTCTCTATAATAGATATTTTTGGTCGCAGAACAATTGCTACTCTTTACTGGAGGCTTGTAACATTCCAGACACCATGCTAAGCGAGTCATACATTATTCAATTTAAACTACCCATCTTTGAGGCTGTTCTTATAATTTTTACTCTATATAACCAGTACATGGTAGATCTAGAATTTTAACATAGGTCTGTTTGACTCCTAAAGCTATTCTCTTTACCACAGTCTACGCTAGTGTATCTTAATAATTGTTGTCTTAGATCAGAGGTTAAAAAAAAAAACTAAAACATGAAATTGCTTTATTTTTGTAACAGATAAATTCAACATAAATTAGCTTTCAAATCAGAAGAAAGCTATCTGTTCTTTAAGTCCCATTGTGAGGTGGTAAATTAGAAGTGTAAACTTCAGGATGGACAATTATGTCTATTTCAACACTTGCCTAGCTTATCATACATGGATGTGTTACTGCTGAAAATTATACAGACAACCATTATCAGCAATTGTCTTCAGTTCTTTGTACTTGACCAAGAGTATACAGTAGATCATATTACATGGTTAAAATGATTGCCACTAATTTTTTTTTTTCTGGGACAGGGTCTTACTCTGTGATCCAGGCTGGAATGCAGTGGCATGAGCTCATCTTACTGCAACCTCCGTTTCCCTGACTCAAGTGATCCTCCCACCTCGGCCTTCCAAGTAAGCTGGGACTACAGGTGCCTGCCACCATGCCAGGCTAATTGTTGTATTTTTTGTAGAGGTGGGATCTCACTATGTTGCCTAGGCTGGTCTTGAACTCTTGGGCTCAAGTGATCTGCCCACCTCAACCTCCCAAAGTACTGAGATTACAGGTGTGAGTCACTGTGCCTGGACTTTTGCCAATAGATTTTAATAATTATTGTATTTATCTTCAAAGGAAAGTATGGGTTGTAGCTTAAGGAAGTATGTATTCAAAACATTGGCTCCATACATATACTCATTGGGGCAAAAGAGTTAATAGTGGCTGATATAAATGTATGAGTTTATGCAGCTTTTCCTCAACTCAGGTCTTTGATAATACATATAGTCTTTGACTTCCAGTCTTCTTGTAACTTTCAAATGCTTACCTGTTTTCATAACTCTGTTTCGTTCTCTTTCCCTCTGTCCTTCTTGGATACCCTTCCTTCTGCAAATATTCATTATGGCTGCTCCATGTAACTTCTACAGCATTAGAAGTTCAAAGCTGGGGCCAGGCTTTATGATTACAACTACACTAGCTGTGATTTCAGCATGATTTTGAAAACCACAATGAATTCTATATGGTTAGAGAAAGCAATGACTACCATAGATGGATGTGCAAGCAAGTCTGATACAATGGGGAAATTAGAAAATAATATCGGGTGATATTAATATTAGAAGATGCTAACTATTGAGAGATTATCATATTCCAGGCAATCTTGCTAAGTGGTTTGTATAAATCATCTCATTTAATCATCACAGCAGGCCTATGTAAAAAGTAATTGATTGCTGAGAGAGGTTCAATAACTTGCTCATGGTTTGCACTGCTTGCAGATAGCCAATCAGAATTAAAGTCCATGTAATTTTATTTCTAGAATTAGGATTCTTCTCTAGTATGTGATAGGCTCAAAGATGGTGAGGAAGCCTTCACAGAGGCAACACCGCTGTACTTAAGTAAAAATTTCTACTGACACTTCAATCCCATTTACATCACTTTACCATTTCGGGTGTAACTGGATAGCATCAAACATTCCTTATTTAATCATATTAACTAAGCCATATAGCATAAGTAATTATAATTAGTTATCTAATCAAACAGTTGTAATGACTGAACTTTACATATTCCATGTCTTAGCACCATTCAGATTTGTGCACATTTCACTACAGCCCTGTTAATTTTTTCTTCTCACTACCAAAGAATGCTTAGATTTGATTTAAAAATCATCTCTTGCTTCTTGTATTGTGCCTCAGATTCTAGGATTGTAACCAAAAAGCAAATATATGAGGTAAAATTTTATGATTTTTTCAATCAGGAAAATCATAGGTCATGAACAAAATGCACAGGTATTTGAACAAAGTCTTTAGACATCTTGGTCTTTATCATGAAAGCTTTTATTATGAAGTCAATTAGAGACAATAATCTATTTGGCCTAACCACGTATACCCATCATGTGCCCAAAGCTGTGACTCATCTTCATTGTTCTTTTACATGAATTAAAAAAAGGTGCTGCTTCTGAATTGGTATTCAGCTAGGCAATGGGAAGAGGATTTGCTAGGGAGAAGCAGGCATTGCTTCACAGAGGTGGATGCAGCCCTGAGCCAGGACACAAACTTGGCAGGTGAAGAGAGGGATGAATTGCAGCCCATACTTGCCAACAGAACGGGAACATCTGTGAAGTAAACAACCATGCACATTGGTTCTGTCTGCCTGTCGCTATAGTGGAAATTACAGGTAGAACGCTGAATACCATGTATTCCTTTCTTATGGCCTTAAGACCATCTGTAAGGTCGGTAGTGAGGAAACTGACTGAGAGAAGCTGAGAGCACACAGCTATTAAGTGTGGGAGCTAGGATTTAGACTGAGGTCTGATTAATTCTAAAGTCTGGCTCATTCTCTCTGATACACAAATACCTTATTTCTGCTCTGAAAGAATTTCCAAACTTGTGGGTGGCATAATTAGCCCTGATGAACAAAAAGCAGCAAGTAGAATCCTGTTTCTTGTGCACATCAAACATTTTCTCATCTCTTTGCCTTTGTTTAATCTCTTTCTTCTACTAGGAGTTCCCTTTTCTTCTCATCTTCATGTATTAAAATCTTGCCTATTTTTAAAAATGTCAATAAAATACTACTCTCTCCATGAAGCTTTCCTTGATACCCTTTTTAACATGAAAATAATCTCCATCCTCAAAATCACCAAAGCACATTCCTTACCACTCTGATGGAACTGACCTTGTTGAAACTTTCATATGGCTATATGTGTACCTGCCTCTTTTTTTGCCCCTGTAATGGACCATAAATTCTTAGATGCTGATGTCATATAAAAACTTTTTATCACCACTTCTTGGCACAGTATAGGAGCTCAAGATTTTCGTAACTAAATAAATCAATGATTGTATAAACGATTGAATGAATAAACCAACAATAATTAAGACTTATTTTCAATAAAATGATGGGCGAACCACTAATGCTGCTGGAAATAATGGAAAAATCTTGATAAGAGAGTTTTGAAAATCTTAAATAAAGAGCTAACATGATGTTACCAGCTGAACTGAATCCCCCTCAAATTTGTGTGTTGAAGTCTTAATCCTCAGTACCTCGGAATTTAACTTTATTTGGAAACAGGACCACTGCAGATATAGCTAGTTGTTAAGAAACTAGAGAAAAGCAGTGCATTGCCTACAGAAGAACAACAATTAGAGCGGCAGTAGAGTTATCATCTGAAATCATGGAAGCCAAAAGAAAGTGGCACAAAGCATCAAGTGCTAAAAGAAAAGAACAATCAACTCTGGATTTTATATGCAGCAAAAATACCCTTCAGGAATGAAGGGAAAATGCAAGCCTCCTAAGATAAAGGAAAACTATGAAAATTTGTTGCTAACAGAAACATCCTTAAAAAAGACTACAGGTGGCTGGGTGCAGTGGCTGAGGCTTGTAATTCCAGCACTGAGGCTGAGGTGGGAGGATTGCTTGAGCCCAGAAGTTCAAGACCAGCCTGGGCAACATAGTGAGACCCATCTCTACAAGAAATAAACAAAATTAGTCAGGTGTGGTTGGTGCATGTCTGTAGTCCCAGCTACTCAGGAGGCTGAGATGGGAGGATCCCTGGAGCCTAGGAGGTCAAGGCTGCAGTGAGTCGAGATCTCACCACTGCACTCCAGCCTGGGCGACAGAGCGAGACTCTGTCTCAAAAATAAAATAAAATAACAGCATGGCTGAATCCCACATTCCACGCAGAACCTATCTCGCTCTTTATATCTTAGGGTTATTGGTAGGTTTAGGATTTTTCTGGTCATCTGATTCCCACACGACAGTTCTCCAGGTGGTCTTGAACCAACCCAGTTTCCCCTTTTCTTGTTTGTAGTTTTCAACAATAACTGTAGAATGTTCTGGGAATGCACATCCTGATATAAGCAGAAGCTGTCTGGAACAACCTGGGTTCTGTTACAGTCCCTCCCAGAAACAGGATGTCCTTCAAAGCTTTAGCACAGTGTGTCATGTTCCCTGGGGTATAAACCCTGGGGCACTTACAGAAGAGGCTACATCTGCCCTGGGCAGCTTTCCTGAGCCTTGTCCTGAAGCAAGCTTGCCCTGAATCCCGGTTTCTGTGGTCCCTTGCTACCTATTTGTAAGTAATAAACCTGCTTTCTATAACTTGGGTATTTGAGCATTCTGTCTCATCAGACTCTTGCTCCATATATGAATTGTGTTATTCCTCCAGAATAAAGAAGCAGTAGCTGCAGCGGATGTCTTATTTATTAAGCATTTTTTAGTTCCCGCTAAGACATCATACACAGCCCTTTGATACATGTCCCCTACTTCCCTCTCATTCTCTGTGTGGGGCATCCTGAATGGTATTTAGCATCTGTGTGGCCCTGGTCGTCTCTGAGCCTTTGCCTCTTTTCTTCTCTTTCCTTCCGGGGAACACCTTATTACCAATCTCTTTCCCAGTTAACACCTTCCAAAAGTCAGTTTTTAGGTTAATTCCTTCACAGAGGCATCCCTGATGCTCTGGATTATGTTAGATGTTCTTGGAATGTGCCTTCAAAGGATCATGTATTTCACTTACCATGGAAAACATCCCATTCATTGGAATAAGCTGCTGGCTCCCCAGGGGCAGGAGCAGTGTTATCTTTGCCACTGTCAACCTGTGTCAGGTACACTCTTCGTGCATCATAAAAATCAATAAACATCTGCCATAGAAATGAAAAACAAGTTTATGATTCTTTTCTGAGAGGTTCAGAGGAAGCTTCACTGTCCTCTGCCAATAGTGAATCAATGATCACCAATCACTGATGGACTGTATTTGGTCCCATATTGGATAATTTCTTTCTTTCTTTCTTTTTTTTTTTTTTTTGACGGAGTCTCGCCCTGACGCCCAGGCTGGAGTGCAGTGGCGCGATCTCGGCTCACTGCAAGCTCCGCCCCCCGGGTTCACGCCATTCTCCTGCCTCAGCCTCCCGAGTAGCTGGGACTACAGGCACCCGCCACCACGCCTGGCTAATTTTTTGTATTTTTAGTAGAGACGGGGTTTCACTGTGTTAGCCAGGATGGTCTCGATCTCCTGACTTTGTGATCCGCCCGCCTCGGCCTCCCAAAGGGCTGGGATTACAGGCGTGAGCCACCACGCCCGACCCATATTGGATACTTTCTAAGTCATTACCCATTTCTGCTGTACTAATATTCTTCTGTGCTAGGTAATTATTATTTTAAATTCAGGAGAAAAAAATGCAAGAAATGAAAAAACAACCTACTGTTTCTTAGTTTCCAAGAAAAATAAAAACAGAAGATTTAAGCCTCCCCTATTAGATTAAATCATTTTTCTAGGACATGCTAATTTAAGCTAGGTTGTAAAATATTCCAATTACTACATTTAGCAAAGCTATGTAGCATGAATTTTCTGTCACATTTTCCTAAAATGGGCTTCATTTATATCCTATTTTACTTTGCCTCATTTGATTTAATTGTTCTTAAAATATTCTACATTCTTCTACAAACTTATATCTTGAGGGCATTGCCCTCATGCATAACAAATTTGTTTTTTACAATCTTAAGGATAAAAGAACCTCAACCCCATTATTTCTTTCAAAAATCTTTGATGAGATATTTTAAAAATGTATTTTGTTACTTTTAAAATGCTATAATATCATAATACCATGCACTCTTTGAAACAATTTCCAAGTTATCTATGATTTTAAGGAGTTTTTATAAAATACTGAGAGTTTAAAATTCTTTAGATCACAAAATTATTTCAGATAACTCATGTAAGCTTCACAGCTACCTCAATCAATATGAGAGTGCTGTCACTTTTATCCACGTTTTACAGGGGACAGCATGGTAACATGTAGTTTTAATCCAAGATTCACATTTGTGATTTTCTTTGATATGTAGAACACATTAAAAATAACAACAATAAGTAAACTCTTCAGAAGATATAGTTCTGTTAAGCACATTTATGAATGAGAGATAAAAACTTCAGAGCATAGTAGCTGAGTCCTTACAGTGCAAATGTACTGAATACTTTTAGGTTCCTTTGCCATCAAATTAATCATTTGGCTAAAGTGGAAAAAATATGAGTCGATCTTCACATTTAAAGTTGCTCTTATCAACCTGCAAACAGAACATTCAGTTAAAAAAATCATTTTTAAAAGAGTCTATAATAAAAAAAGATAATTATGGGTTTGAAGCATCTCAAATTACAGAATTCCATAGAATTTTGGAGCAAAAAACACTCTTTCAAATCTGCTAGTATTCTGAACTTTGAAAGAATTACAGTATTCTAATGCTTTTTAGAAGTGCTGTAACCTGAGTTCCCAAGTACAATGACATATTTTGGTTCTGATGCATGAGGAAATTTTTATCAATTCTGAATAAATGAAAAAAAAGTCAAATTTTTATAAACTCAGTTATATTAAATTTAAAGAATTTAATGTTATCTAAGATTTTAATTGTTTCATGTTTTTAAAGTTCAAATAATATTTTCTCATTTTATTTGGAGAAATAAAAATTGACAATCCTATCTCAGCCTCCTCCTCCCCTTCTCTGAGTGTGTATGGGAAATTTTATTAGTCTGTGATACCAAATAATTTGAGTTCAGGAATTTTAGCCACTGCTGCTGCTGCTGGAAGTATAGATGGATTAGGTAAGGGCTAGAAGTGTTCAACAACTTGCTCTAGGTCTCGGCTTGGAGCATGGGTCCCCTGACTCCCAGGCCAGGTCTCTCCAGCTCGTTGTGCTGTCACAGAAACCACAAAATATCTGCTTTTCCCTTTTCTTTGCCAAATCCAAGAGTGAGAAGCTAAATTGCGCATTAAAATTCTACTCACCAATTCATGATAAAGCATTAAAAATTTAAATTCTATCCCTTTTGTCAAGCACCTTTCCTTTTATTAATTATCTAATCCCAACAGACTCGATTGATAACCCTTGTTACATGAATCTTCAGCTTATTGATAACATCCATCTGGGTACTATCGTGCATATGAAGGCAAGTGTATTTAAAAATTATTAGAGCATTTAAAATTAGGGTAAATAAAACTAGCCCAGTCTCAGCAGAATTGTGAGAAAATCATGAGGGGAGAAAATTACTTTCAATGGTAATGTTAAGAAGATTCACTCCAGCACTGAGCCTACAGAAGATAACATCTTAAATACAAATTTCATTCTCTGATGACAGAGAAACTGTTAAACAGCTGGAGTCCAAGAAGGAAAATAGCCTAGAGTAGGGTGAAATTCCAAACATGCTGTAAAAACAAATGCCTGATATTTTTATTGACGTAATTTATTTTGAAAGGGAGGCGAGTAAATATTTAAAAAACAAAGTCAATAATTTTCCTTCTATTTATTCAGACAAATGAAAAGGTCAGTAACTGGGCTCTTGATATGTGCTCCCAGGAAATAGGACCACAACAGTGATTTTTCAGCCTTGTAATTACTGCTGGTTTACAAAGAGCATACATATTTGCATAATATACAACAACATGTTATGAATACAACAAAATGTAGGATACAACAGCCAGTGCTGGCAAAATTAACTGGACCTAAGGGGAAATCAACTCTTTCAGCCTCCCCTAAATGTTCCCAATACCTCTAGATAGTGGGCATTTTGGAGGTAGATGTTGGGAACAGATGTTTCCTATGATGCCGACCATTTCTGCAGATGGTACATAAAATGTGTGAGAAAAACTGAACAGCAAGAAATTAGAAATAATCCTTTTTGTTTGCATGATGATCTAATATTTTACAAAACACTTTGCATATGGGAGAATGAGGTTCAGAAATGTCAAAGAGTTTGTTCAAAGCCACTCAGGTAGAAACGGCTGAAGAGGAATGGAAACTAGTGACATATGATTCTGGATTCCACTTGTCTGCCACATTCTACTTCAAATCGACTCTGCCTATCACTGAGTGTCTTAGAATATGCTTGTGTCTTAACCTGTCCACTATAAGCATGTTCATTTCACCTGGGAGATGGCTGTTTCTCCTGAGTTTAGTCACTCCTTTGTATTCAGGGATCTTGAGATTCAGAGCTGGGGCCTTGCAGATGAGGGCGTAAAGTTAAATGATGACCCCAAATCCAGCTTAGGTCAAACTCCATGATCTGGCAGTCATGTCACCTGGCTCCAGGTTGACTGTTCTTTCCAACACAGCCCATTCTGGTTCTTTCCAAAGTTGCTTAGTTTTACAAAGGGGCTTGTCACAGTAGCCTGGTGTAACTTTAGGAGGACTGAAAAATTACATGATGTAAATATAATAGCTTGTAAGTGTTTAGAAAGGTAAAAAGACCTAAACTAGTACTGAGCAATACTAGGATCCCCATTCAGGTCTTTAGGAATCAATCGAGTGGACTTCTAGTTATAAGTGGCTTAATTTTTTTTTTTTTTAACAGAATCTTGTTCTGTTGCCCAGGCTAGAGTGCAATGGCAGGATCTCGGCTCACTGAAACCTCTGCCTCCCAGGTTCAAGCGATTCTTCTACCTCAGCCTCCCGAATAGCTGGGACTGCAGGCACACGCCACCACACCTGGCTAATTTTTGTATTTTTAGTAGAGACGGGGTTTCACCATATTGGCCACGCTGGTCTTGAACTCCTGACCTCATGATCTGCCCGCCTCAGCCCTGCAAAGTGCTGGGATTATAGGTGTGAGCCACTGCTCCCGGCCGTAGATGGCTTAATTCTGACCATGTTGAGATTCATCTGGCGCTGATGTTTTGTCCTTCCTCTTCATCTAGTCCAACTTGAGCAACATGAAGGAATGTCTTCATTTCCATGATCTAGTGAGGTTTTCTGTTCAATTTTGGTGTCTATAAACTTCTGGAGAAATCTCCTTTACTCTTGTAATTGCCTAACAATGCCATAACCTGGAAGCTGACTTATATTTGCATTTCATTTGTATTTTAAAACAAACATAAATAATGTTCAGCATTTATTTCTCCAATTCCTTAAGATGGCTGCCCTCTTGTTCTGTCCTGTAATTCACCTGTATTTCATGCTGAATCATGACACCAGTAAGGATTTTGAGAGGGACAAATTGTTCAAACACAAATACTTCATTTAAAATACCCTCAGCCCAGCACTTTGGGAGGCTGAGGTGGGTGGATCACCTGAGGTCAGGACTTTGAGATCAGCCTGGCTAACGTGGTGAAACACCGTCTCTACTAAAAATACAGAAATTAGCTGGGTGTGTTGGTGGGCACCGTAATCCCAGCTACCCGGGAGGCTGAGGCAGGAGAATTGCTTGAACCTGGGAGTCAGAGTTTGCAGTAAGCCGAGATGGTGCCATTGCACTCCAGCCTGGGCAACAAGAGCTAAAGTCTGTCTCAGTATCTATCTATCTATCTATCTATCTATCTATCTATCTATCTATCTATCTATCTAATCTATATCATCTATCTATCTATCTATCTAATCTATATCATCTATTTATCTATCTATCTATCTATCTATCTATCTATCTATCTATCATCTATTTATCCATCTTTCCTCTCAGTTAAGAATGCTTTGATTTCAGCTGAATTTACCTAAACTTTATCAGAATGAAGAAGAAAGAGCATGAGTCTCAGAATTTGGATCCTGAAGCTCCAATCCCAGTTTCACTGCTAGGTTGCTTTATCGGCCTTGGCAAGTCTCCCTTCTGTGAGCCTGACTACAGTGAAGGATTAAATAGATGGTGCCTAAGTTCCGTCCCAGGCTGCAGTCATTACATTATCCTGAAATCTATAATGGCAGAAGGGCTTCATCTGACTTCTTGACAGGCATCTATTGCCCCATAGCTATGGGAAACAAGCTAGACTGAAACATACACAAAGCATTCTCCATTATGTTCTTGGGAAAAATAATGGATCAGGTTCTCAGAGCATTTTAACAAGTCTCAGGTAGTGGTACTTCATCCTGATCCTGCAGGTTTGGAAAGGCTCATCAGCTATATTCTCATTTATTTGTGGCTATTGGCTGGTTATGGAGTGGCAGACATCTTAATTATACATTAATGAGGAGTTAATTGCAATTAAGTGTTTTAATAGCAGCTAGTGATTATTAGGTTTTGAAGAAAAGGCAATTTTAGTTTAAGTAGGTCCCATAGCTTTTTAGGCTGAAAAACGATGGACAATAATAGACTTTTAAAGCAGAGAATCTATGTACACCAGAGAACAATCTTTAGGAGAGAATGTACGCTTTAGATGAGATCACTCATATGACTTGGGTCTCCGCTAACAGGGGATCAAATCCATGTCAGGGCATTGGAATGATTCCTATGGATTTAGAGTCAGGTTTCCCTATCATACCAGCTTAGACAAGCTCTGTGTTTGAGTTGTAGGGTCCTCACTTGTAAAATCAAGAATTACTACCATACCTACCTCCTTGGGTGTTGTAAAACTCAAATAAGATGAAAGATATGAAAGTGCTTACAAACACATGTGTATATATTCATTACTAGCTGTGCTGACCATGTAAAGTCATCTCTCATTATACTCTGGAGGACATTTAAGCCAAGATGATTTCTATACAACCCCAATATAAAACTATTATAGAGGTAATTCACCGATAGATGAAAGGTGCATGGGACGGGGTTATTACTGAAACATCAAAACGGCAGAGGAAGTTTCCAAGAAGAAATGACTCATGCTGAATCTTGAAGAGACCTGGAGGAAATGAAGTCTCTTATCTGGCACAGTTTACAGGCAAGCAGGTCTAGATTCCTTCCTTCTCTGTGGTTCTAGGCAAAGGATCCTTACCCCAAAGTGCTTTGGACATTTTCCTTCTGTCTTCCTACATTTCCTACTTTCTCTAAAAGAGGACAGAGTTCTTATTATGTCCATAGCCCAGATGTACAGACAATTTGGAGATGAGCTTAGGGCACAATTTCAGTTTGGACAACTAAACTCTCTCTATACTCTGGGTTCATGTCAATAGAGGAGCTTCCAGTGCTTCTTGTCTTTCCCTAGGCTAAGGAAAAAGATTATTTTTCCCTCTAATCAGACACAGAGATAATGAAGAGACCAGACTATTGAAGGAGTTCCTATCCCACCGGTCCACATATCCTGTGTGTTGGAAGCGATTCAGTCCTGAGCCCCGACTGCCATGTCTGTGACTCTTTCCTTAACTGTCCACTGGCCCCTCTTTTTGGACCCCTCTCCCTGCTCCCTAGGTCCTGCCATCTGTAGAAACTAGTGGTATCTCCATCGCTGGATTTTTCATTCTTCTCTTCCCCCTTCTTCCTTTTTTGGCTTCTTCAAAATAGTAATAATGATGATTACTATAGCAAAATGTATTTGGATAAGAGTTTGTAGATCTGTAACCTGATATCACAACTGAAAGGTATGAAGGTTTCCATTTTATAAAAGAGGAAACTAATACTCAAGTTTGCATGATCAAGAAAAGACTTATTCAAACTTCACATGGCTACTTAGAGAGAGTATTAGAATTTGTGTCTGCAGGTTCAATGTCCTGTGGTGTTTGCATCACAGTGTGTTTCCTTACCTGTGTACCTAAATTTATTCTAAACAGAAATCAGATATTAGTCAAGCATATGTTGTTGAGAATGAAAGTGTTTTCTTCTGTTTATGGAATTACTTGTCCTTGGGTAAGTTGATTTCACATAAAAATAACACTAGACTGGACAGTTGGAATTCCAGGGTTCAAATCTCAGATCTCCCGTTTCTGTAAGACAAATCCAGGACTCAATGAGCAGTTTTCCTACTTTTCGCTTAAATGTATCCAAGGCCTCTCTGTTACACAACTTTAGGTGTTGATGTTTACTTTGTGTCCCATGGCAGGGATGTTGTTTTTGTGTATGATATTTTGGACTCTAATGGCATTTCAAATGTAAAAACCAATAATTTATTTATTTTTCACTTGGCCTATTTGTTTCATATGATGGCACTGATATTTTGGTTGTACAGAATGTGTAAAATCTGTATTAAGTGTTTCTTTGTCTTAAATACATGTTAATTCTAATGCCAGCTGCATGACTTTCCTCAAACTATGTAACTTCCTTGATTCACGGCTTCTTTGACTATCTAGAATGGTCTCAGGCTGGATTTCTAATATCTTCTAACCTACAGCTGTGCTGTGCAGATTTTAAAATATGCTCTGAGGAATGAGTTTGTGTATTTCTCTCTCTCTCTCTCTCTGTGTGTGTGTGTGTGTGTGTGTGTGTGTGTATGTTGAGACAGTTTTGGAAGTGTGGCCAGGAGCCCATTTCTCTAAACTATTTCTGAAGCCAATAGGATCCATTGTTTTCTTTGTACTGATAGCCAGCCTTAGCTGCTGTAGGGGCATTCAGAGCTTGAGTCATTCACTCATTCATTTACTATGAACTCAACAAACATTTCTGAAGGGCTGACCCTGGCAGGCCCTGTACTATGGCGAGTCAGACCCTAACCCTGTGTGAAAGAAACTCATGGCTCAATGTCAATATAGACAGGCCAAGAAACTATCAGAAAGCAATACTGTATGAGCTATGGTAGGAGCACTAAGGAAGCCTTCCAAAGTTATTCAAGCAGTAAGGGCAAGAGAGACTTCATTACTGATTTACCTATTAAGGATGAATTTTTCAGCAGAGTGGTGAAGGAATGGGTAATGAGTTGGGAAAGATTTCCTGGTAGAGAAGACAGCCTGACCCAAGATATGGTGATGAAATTGGTTAACATATTTGTTTATTTAATCACTTAATCTATCCCGATATTGTGCCTTTACTTGGGACAGGAGCAGACTAGGGCTGTAGCTGGAGGCTGAGAGAGAGCCACTTTGTCGTAAGAGAACAAGGAAAGCAGAAGCAAATGTCTAAAAAAAAAATTTCTTGAGACATTGAGTTTTTCGCTAACAAGCCTAGTTCCTGAGCTCTGAGACTGAGTTCCCCACCCAGCTGGACCCATGGCACGATGACTGAATCCTGAGTGACAGATGAAAGAGAGACCTGGGATGCAAACCACATACCAATTTAGCAAAAGAGCCCTCTCAGGATTTCCTCTAAGATTCTGACTGCAGAGAAATGACCATTTCCTGGCTTTAAAATGTAATTTTGAAAACCTTTCTAGTAACCTGCTCCATTTGTATTGATTCACTTAACTATGCATGGGAATTGTCTTTGGTGGTGATGGAGGCTGTTTTAGGGAGACCTCAGAAGGCTTTTTTTTTTTTTTTTTTTTTTTTTTACCTCCAATAGGCTCAAATTTCCTATTCTGGGATATAAAACCGTGCTTTTCACATGGTAAGATAATGCTTAGAAAGCCAAGCTCCAGCAAGAGCTGACACAGCAACTCGGCTCAGGTGGGCTGTATTCTGCAAATCAGGGGTCCTTGACTCTGCCACTCACTGGCACAGCTCTCTGGAATGTAGTAAAGTGAGAAAATTAAACTATATGATAACTACATAAACAGTTCATCTTCCAGAGCAACTTCTAGTAGAGCTTGGGTTGGTTGGAAGCATCTGACGGTGGCTAGAAGGATATGCTCCGTGGGTAAGAATGGACCAAAATGGGGGAACTACCAACCGTGGCTGGCCCTGCTGGGGGGCAGGCCCTTCGTTTTGGATCCTTGGGGCTGAGTTCCACCCATCTAAGTAGTCCAGTGTCAGGTGCAGATACCTGTATTACAGTTGAGCTCCCTACATGCCTCCATCCATTCTTTGGTGATGGCCATTTCCCTGCCTAGATGTGCTTCCAGAATCCATCTCTGCAGTGGATCAACCTACCCAGTGTGTGTCCCACACAAGTGAGCAGATTCTGTGTCCAGCTTTGGCTTTCTCACTTTTCCTTCTTTTCCAATTCACCTGCTTGATCCTTCTGGGAGTGAGCCAACATGCCATCTGCCCAGGGCTCCAGATTGGAAAAGAGAGGGGGCACAGTTTGAAAGGAGACCTCCTCATTTATACAAGACAGAGGTCATTTCATGGTAGAAGCAGTGTGTAATTTTATTGCTTACAAATAGCCAATTCAAGCCTGAAAAGGAGGCCATGGAAAGGGAAGATATACTCAACAAAAATCAAACCCTTGAAACTTACTTTGAACATATAATTTTAGTAACAATCATCATCTGGATTAATTAGGAAATTATTATTGATGTTTAACCAATGAAATTACCTCTTAAAACTTTTATGCTTTTCTCCTTCCTCTTCTTGAAATAGAGAATAAATCCAAAATGATATTTATCCCAGTAAAATGCCCTGGTTTCAAAGAACAGCCAGCCTTGCTGCCTGTTGATTCTTCCCAGGTGAATGCCACCCCCAGGCTTTCTCTGACATGCTTGAACATTATGCATGAGCAATTTGACTTGTAAAACCAGTTTGCAAATAAATGAATTTCAGAGATCTGTTTAACAAGAAGGCAAAATAGTGATCAAAGTGTTCAGTTGATTAGAAGAGGAATATGAAAAAGAGGAAGACAATAAGAGACAGAAATGAAGAGAAGGATGTATGCTATGTGTATATATGATCAAACCTGCAATCTGACAGCTCTGCGGCCTCAGGAGGACTGACATATTCACTCTCAATGCTGTTGGGAGCCTGAGGACTAATGAGCACTGATGGCAGATGTATTGTGCCTTTCTGCTTACAAAGTTCTTGCAGTTATGTTAACTCCTTTGATCTCAGCAATCTCTTCAGAAAGCTAGACCAGAAGACCAGAATTGCAATTCCCATTTCACAGATGACATTGAGAAGAGAAGTGACTTGTCCAAGGAAATAATCTGTGTTGTTGTTGTTTTTTGTTTTTGTTTTTGTTTTTTTTTGACGGAGTTTCACTCTTGTTGCCCAGCCTGCTGGAGTGCAATGACGTGATCTTGGCTCACTGCAACCTCTGCCTCCTGGGTTCAAGCGAAAATCATTTGTTTTTAATAGAGCCGTGATAGAGTCAATTCTTGCCAATGAGCTACAGAGACTCTATACATTCTTTGTCATGTCCACCTTCCTCAAAAATTCCTTCCTCATTGCTCTGCTGTTGTAAGATAACTTGAGAAGTACCCCCATGTACATGAAATGGCTTTAGTGCTCCCCATTCCTGATGTCTTAACTCCTCAAAAATTTCTCTCCAGAAATTATATTTTTGACTTCCTAAGTTCTCTTTGAAAAGGCAACTATTGCTGGAAGGATTCATATCTTAAAGGAAAGAAGGTGGATTAGACGAAAGAACACTTGGAAACTGCAATGGGCACAGATTACCTGAAACATCATTCAGCACTGAGTGTACAATTACACCCAAGCATCTCAGCTTGGCACTAAAAGCCCTTCACTTTAATTTTTCAGCTTTATAATCAACTTTATGATCAAGGCATGTGCTATCATTTGCTGCTTCCTAAACACACCCTGCACTTTCTCATCCCTTCCTAATAGGAAGCACTCACTTTCAACAAGAAGTTCTCTTCTTTCAATTTCCCTCCTTTCCCCTCCCTCCTGTTTCTTCTTCTTGAGACTTCTATAGTAATTTTCCTAACAGCCAGCATCGATTGTAGTGTGGGCTAGTTTTCTGTTGCAGCTGTGACAAATTTCCCCACACTTGGTGGCTTAATATAATGCAAATGATCTTACAGTTCTGTAGGTCAGAAGTCTGACATGGGTCTCAATGGACTAAAATCAAGGTTTGGATAGGACCCTGTTCCTTTCTGGAGGCTCTAGGAGAGAATCTGTTTCCTTATCACTTCCAGCTTTTAGAAGCCGCCCCCATTCCTTGGATCCAGGGCCTCTTCTTTCATATTCAAAGCCAGCGACATGGGAACAAGTCCTTTGCAGGCTGCTGTCTCATTGCTCTCTCTTCTGCCTTCCTCTTCTACATATAAGGACCCTGGTGATTACATTGGAACCACCTGGATAAGCCAGGCTACTCTCACCAACAGAAGGTTATTTGGTTAGCAATCTTAATTTCCCTTTGCCGTGTAAGATAACATATTCACAGGTTCCGGGGATTAGGACATCTTTGGGGGCTATTAGGCTATCTGCCACCCCGTGCTTAACACACATTCAATGTGTTTTGTAAGTATCATTTCATTTCATCATCTGAGTAACCATTTAAATGTACTCATTATTCATATTTTCCACATAAAAAATTTAGGTTTCAGAAGATTATATGACCTGTTCAAGCACTAAATAACCCTCTCCAGGTCACAAAGCCAGAAAGAGGGGTAGATGAAACTTGAACCAGCATTCTGACTCCAGAGACACCTTTCTTAGCTCAGTGAATGGAAATGACATTCATCTGGTTATTTGAAGCATGAACCTAGGCATCCTGCCTAACTTCTAACTTTCCTTAACTTTTACAATTTTATAACCCAAACATCTGTTTGAACCTCTATTCTATAAAACTTGAATAAATCCACTTTTCTCTAGCCTCTCTGCTACTTCCACAGCCTGGGCCATCTCCCAACCATCACCTGCAATAGTCTAACTAGTCTTCCTGCTTTGTTTTGTCCCAGTAGGCTCTTCTCTTTGCAGTAGTGACTTTTTTAGACATGTATCTGTTCTGATTAAAACCCTTCAAAGTTTCCCATTGATCTCCAAATGCTTCCAATTACCCTTAGGTTAAAGTCCTCCCCTTAACATGGCTTGGGTCTGGTACCTTTTACCTCTCACCTCTCCAGGTTTATCTCTAAATAAACCCTGCACTCTGTGCTCCGACTTATTATATAATCCAAACTAACTTCTAGCTAGCTTTGCCTAGAATAAACCACCCTTGACTCTTTCATCTGTTTGCCTCCTGCTCTCCCTTCATGGGCCACATCAGATAGAACCTGGGAATCCTTTCCTGACCACCTTCACCCCTTATGATATGAACATGTAACATGATTCTCCTGCTCTCTCTACCACACTCTCATGTAATGGTCATCAGTTGTAAGGATCATGTGTATCTTCTTCATCATATCAATCTTTTTCTTTTTTTTTTTTTTTTTTGAGACAGAGTCTCTCTGTGTCATCCACCCTTGAATGCAGTGGTGCGATCCCAGCTCACTGCAACCTCTGCCTCCCAGGTTCAAGCAGTTCTCTTGCCTCAGCCTCTCAAGTAGCTGGGACTACAGGCACCCACCACCACGCCCGGCTAATGTTTGTATTTTTACTAGAGATGGGGTTTCACTGTGTTGGCCAGGCTGGTGTTAAACTCCTAACCTCATGATCAGCCTGTCTCCACCTCCCAAAGTGCTGGGATTACAGGTGTGAGCCACTGCTCCCGGCCCATCATATCACTCTTAATACAGAGCAAGAAGACTGACATATATTAGGCGGAGATATTTGTTAAATGAAGGAATGAAATGCCTTTGCCATCTCAAGTTCTCCTCATGTGTAAGGGCTCAGTCTTTGTGTGGCTTTTTTTATTTCAGATGTCTCTAATTTTGGAAGTCCCTAGGCTTGCTAATTTTGGTTCTTTAGTTACTTTCCCTAGAAGATCTCCTTTAATCCCACTAATGGCTTCCACATTTATGGCCCTAGTCTTAGTCTCCCCATTTAGCTCTGAAATCAAATATCCAACTGCCTGTTGGATAATGCTGCTTGAATGCTTAATTTACAGTCTACACTTATCATGGTTAACAGAGAATTTTTTGTTCTCCTCTCTGAGCTACTTCTTCTAGGTCAGAGGCAAGCCATTTATTCAAATTGCTCAGTACAAAGACCTAGGGTCTTTTTTGTTTTTCACATTTTCTTTTTCTTTCACCATCTACAGCCAATCCATCAGTAAGTTCTCTCTACGATCAAAATACATCCCAAGTCTTTCCACTTCTCTCCCAATCCAGTGTGCTCTATTTAATCTCCTTCATTTTTCTCCTGAATGACTCCAGTAGTCCTTAAATTAACTCTAGTCTCCTCTCTCACTCACCCTGCACATACCGTTTTCTATGCAGTAGCCAGATTGATATTTTAAAAACACAAATCAGATCACATCACTTCCTGGTGGAAAACCTTCCAGGGAACTCTCGCTGCATTTAAGATAAAATCCAAACTCCTAATTTGGCCCCAAACAGCCCTATCTGAGCTGGTTCTTCCTTGACATCATGTAGTGTCACCAGTTACTGTGGATTTCTTTATGTTTCTCCAAAACCCAAGCTCATTTCTCTGCCTGGTTCTTAGTATTTGCTGCTCCTTCTGCCTAAATTTTAGGCTCCTGATCTTTTCTTTGCTGACAATTTCTTGTCATTCAGGTCTTAGTTCCAATGTCCCTTATTCAGTGAGGGCTGCCCTCAGCTCATCATCTGATTGCCATCCCTCCCTAGTCACTATCCCATTGCTTAATCCCGTTGCTTAATTGTATTCAGTATTGGCTTCTTTCTTTTTAGTTTATTTATATGCTTAAGTTTAGCACACTGAAAGCAGGGCCCTAATCAGTCTCATTTACCATTGTAAGCTTAACTCACAGTAATGACTAAAGGCTCAGTGCATATGCCATCTTCTCGGGGCCATTTTTCTTAACTTCCGGACCTGGTATTCAGTGCCATATTCTTCGTTAGGTTGTCAACTCCTCAGGGGCTTTGTCCTGGTCTCACTCTCCAAGTTATGCCTCAAAGCACTCAGCTCAATGCACACCCTCAACTGTGTGTAATACTGCCTCCACACACAGAGAAGGGGCTCCCCAGAGTCTAGCATTGTTTGATTGACTTTGTCTACGTTCTTATGGGCTACTGATCCAAATAAACTTTAGAATGCTCTTTATAACTCTCTTTTCCTGCAAGTGTGATCAGTGTTCCTAAACAGGTGAGTATTCAAGAGCTTTTCTAATTCTTTCCTGAGCCTCATCATCCTCCTGATTCCTCACCAAAAATAACTCCTGAACCCAGAACTTAGGAATTCCAAACATAAGAGGCCAATACTGCACTGAAATGCCTAGTCGATGTCCTGCTTAACATTCATAGGCTTGTATTTACTGCTTGCCAACTGCCACCCTTGGGAGTCCCAGACTGAATGCTAATTTTCTTCTTGAAAGCCCTGAAGACAGACCTTAAGGAAAAGCAATTACAAAAATATATTACCACTGCCACCCCTAACTTCCTTTCAGCCATTTTAAAAATCAGTTTCCCATATCTTACAGAAGAACTCACATATGAACTTTGTCATTCTAAAGGCTTGGGTTCAAATTACAGAACGGCCATTTCCTAGGTGTGTTATCTAGAGCAAGTTACTTCACACTTCTGAGCAGGGCCCCCAGCACAGCTCTACAGGCCATTCACCGTACAGCCTCAGTAGATGCCACCCACATAGATGACGATGAAAACAACTCCCTCTGGAGTTGTACACTGCTGCAGCCCCATCTGAGCTTCACTATACTATAACACATTTGATTTGAACAACTGCCATGCATGCTGGTTATGGGGGTGGATTGAAAAGAATGCATCTAAAATACTTGGCATACACTGTAGTCACAATAAATATTAGTGAAGTGTTTAGTTTGAAGCTAGCTCTTGAGATGTTCTCATGAACACTGGACTGGAGCATGTTTTACCCAGCCACTAGCAGGTGGGAATTTTCAGCCCTTTCCATCCACACAAACATATAATTTGGCTTCTGATGGACTGGGGTTGATTATTGTTTACAACTGAGTGTTGTGCTTTCATCTGCGTAGCCTTCATTAGGCACAGAGAAAGAAACAGGTGCTGTTCTTTTGAGGTTATCACCAGGCAGAGCTTCCTGACTCTCTCTCTCGGGCTTGGGTATAAGGGAAAGAATGTTCTAAGGCAAATGTCATTGTCTGAGTGACGTTTCTAAATCTTGACTCAGAGCACATCGCCTTCTACCTATTCAGCTCATTTATTGTAGCAAAGAGGGCAACTCCATTTTTAAAATATATGATTCTAAAGGAGCTTTGTTATGGCCATATATTAGAAGTGTACATTTAGAGCTAATTCTTTGAATATTTAAATATGTTCTTTATGTTTTGACATACACAAAAGGTCGTTATACTGGATAACTTTATCTTGTTTATCTAATCTTTGTAATAATTAATATGCTAGGCTTTATTTATTTAAAAAATTATTTATTTATTATTTATTCTTTCTAATAAACTCTCCACCCTAAATTTCCTCTCATGGAGACTGATGATGATACACATGTACAAAGATGGTATGAAAAGATGTATAACTCACATTATGGAACTTTCTAGGGGGGGGAATGGCCAGGCACCCATGGTGCTGGGGAATCATCCTAGTGAAGGGACGAGCAAGTGGCTCTGGGTGTTATTATGGCTAGGGACTGGGGCCAGGGTGAAGGGCCCTATGCCACAGACCAGGGACACATTTAAATGACACATTGTAATTGTACGTATTTTTGAGGTACAATTTCATGTTTTAACACGTATCTATGTTGTATTATGGTTAACAAATACTGTGCATTACAAAGTACCTAGAAAAGAGGCTTTTGAAAGTTCTCACCACAAAAAAGTAATCAATGCATGAAGTGATGAATACATTAACTACCCTGACTGGGTCATTATACAGCATAGATATGTGACTCAATTTTTTCTTTTTTCTTTCTTTTCTTTTTTTTTTTTTTTTTGAGACTGAGTCTTTCTCTGTCACCCAGGCTGGAGTGCAGTGGCACGATCTTGGCTCACTACAAGCTCCGCCTCCCGGGTTCACGCCATTCTCCTGCCTCAGCCTCCCCAGTAGCTGGGACTACAGGTGCCCGCCACCATGCCTGGCTAATTTTTGTTGTATTTTTAGTAGAGACAGTGTTTCACCATGTTAGCCAGGATGGTCTCGATCTCCGGGCCTCGTGATCTGCCCTCCTCGCCTCCTTAAGTGCTGGAATTACAGGTGTGAGCCACCGCACCCGGCCGTGACTCCATTTTTTTATGTGTGACCACTCACAGTGTTCATGCTCTATCTCTCTGCCTTCCCTCTTGCTCCATGTCTGAGTAAGCTGATTAGAAAGCCTAGGTGTACCCTCCATTTGCACCAGAAGGAAGTTCTAACCATGGAATCCCTGGTCTGAGGTATAGGGCCCTTCACCCTGGCCCCAGTCCCTAGCCATGATAACAGCCAAAGCCACTTGCCCATCCCTTCACTAGAGTGATTCCCCAGCAGCTTGGGTGCCTGGTCATGCTCCCCCCAGAAAGTTCTATGATGTGAGTTATAAATGTTTTTGTACCATCTTTGTACATGTATATCATCATCAGTCTCTGTGAGAGAAAATTTGGGGTGGAGAATTTATCAAATCCTCCATTGGGCAACCATAAAACATTTTATTTGCCTTTACAACCATAAAACTCTTACATACCAGGTGGCAGCTAGGATAGAAAGAAAAGAGAATTGGACATGAGGGTGAAAGATGAGTGTGAGTCTTGTTTTAGCCAGTTATCAGCTGTGTGGTATCAGAGAATGGCTTACATGTTTTCACTCCATTGAAATGGGCATCATGAGTCGTCAAAGGATAAAGACTTCAAGTGCCTAACCCCATGTTTAGACATAGTAGTTGCTGGGATATTATGCTGATTCAGTGGGACAATGACTAATGTGCTTAACACTGTGCCTAGAATATAGTAAGTGTTCAACAAGAGCTAGCTTTCTTCCTTTTTTACCCTCTCTTCTGTTGATTCTCCTTTATCACCATAAAGAAATTAAGCAATAGATCTTTACTTCCTGCTTAGCTATACTCAGTGTCCTGTCGAGCTCTGCCCTTGCACTGGATTCCCTATCTGAAATAAACTCAAGCCAAGAGAAGGATTTCATGATCTTAAGAGCAGAGAAAGCCTAGGAGTTGTCACTCCAGGTCTAGACAATAAGGACTTGGGACTATCAATGGCCATTTCCACTAAGACCGTGTAAAAAGATGTAATCATATTTTGGGGGATTTGCATCAAAAAAAGTGTCCATCTCATGATGAAGTAGAAGTGATATAGGTAGATTTAATAAAATACAAATTATAGATTCAGACTTTTATGAAAAGGCATTTTGGAAAGAAAGGAATGAACATGAAAGAGAGAGGTCAGACTTTGAGGTAAATGTGGGTGGGGAACTTAGAATGAAGGGCAATGGTTAAGAAAGTAATCTTGTAATATTTGTAGGTGGTTATGGTTACAACACGCCCTATAATTTAGAGTCTTGTAATTTTGAAGACAACGTTAAAGGTAACATGAACTGCTTTTGCCATGAGGCAATAAAGCTGTAAATGATTATCTTTTTAGTTCAGTTTTTTTACTCCATAACTAATTCCTTGTTGTTTTCAAAGAAAGATTTGATAACCTTTTTGTTGCCCCAAATGTAAGGTGACCTTTCTTCAACACAGAGAAAAATATTTTCTTTCAAAGGAACAGTTCTATTTTCTGGACAACTCTCCTTTGTGAAATATAGGATTTTAGGTTGTCAGATATATTGTATCCTTAGAGAGAATGATAAGAAGTCCAACCCCCTCTGCTAAGAGATGAGGAGACTGGATTCCCTATCTTAAATAAACTCAAGCCAAGAGAAGGATTTCATGATCCTAAGAGCAGAGTAAACCTAGGAGTAAGACCCAATAAGGTTAAGTAGCTTGCCCAAGATCCTACAACAGGTTAATGACTGAATATCTTGTTTTTTTTCCTGCGTGGCAGTACATACTATACAATTGACCATTTCTCATTATTATGAGAGACATTACCAATCCATCTATATATTTAATGTGAGCTTGAGTTTTATCTTAAATTTCTATCTGGGTCACTAATAATGCATTTTGAAATTGATCCTGCCATATTTTGTGGCCTTTGATCAAATCTTGAAACTAGAGGAAAACTTAAGAGTGATATGCCTTAACATCTCCACAATGTGGGAATTCCCTTTATAACATTTCTGATAGGTAAACATGTAGTTTTTCTTTAACAATTCTAGTGGTGAAGAACTAACTGCCAGAGGAGCAAGTACAGGCCCTCACTTGCTCTCTTTTCTCTTAGTCATGTTTAACACAATACTCTTTTTTTTTTTTTTTTTGAGATGGAGTCTTTCTCTGTCACCCAGGCTGGAGTGCAGTGGTGCCATCTCAGCTCACTGCAACCTCTGCCTCCCGGGTTCAAGCAGGATTCTCCTGCCTCAGCCTCCTGAGTAGCTCAGATTACAGGTGCATGCCATCACGCCTGGCTAATTTTTGTATTTTTTAGTAGAGATGGGATTTCACCATGTTGATCAGGTGGTCTCAAACTACTGACCTCGTGATCCACCTGCCTCAGCCTCCCAAAGTGTTGGGATTACAGGCTTGAGCCACTGCGCCCAGCCTAACACAATACTCTCTATCCAAGCCGGCCTATCCTTTCTTTGCTTTTCTTTATCTTATTCCAAAACTTAAATTCTTTATTCTTAGGTCACAAACATTGTTCTCAAGCCTTGGTTCCTTCTCAGCTTTCCTGACCCTGTTTTATTGGGTGTGACCACGTCATCACGTGTTCAAGTCTTTTAAAAATTGGACTTTATTTGAGGAACTTGACAAACTACTTGTAAAAATAAACAATCTCATTTATTTTGCTTCTCTTTTGGTGATTTGTGATTGTGTATTTTCTCTTTGTAGCATCCCAGCAACCTCATGGAAGAGGCAGTTCAGGGAATATTGCCACAGATGGTAAAACCAAGACTAAATGAGGCTACTTGTTTCACAGATACCCACACAACTAGTTGAGAGACAGATTTCAGACTGACATATTGGTCTCTGCCACTGAAGCTCGGTTTTGTTTTTAACAA
Source organism: Homo sapiens (assembly GCF_000001405.40). Classification (NCBI taxonomy): domain Eukaryota; kingdom Metazoa; phylum Chordata; class Mammalia; order Primates; family Hominidae; genus Homo; species Homo sapiens. The sequence continues at coordinate 14,556,497 of NC_000002.12, read as the reverse complement.
TCTGTGTGTTCTCCCTATTGAATCAATGTCTAGCACCTGTGATTATATCTGGGGATGAGAGGCATTTCGGGGGAATGCAGGGAAATTCCTTTTATTCCTAAAATTAACCCAGTACCATAATCCCCCACTCCATATCTTATTTCTGATAGCCACTACATATTGCACAATTCTTATTTTTTTCATTTTGTCTATTTTGAGTAGCTAATCCCCTTCCTTCCTACTCACATGTCTGGCCTAGGTCTCCTAGAATGGAAACACAGCTTCTTCTGTATTGTACATAGCTTCCCAAATTCATGACAGCCATTCTCCTGTGATTTCCACACTGGAATCTTGCCTGTGAAATGTGTCCAACTGCTCCTAGGTGGCTTCTCAGTTTTAGACTAATTCTCATCATGTTGAAACAAAACAGACTTGTGAGACATAAGCTCAGATTTTAGATTTTGAGAACTGGTATTTTATCATTCAGTTCTAGAATTAGAAATGACAAAGGAAAGGATAGAGAAGAGTAGGTAGCTGGTATGTTAACAGGCAATGAACACAGGAGAAGAACAGGTACATTACTTTACTTTCTCTCTCTGATTCTCAGGATCATCATTGGTAAGTCAGACAAGCTGTCATCAACCTGCTCCCCTTCCTGTACATCCATGAGACCACACATATGAAGTACCCACCATTGGTGCTAGAAACACAGTAGGCTTGCAACCAGCGGTGATTTACCCTTTTATGACCAATGAGATCAGGCATAAAAAAATGTCAACTTCAAAGTTTTCATTATTGTTCGTTTCTCTTTGGGTGCTTAGACTTTCTCTCTTTAATTAGGGGCTACTCCATTTCCCTTTTGGAATACCATTAAATTACAAAGGCTGCCTTTGATCTGCCTGGATAGGTCACCCCAGGTTTGTAAATACAGTTATAATCTCTAATCATATTATAAATGCTGACAGCTTGCTGCCTAGAAGGGAATGAGTATAAACCAGGATCCTTAGCCAGTACTTCAGTTTCTACATTCCTGGATTAACCAGATAAGAAGTGTGAGAAAGAGCTCTGACTTTCCTCTTTTGGGAATCTTCCCGCAAATCAAGTAATTCTGGTCCTACCTAGTCCCTGGGCCATACACAGAGAGCAGAAAACAGAAGTCAGCATAGTATTGAAAAGCATGAACTTTAGAATCAGGCAGATAAGTTGATTCAAATCTTAGATGAGCCATTCAACTGCTGTAAAGTTAACTGGCAATTTTTTTTTTTTTTTGCCACCGTAAGTCCCATTTATAAAAGGGACATCATGTTACCTACTTATTGAGTTGTTTTGAGATCAAAAGAGATAATGTGTGTGAGGCATTTGGCACATAGCAGAGGCTAAATACGTGTTAGTTGTTTTATTTATTTATTTATTTTTTCCCCAGACTTTCTGTAAATGCACTGATGTCTGCCTCCTCAGCAGAGTTTGTCTTTCCACGCCCAGGAAGCTGCCCCGTCACTCCCAAGCCGTAAGTGTTTTTATTGAAACGGTTTCACAGCCTGCCTAAAAGGCCAGTGAAGAACAACATATTCCTCATACACCTATTCATTTACTTATGCCCTCTATTAACTTCCACTGAGGTCCTCATATATGAGATGCAAGTAAATTGGAAATTATAGTTTATGTTAAAATATTAACCAATCTCCTTAAGAAATACATTAAATCAAGAGTAGAGCTTCTGAGATATAATTTAGAAACTATAGGCTGGATGCGGTGGCTCATGCCTGTAATCCCAGAACTTTGGGAGGCTGAGGTGAGCGGATCATGAGGTCAGGAGTTCAAGACCAGCCTGGCCAACATAGTGAAACCCCGTCTCTACTGAAAATACAAAGGATTAGCCAGGTGTGGTGGTGGGCGCCTGTAATCCCAGCTCCTCAGGAGGCTGAGGCAGGATAATTGCTTGAACCCTGGAGGCAGAGGTTGCAGTGAGCTGAGATCATGCCATTGCACTCCAGCTGGGGTGACAGTATGAGATTCCGTCTCAAAAAAAAAGAAAAAAGAAAAAAGAAAAAAAAACTATATAGTTTACATACTTCAATGAAACTTGCATTTAAATGATTAACTTATATTTCCATACATCTTGATCACTTGCAAAACTTTTATTTGAATACCCTTAATCTATCTATCTATCTATCTATCTATCTATCTATCTATCTATCTAATCTTAGTTTGTTAGGGTTACTATAGCAAAATATTATGAACTGGGTAGTTATCAAAAACAGAAATTCAATTCTGTTCTGGAGGCTGTGAGTCCAAGAGCAAAGCACTAGTAGATTTGATGTCTGGTGAGGGTCCCCGTCTTGGCTCATAGACAACAGTCTTTATTTATTTATTTATTTATTTACTTATTTATGAGACAGGGTTTTGCACTGTTGCCCAGGCTGGAGTGCAATGGCACAATGTTGGGTTACTGCAACCTCTGCCCCCCAGGATCCAGTGATCCTCATGCCTCAGCCTCCTGAGTAGCTGGGATTACAGGCATGTGCCACCATGCCCAGCTAATTTTTGTATTTTTAGTAGACATGTGGTTTTGCCGTGTTGGCCAGGCTGGTCTCAAATTCCTGGCCTCAAGTGATCCACCTGCCTTGGCCTCCCAAAGTGCTGGGATTACAGGTGTGAGCCACCATGCCCAGCCTATAGCCATCTTCTTGTTATAGCTTCACATCAAGGGAAGGCTAAACAAGCTCTCTTAGGCTTCTATTGATAAGGGCACTAACCTCAGAGCCCTCATGACCTCCCCACCACCAAAAGCCCACCTCCTAATACCATCACATTGGGGGTTAGTATTTCAATGTCAACAAGTGAATTTTGGGAAGACACAAATATTCAGACCATCTTTGTAGCTACCTAATTTCCTTGTGCACAGTAGAACTATGTCATATTTTAATTACATTGATAGATCTCTAGAAACAAAGGGGTAATCTGTCATTTACTAACAAAATACTTCCAGATATATTTTATTTAAGAATTTCTGCTTTTTTCACTAGAAAGAAAACAGAATGAACTCATCTCAGCATTATTTTATGTAACAAAAATTTATAAAATAGCTATAACACGTCAAAGACTGCATGATTCCCCTCCTCTGGCTGCCTGGCCCCATTGGGTTTTTCCTAAAACTGTGTCCTCAGGCAAAGCTGAAGTTTGCATATCATTAGTATGTTGTGGAGGGAATGTTATACATCAAAAAGGAGATGTTGGACCTAAAATTACTTGTTAATTTAAGGGGGTAGTGCTCTTGGTTGGAATTAATGAAGTCAAGTAGAGGATGAGAAAGAGGTGGGAAGAGAGGTGGGAGAAGCAGATTGGGGAGCAGCGTGTGTGATTAAGAAGGAGAGTGGTATCAGTGGATTCTAAACAGGGAGGGCCAATGCCTGTGACATTGTTCATTTTTATTTAGTAGGTTCCTCCACCTCAAGGAATTTTGTTTATTTGCTGGGCCCATCTTAGCATCATCCAGGAAATAGGTCAAGGATTCATCTTGTGTGATTCATCTTTATCTAACGTAGGCCTACATGTAACAGTCAGGTACACCTTTATGCCATTTGACACTTGTACAATTGCCTCCTCTCTTTCTGATTCTTCATACACACACACACACACACACACACCTGACTAAATTTTGATTTACTGTATAATTCTTTTATGGGAAGAAAAAAAATTGCTCAAAATATATGAACAGCTGTTCTCTTTGACAGTTGTATTTTTCACTGTAAATTAAAAAAAGATAAGATGCGGGTCCAACCCTGACAGACTGATCATCTCTTTGAATCTTTGGGAACAGAATTGGGAGCTGACCTTGGATCAGTGAGGTAACTATTTATTATAGGTATGGAAACCAAGAAATTATTTCTTACCATTATGCCCACTTTTTCTCTGAGGAACTATAGACCTGGACTTGTGTGGGAAAGAGTGGGAAGAAACATGGGGGGCTTTGTGGGAAGCAGTGAAATGAGGTCTGGTCACGACTCAGAAGTATCCTAACTCTGGCTCTGTCACAAGCCCACAGTGCATGTGATCCCTGGCAAGCAGCTTGAAACACTGTGTAACTTTTCTCCTGATCTGCTACAAAAGACAATAGTATCTAGTCCTCATCCAGAGTCTTACTAAGAAGAGAAGACTAACTCATGAGAAATAACTAAGGAGGAGCAGGAACATGTGTTCACAAGAATGACATTTGTGATTATTATCCATGACAGTGCGTGTCAGAATTTATTTATTTTTTTAACAATGCCTTGCTCTTTTGCCCAGGCTGGAGTGCAGTGGCATGATCACTGCCTTGACCTTTCAGGCTCAAGTGATCCTCCTGCCTCAGCCTCCTAACTGTGACTACGGGCACATGCCACCACACCCAGGTAATGTATCTTTTGTAGAGACATGGTCTTGCTGTATTGCCCAGTATGATCTCAAATTCCTGGCCTCAAGCAGTCCTCCCACCTCGGCCTCCCGAGTGGCTGGGACTGTAGGTGTCTGCCACCATGCCTGGCTAATTTTTTAATGTTTTGTAAAGATAGGATTTTACTATGTTGCCCAGGCTGGTCTGGAACTCCTGGGCTTAAGTGATCTTCCTGCCTAGGCCTCTCAGAGTGTTGGCGTTACAGGCATAAGCCACCACTCCTGGCCACTTATGGTAATTTTAAAAAGTAACAAATACCTAGATTCTACCTCAGATTGGAGTTATTCGGTCACATTACCTTTGCCCTCACTCCCCCATTCCCTTCTCCAAAAAAAAAAAAAAAAGTGTATAAAACTGATATGAAAGGCTGGGCGTGGTGGTTCACTCCTGTAATCCCAGCACTTTGGGAGGCAGAGGCAGGCGGATTACCTGAGGTCCAGAGTTCGAGACCAGCCTGACCAACATGGTGAAACCCCATCTCTACTAAAAATACAAAATTAGCCGGGTGTGGTGGTGCATGCCTGTAATCCCAGCTACTCAGAAGGCTGAGGCAGGAGAATTGCTTGAACCTGGGAGGCGGAGGTTGCAGTGAACTGAGATCAAGCCATTGCACTCCAGCCTGAGCAACAAGAGTAAAACTCTGTCTCAACAACAACAACAACAGCAACAAAATGATATAAAAAAGAGACATAGTTGGAAGAGATCCTCCTTAGGTACACACATAAAACATTTTCAAATGAAGGCTGCTAGACTGTGAAACGCTGGAAGGCAGCTAGTAAGAAGAGTATCTTATCAGCTCTGTGCCCTTCAGCCTGGAATGGGGCTTTAGCCACAGTTAGAGAGGGACAGAGGAGGGAGCATTGGCTGGGGTCAGGGATGTTAGGATTTTAGTCTCTGCTACTCATAGCTATGTAACTTTGGGCAAGTCAGTTTCTCTCTCTGATCTTCAATTTTCTGACCTGCAAAATAAGGTAATTACAGAGCGGTGGCCCGCAATCTTTTCCAAAGCATGGGCTCTGTGGAGACAGATTTGGGCTTGAATCCTGGCTTCAACACTCATTTTTGACCTTGTGCAAGATACATGGCACCTAGATTGTTAAATTTTTTTCTGTCTTCTTCTCCTCTCCTTCACATAATTACGTTCCTTCACATAATTACGTTCCTTCACATTATTATGTTCTCTGTGACTAAGACACAGACAGCACTGTGTGTTCTGTCTGGTCTACCTCTGGCTTATCTTGCTTTCAACTAATTCTACAGAGTGAGGAAGAGGGAATATGTAATACATGGAGGGACGCTTAAAGCTGTGGATATGTTTTGCTGTAAAACATCTGGAAAATTCAACTTCTTAAGGCAGTGTCTGTGGGGAGATATTGGGATATTAACCACCCTGACAAACTCATAGTAACAAAGCACTTTCAGAAATGATATTGAACATGATAGCATGTGAGCTTTCCAGCAGTCCTGTGAATCAGCCAGGCATGGGTTGTTTTCCGCTTTTGCTGAGGATACATCTCAGGCCAAGGAATTTTAAGTGACTAAGTTACAGGTTTCTTGTTAATATGGCAAGAGTGCCCAAATATCGATCAGGTGTTCTGAATGCAACCTACCTTCTCTACCCTGCTGCTTGTTTATATCAACACTGACCATGACTATTAATATAAGTAGTGTTTATGATGTTTTTCAGCATTCAAACTCTTTTCATATACTGTCATATCAGCTGTAAGCAATACCTGGAGGCATATTTTAATTTTACCCACCCATTTTACAGCTGAAGAAATTTAATCCCAGAGATTTTAAAATATCTGCCCAACTTCATAAAATAGCAAGTAATGTATTTACAATTCAGTGTTTTGAACTCTTTGTTTCAGTACTTTGGAAACCATATTAATAGTTTCTTTACTTAATTCTGTATTTCCATAGATTCATAATCCTTTCTGAGAGAATTACTTAATAGAACTGACAGAAATTAGACAACAATTCAGAAGGGCTTTCCAATTTGTATTTACTTCATTCTTCTTGGAAGTGCTATCAAGACATACCAAGACAAAGATTATCTCACAAATCTAAAAGATTCTTAAAATTGAGTTCCATTCATTCCACCTGAGCCCAGATGCCAACAGCTGAAGTCTTCAAATGTGTGGATTTCTGTGCTGTAGACCAGTTTTTCCCCACACAGAGTGTCCAGCTACTTAAATTTGATATTCTAATGTGCATATGAACTCTGGGTATTGGGGAAGTTAGTGATCTGGATTGCATGACAGCTGCTTAATTCCAAAGCCAGTTACAAAAATAAACTAAACTTGAAAATTAGCTAGTTCTATCCCGGGCTCATCCACATTTTCCCCCTTGTCTCTAGCAGTGAACTAGTCCATCTTATAGCTTCAGTTCTTATTTAGCTGTGCTTCTTTTTAGTCTTTCCCAAAATGTGTTACTAATGAAGTTAGATTTTCTGTATTAATTTGGTACCGTATTGTACCAATATACATTAATTATCTATTATATTTGTATTTTACTTTATAAAAATGTCGATGCACATTAATTTAACTCCTATATAACTTGTGATACAGGAATAATATAGTGTGATTCTCATTTTACACATGAGAAAAAGTATCGTGATTACTACTAATAAAAAGAGACTTGAAAAAATGTGACTTTAGTTCTGCTAAATATAAGACTAGTAGTTTCTTTATGCTACATATATGATATCTACTTTAGATATCACTTCTTTGGCCACTTTTTAAAATCAATAGATCTACTTTCTAACTGTTTGAGAGTTAGTGGACATTTACCTTATGTCTATACGCTCAGTGGCATAGAATAACTGGATTTTTTGTTACAACTAAAAGTTACAATAAGATATTCTATAGTGGTTTGGCAACTCTGAAAAGAAAAATCATCTCAGCTCAATTATGTTCCCTCATGTTTAATCCATTTAATCCAGCTTTCTTTTTATGAGTTTCTGCTCTTGCTTGGAGAATTCTCTCTGCTGCTCTTTGTTCTACTTATAGGTGTATTTTGTTAAGTCTCCAAATACGTTAAGTCTCCAAATAAGGAAAAATACAAGGAAGAAAAACCATTTATAGGTTATGATTTATTGTCAAAATGGTTATGTTGGTGAGTGGGGATTCACTCTAGTTTATGAATAATATATTTATGCTATTGGTCTCCTTGAATTTATAAGACCTATGGTCAAAAGAGAGACTCTAAGTATGATGAATTGCTACCACATAAGGTAGTCAATCTCTATCAGCTTCCATTCAAAAAATGAGCTGGAAAGGTTGCAGAAATGCTCTGAGAGGTTTCCAGCTGGTGCTGTCTGCTTTAGTTTTGCAATCTCTTTGGGAAAAAAAATATTGAGCAGCTGACCCGAATTTTTTGATAACTTTAGTGGGCCCAGAAGCAGTGTATGCTGTGACTTATTAATACAGAGGGGAGGCAAAATCTATGATTCTGTTAGAATTGGGGCATTTGGAGTGACTGAGGGGTTGAAATGTCAGCGTTTGAACATGCAAAGTATTCAAGTAGGCCATGAATTTCATCTAGGTTCAGACTGGTGTTAAATAAATGGATGTAAGTGGAGCTAGGAAGCATAAGTTTTCTGTACAATTGACTTTTTGTAGCTAAAAATATTAGAGCATTCTGGTATCTTTATTCAACTTTTATTGATTTAGTGTCTACTGTGACCCAAGCATTGCTATAGGTATTTGGATACATCAGAGAATGAAACAGACGAAGTCCTTGCTCGTAGGAAACTTACATGAGAGAGGCCAAAAGTAATTAATAAGCAAGTAAATATTTATGAAGTCAAGTGACAAAAATGACCATGGAAAATAGCACCTGCCCAACACATTGATTCAAGTCAACCAAGATGCATGCAAATAAGGTGGCTTGTGAGTTCAGAGGATAACTTCTTTTTGCTGAGGAAAGTAATAGAGCCTCAGGAAAAAAGTGATCTTTAGTTTGGGACTTGAAGGATAAATGACATTGCAGTAGACAGAGGGGATGGGCTTGGAAAATCCCTCCAATGCAGAAGGAGACTCATACAAATATATGCGTATGTACCAGTGCATGGTGTGTTTCAAGAGCTGTGAGTCAGCTACTGTATCTGGATAGTATTGTTCATGAAGAAAGGCAGTAGATCATAAGACAACCAAGGAGAGTAAACTTTATCTCTGGGCAATGGAGAGCCACCTAAAGACATTAGCATGATGGGAGTTGGGTGCTGTATAAGATCACTTTGTTTTAAGGGACTTGTTCTACCCAACATCTCTACATTGATTTAAATAGATGTGCACTTTGAAAATACTGAGCCTGAGATTCATGCCCCATAGACAAAATCAGGGGCATTGAAAAGCCCGCATGATGCAAATTTAACATCCATTGGTGCTCACTGTATGTTAGAAACTCATCTAAGCCCCCTATACAGACATTATTTTATTTAATTCTTACAAGGAGGCTATCATCATGGTACTATTATTAGTTTAACACTACAAATAAGGGAAGAGTGAAGGAACAGTGTTAGAATCATATAGTTAGGCTGCAAGAGGCCATCAAGGCTATGTATTACATTCTCATTAGGTGGGGAAGAAAATGGAAAGGGGAGGTGCTCCATCCATAATACCCCTGTAAGTTAGCAGAGCTGGGACTAGAGATCAGTCCTCCGGCTCTGGGTTCTGCAATGCGTACTACAGGAATCATTGAACTACGCATGAGCCCGTGCCTCCTAGCGGATCTCCATGTCCTTCTGTCCCTTTATTCACTATGAATTATACAGACACTGTTTTCTCTGTCACCTGAGAGGCTCCAAGAAACCACCTCAATAACAATGGGCATGTCACCATTAGTGGTGAATTCATTTGCATAGATCATTTCCTGCCCCTCATTATATCTCTGAAATTAGAATGAGCCCAAATGGGGAGTCATTTTAAGTGTTCACTATTTTTGAGTGAGTTGGTCAAAAGTTTTTATATCTAACCCCTCCCCAATCCATAGGTGGAAAATGTTGGGTTGCATTGGCACCAGAAGCTAGTGGTGTAAAAAAGAAGGGGCTCCAAGGGAAGAATGTATAAGTACAGCAGGGGATTTGGGGTTAGTTTTAAATTTGGAGCTGACATTTGCCTTCTCCTCTTTCATGAATTCCAACTCCCGCCATTCTTCTGTTATTACCTTGTACTAAAGCCAAGCTAATGTGCATTTCTAGCCTGCATGATATTTTGGTGATAATTTTATATAATATCTTAATTACATGCCATTCTTTACTCTTGTGGCTTTCTTTCCATCTTTGGGTTGTGTCTTACCCTACTATTCCCAGGAATCCTTCCTGAATCCACCCCAGCCAGCTCTAACCACACCTTTGTACTGAGTTTTCTTCACTATTCTGTACTGGCTGGATGCATTTACTGTATATCTTTGCAGACTCATCTGTGTATGCTACCAAGAAGGTAAAGTGACGCAACAGAAAACTGGATTCTGGTTCCAGCTCCCCACTTACTAATCTATGACAAGTTCTAGTTTCCTCCTCCATAAGGTAACTCATCCACCAAGAGATGGGAGGTTGTATCAAACATCCCTTCCAAATCTCAAAAGCAAAAGCCTAAGTTTTTGATACATTGCCGTCTTCTCAGTATGAGAGTGAATTCCCTATTTCTCTTGGAGTCTGTGCTTTACACTGAATAAGCAGCAAATGGCACAGTGGAAAGAACATTTAACCTAAAGTCATAGGCTTGTGTACAGATTTCAGCTCTGCTATTACCTTTCTGCATGACCTTGGACAAGCCTCTTCGACAGTCTTAACCTTGGTTTCCTCATCTACAAATTACGGAGGATGTATAACTCATATAACTGTAGGGAGGATTAAAAGAGATAAAGTGTAACAGTGCAGCGCACACGATAACTTCCAAAAATGTTGAGTTGCAGCCACACAAAGGGGATATTCAGCTTTTGTTGTTACAAGTGAGGATTTATCTGGTTGAATTTGACATAAATGTAACTATCACCAGACCCTTTTTTGTCCAAAATGAGGAGTTCTTTTGTTACAGAGATAGATTAGAACAAGCTTAACTCAGTGGGAAGGCTACTGCTGTGCTTGAAAGCAAGGGCATCCTGGAAGGTCCATAACTAACTCTGCGTTCTGTAGAATCTCATTCATACCTTGAAATATTTAGCACAATGACATATACAGCTATATTTGCAGTTCCAAGATTAAAATAACAGGGTAAATGCCTTCATAAACAGATCTATAATCATTGCGATGTTTCCAATAAACTGCAAGGAAATTTATTGTTATTTTACCTATAAGACTCAATAGATTTGCAGATGGATAAGGATCAGCTTAGCTCATCTCATTCTGTGAAATTGCCCATTCAGAGCTGCCCACTGCAATGTATTAAGGAGTGATTTGTAGCAAATTAGCTCAAGTGACTTCACATTACAACCTTTTCTAAAGACACTTTCCTAATGGGTCCCGTTTCTTGCTGGGGTTTCAAAGTCTTCTTTTGCTTTTGTTCTTGAATTTCAGAAGGGCCTAGGACACTTTAAAGGAGGCAAACATAACATAATAAAATTGATTAAGAAATGTAAAAAAAATGAGCTTCAGGGCCAGAAAATTAAAACTTTAGTGTGCTTATAGCCAGGTAGAAAAAGCAGTGGAGAGCATGGCAAAAGTATGTGTATTCCACAGACACTATGCTACATGTATTTATTGGCCACCTACTGTTTGTTAGAAATTAGAATACTAGCTAAACTTACCTTCAACATATCCCTCTTGAGAGAGTGATGGGAATTAGCATTGTGGTGGGAAGTGTATGAAGTATATGAAGAATTTGATGCTGGGGAGATGTATTTGTTTCCTGTGGCTACTGTAACAAAGTACCACTAACTTAGTGGCTTAAAACCACACGTTTATTATCATGTAGTGCTGTAGGTCAGAGTCTCCCTGGGCTGAAATCAAGTGTCAGCAGGGCTGCATCCCTTCTGGAGGCTCTAAGGCAGGGGTCCCCAACCCCTGGTCCATGGCCAGTACTGGTCTGTGACCTGTTAGAAACAGGGCAGCATAGAAGGAGGTAAGCATCAGGGGAGCAAGCAAAGCTTCATCTGTATTTACAGCTGCTTCCCATCACTCACATTACCTCCTGAGCTCCTCCTTCTGTCAGATCAGCAGTGGCATTAGATTGTCATAAGAGCACAAATCCTATTGTGAACTGCACATGCGAGGGATCTAGGTTGCGAGCTCCTTATGAGAATCTAATGCCTGATGATCTGTCACTGTTTCCCATCACCCCCAGAAGGGACCATCTAGTTTCAGGAAAACAAGCTTAGGCCTCCCACTAATTCTACATTATTGTGGGTTGTATAATTATTTCATTATATATTACAACACAATAATAATAGAAATAAAGTGTGCAATACATGGAATGCACTTGAATCATCCTGAAACCATCCCCTGGCCCCCAGTCCATAGAAAAAATTGTCTTCCATGAAACTGGCCCCTGGTGCTGACAAGGTGGGTGACTGCTGCTTTAAGGGGATGATTCTTCTCTTTGCCTTTTTCCAGCTTCTAGAGACACCCACATTCCATGGCTTATGGCCCCTCCCTCCATCTTCAAAGTTCAGATTTAGTCGTTCTCACACTGGGTGACTCTCACTTCCTCTCCTGCTTCTCTCTTTCAATTTTGGTATCTGCACTAGTTTTCTGGGTCTACTTTCACAAGATACAAAGCCCCAAATGGAGTGGTTTGTACAACGGAAATTTACCGTCTCCCAGTTGGAGGCAGAAGCCTGAGATGAAGGTGTTGGAGGGACTGGTTTCTTCTGACGGCTGTGAAGGAGAATCTGTTTCCTCTCTTCTGGTGGTTTTCTTGCAATCTTTGGCACTCTTGGCTTGAAGAAGCATCACCATGCTTTCTGCCTTCATCTTCATATGGCGTTCTCCTTGTGTATGTGTCTGGGTGCTAATTTCCCCTTTTTATACAGATACCCATCATATTAAAGTAGGGGTCCATCCTACTCCAATATGATCTGATCTTAACAAATTATATCGGCAATCCCTCTATTTCCAAATAACATTCCATTCTGAGGTAACTGGGGGTTTGGATTTCAGCAGAAAATTTTGGGAGGACACAATTCAACTCTAACAGGACCCTTGTGATTATATTAGGCCTGCCCAGATAATTCAAGATAGTCTCCCTCTCACAAGATCCTTACTTTAGCCACATCAGCAAGGTGATATATGCACAGGTTCCATGGATTGGGACAAGGACATCTTTAGCGGGATGTTATTCTGTCCATCACAGGAGGCTTCTGGGATTAGATACTGAAGGAAATTCATCAGATGCAGGGGAATTTTTGGTGGAGGACCCTCCAGATAGAAGGACCTCCAGCCCCTGCATCCTATGGAAAACAATAGTGCATTCAGTAAACCACACAGATGCGTGCAAGCTGGAAAGCTTTCGCTCTCAGGCTTCATTTTACTCAATGTGACCTGGTCAACTATTCTTTCAATCTGATAGCACCGTCTCCAGGTTTCCATGACACCATGACCTATTTGTTTTCTTTCAACTGCCCTCACTACTATTTTTCAGCCTTGTCCAGGAGGCAGCAAGCCACAGTTGCTGGCCAAACCCTGCTCGCAGCTGCTTTTGTAAATAAGTTTTTTTCTTGGAACACAGCCATGTCCATTTGTTTATAGATTACCCATATATGCTTTCATGATATAATGGCTGAGTTGAGTAGCAGCAGGAGAGACAGTGTGGCCTTTAGAGCTGAAAATATCTTTTGCCTGGCCTTTTATAGAAAAAGTTTCCCAAAGCCTGGTCTACCTACTTTGCTGGATTCTCCTCCTGGTATTAGAGAACCTCATCTCTCTTCTAGCCACATTCTATAAGCAATCTTAGCTAGTCCCCTGACTTTTACTACCTCTCTGCTGATGACACTAGCATTTGTATAAACAATTCTTATCCCGCCCCCATGAGTTCCAGACACACTTACCAAACAGCCTTGTGAACATCTCCACTTAGAAAATTAATAGGTATCCCAAATTTAATGTTTCCAAAAATAATTACTGGATTCTCTCAAATTCCCTAATCTGTTTCCTCCTTAGGAAGCAGGTCAATATTGAGAGCCATCAATATTCACTCAGTTGTTCAAGCCAAATGTCTAAGAGAAAGCCTTCATTTTTCTCTTCCTTTCACCTTTTTATCTAATTCATCAGCAATCCAGTATCATTTATAATATATACCCAAATCTCAACCTTTCTCATGACCTAATATCTGCAGCTACCCTCCTCATGCACATCAGCATTCTCTTTCACCTGTGTTGCTGTAGTGACACTTAACTGTTCTCCTTGCTTCCACTCTGCCCCACCCCTCCCTACAGTAAATTCACTAACCAGCAGCCCGGTAGTCTTTTCTAAAAGTAAATCTGAAGAGATTATTTTCCCCATTGTGTCTTCTTGATGCTCTTGTCAAAAATCAGTTGATCATATGTGCTTGGGTTTATTTCTGGGCTCTCTATTTTGTCCCATTGTTCTTTGTGTCAGTTTTGATTTCAGTACCATTCTGTTTTGATTACCATAGCTTTTTAATATAAGTTGAGATCAGAAAGAAAGATGCTTCCAACTTTGTTTTTCTTTCTCAAGGTTGTGTTGGCTACATGGGGTCTTTTTTGGCTCCATACAAATTTTAGGTTTTTTAAAAATAATATTTAATTTTTTTAAAAAAATATTTCTCTGAAGAATGACATTGGAATTTTGATAGAGATTGCATCAAACCCATATATTGCTTTGAGTAGTATAAACATTTAAACACTATATTTTTTCCAATCCATAATCATAATCACTGTCTCTCCTGCCAGTTCTCCCTGGCTCATTGCACTTCTGCTGCCCTGGCTTTTATTCTGCTGCTTGACCGCACCAAGCACTTCCCCATCTCTGCAACTTTGTGCAGTTATTATTCCTTCTGCAGGGACTCTTTGCTCTGGAACTTCACATCTTGCTCTCTTATCATCATGACCCAAGTATAAATGTCAGTTCCTCAGATAGTTCTCCTCTGACCATCTTTGCTCTAAATATCCCTCCCCCATAACCCTCTCTTATATTGCACTTTTGTGAATTGTTTTTTCTTAATTTTCTGAATGTATCATATTTTATTATTGCTTAATATTTACACAAAACTCACTCCTCCCCCTTCCCTTTCCCACAACACTGGGATACTAGTTACATGATAGAAAGGGCTTGGGCTCAGTTAGCATGCCTTCAAAGCTGGAGCTGCCCAGCTGATCTGCTTCAAGGAGGAGAAAAGGTGGCTACAAGTAGAGAGAAGAGTACGTGTGGCAGTACAGGGATATAAATTAGAAATGTAGGGAAAGTATTCCAGAAAAAAAGTTCTCAGTGATATTTGGTGGAAAGAGGTGGCAATAGCGTTGTGTTTATCTCTGTAATTCCAGCTTTTTCCTCCATTGACCCTGGCATAAGAGGCCTCTTCCCTGGGGTCTTTAGAGATCACTCTCTGGTCATCCACTGGTGATGGCCATCCCAATGAGTGATGTAATGCCCATAGACTATTTTATGGATATACCATGATTTTCTTAACCATGATGAGCATTTAGATGAGCATTTAGTTTTCTGGTTTTACAAACCCACTGTGGTCAAGTCCACTGCATGCATTTTCAGCTCTTGTATTTTTATAGGAGCAGCTTTTCATCAGTATGCACAGTAAGGCCAGGGAAATTATTGTAGAAACGTTACACAGAATTGTCCACAATTGACCACTTTGTACTGGTTAGTAGGGACCACTAAATGCCTCAGGTCTCAGCTTCCTTGGCTACCCAAGACTCTTTCCCAGGACCCCTCAAACTATCCCAGCCTCGAGCTAAAGGTCAATGCCTGGCTCAGCAGAGTCCCTCTGGAATTCTGTGGCAGGTCACTTCCATTCCGTGCTCTGCTATAACACTTTTTGAATGTCTGAATATAAAACCTCTGTTCCATGTGCCTTAAAATTAGATAAGTTGTGCATATTACTCATTTTGATGCATATTGTCAAACTTTACTCTAGAAAATTGGTCTCAGTTGAACATTTATAAATCACAAGTAGGGGAATATTATTTAATTGTAATTTCATCAACACTAGGTATTGGCCATCTTTAATTTTTGTAAATCTTATGGGGAAAAATATATCTCATTTTAAAAATTTGCATTATTTTGAGAATTGATAAATTGAACATCCTTTTTTATTTTTATTGCCAATTGATATCCTTTTTAAATAAATTTTCTGTTTTGTCCTCTTTTCTTTGGACTGTACGCACGTTTACAATTTTTTTTCTTTTTTTTGAGACAGGTTTATTGAGGTGTAATTAGTTTACCAGCTTTATTGTTATATAATTTACAGACCATACAATTCATCATTTACTTTATTCATAGATGTGTGCAATCATCATCACAGTCTAATGTTAGGATATTTTCATCACTCCAAAAAGAAACTCTTTGCCCATTAGCAGTCACTTCTTATTACTCTCCCCTCCACTAGTTCCTGACAAGCATTAATCTGCTTTCTATCTCTATGCCTACTCTAACTCTTTCATCTGAATAGAATCATACAATATATGGTCTTTTGTGACTTGCTACTTTAACTTAGCATATATTTTCATGGTTTATCCATGTCATAGCCTGTGTCAGTATTTTATTCTTTTTTATTGTTGAATAATATCTCATTGGATGAATATGCTGCATTTTATTTATTCATTTATCAGTTGATGGACATTTGGGTTGTTTCCACTTTTGGGATAATATGAATAATGCTTTATGAATATTCATGTACAAGTCTCTGTGTGTACATATATTTCCATTTACTTGGGTAAATAACCAAGAGTAGAACTGCTGAGTCATATGGAAACTCTATGTTTAGCATTTTGAGGAATTGCCAAACTGTTTTTGAAAGTAGCGGCTGTACCATTTTACATTCTGACCAGCAATGTATAAGGGTTCAATTTCTTCAAATTCTCAACAACATATGTTATTTTCTGTCTTGTTTTGTTTTATTTTAATGTAACCATCCTAGTGGTTATAAAGTATTATCTCATTGTGGTTTTTGTTTCCATTTTCCTAATGTCTAGTGATGATAATCATCTTTTTATGAGATTATTATCTATTTGTGTATTCTTAGAGAAATGTTTATGTAATATAATCTTTCAATTTTTAATTTGGTTGTTTATCTTACTACCATTGAGTTGTAAGCATTCTTTATGTATTCAAGATAGAGTCCATTATCAGATAAATACTTTGTAAATATTTTCTCTCATTTTGTGGTGTCTTTTCAAATTCTGGATGGTGTCATTTGCACCCCAAAAGTTTTTAATTTTGATGAAGTTATATATATATATATATATATATATAGAGAGAGAGAGAGAGAGAGAGAGAGAGAGAGCTAGAGAGAGAGAGAGAGAGCTAGAGAGAGAGAGATGGAGTTTTGCTCTTGTTGACTAGGCTGGAGTGCAATGGTGCGATCTTAGCTCACTGCAACCTCTGCCTCCTGGCTTCAAGCGATTCTGCTGCCTCAGCCTCCTAAGTAGCTGGGACTATAGGCATGCACCACCACTCCCGGCTAATTTTGTATTTTTAGTAGTGATGGGGTTTCACCATGTTCGTCAGGCTGGTCTCAAACTCCTGACCTCAGGTGATCTGCCTGCCTTGGCCTCCCAAAGTGTTGGGATTACAGGCATGAGCCACTGCACCTGGCCAAAAGTGTATACTTTTTATATGCAAGATTATATTATCTTCCAAGTATAATTTTCATGCAGTATCATTTGCTTTTTAAATGTAAAGTTTTATAAATACATTATTGTCATGTATCCACCACAATAATCAAGATGTAGAACAAGTCTATCATCCCTCAAATTTTTCTGGACTACTACTGTTCTATTTCTCTCGCTAAATTTTTGCTTTTTCAAGAATATTATGTAAATAATCTCATGGACAATAAAATACCAGATATGTTTTAGTTTTAGTGAATGAAGTTCTAGCAAGTAGTTCTTTATAATCAAACTTACATATTTTTTATTGCCAATGTTATGATCCCTGCTTTCCTTGCCTCTGCTTATGGTTTTCATTTTAAGATTTCTGTCACTTAATTTTAGGTGTGACTACTTTATACTGCATATATAGCACATCAAAATCTTCACCTTCTTCTCAGGTATGCAGATTTCCTGGAAATAAAGTCCTGAGTTAAAGTTGCAAAAAGTTGATACAAATTAGATCAGTAATAAAGTGAAAAATTGCAATGAGCAGGGTGGTTATTCTCCAATTTTTATTTAAATAGGAGAATATTTTCTTCAAATAAAATTTTGCATTGAAGCTAAAGATGTAAACACATAAAAGCGGAGTTTCTCTTTTGAATTCTGAACAGAAATTCTGCCCACGTCATCTCTGTTCCTTCAGAGCATAGTTTGAGTATCAGGGGCCTCCCTCATGAATTACTCTGTGTTGACTGATCTACTAAGAGCAGCGTTAAGACAGTGGTCAGCACCAGGATCAGTCTCAGGATGAGGACAAGGGAGAAACTTGAGAAGCAATGAGCCTAATCCCAGGGTTCTGATCTCAGGCAATGGTGTTTCCACTTTGCTCTTCCCTGCTCTAACCTCACAAGAGGAGACAAGAACACTCAGGGACAATGACAGCCGTCTTCCTATATAGGAAGGGCTGCTATGTGTCAGTCATAAGAATTATTCAAAATTATTCCAGAAGAGAGATCTAGGATGAGAGTGATTAAATAAGCAAATAGAGGGAGGGACATTCTAAAAACAAGATCAACAGTGGAAGAGATTGCTTTTGAAATCCTTCAAGGTCAATTTCCTTGTCCCATCTTAAAAATTATAATAGAGAACACGCTATTCCACCCTGCACCACGTTCTGTGTCTGTGGCCATTGTACACACATCACTCTTCTGTGACAGATACCTGTTGTCCAGCTCTTCTCTTCTATCTTGCCACATCCCACTATCTGTCCTGGAGGCACGGAGGGGAGTGTCAGAGTGGCCAGTGATGGGGATCCCTAAAATGGATTTGTCTTTAAACTATTTTCAGCTCCAACTTTCAAAAAGCAATAACCCCTCAAATCAGAGTTTCTAATGAAACAGCATACATTTTCTTACTTTCAGGCATCTTTTCTGTGATATGAGACATCTTTGTAAGGGAACCAAAAGGAAACTTATAGTTGTTATGATGTGTATGCATATCATTTCAGTGTGTGCAAAGGCAAAGACTGCCTTTCGATGATATTTTTCCATTGTCTTTGTCTTTCTATAAATATTCCCCTTCTTGCCCTCACCTGGGATGTAGAGTTGCTGACTAAACTGATCACCTCCATGAGATTGTACCCATTTATTCTTTGTGCACTTATGCATCCAATTGGCTTCTAAAGTGTCCACTGGTATCCTATTAGAATTAAATAATGTCCGCCTGTCAGTGCAGGGCTACGCCAACTTGTTTCTTTAAAAGGCTGCATATGGTAATGCATTTTGGAAAGGAATCTGGGACTAACTCAAAAGAGCCAATGTTCCAAACCTCAAGTTAAATTCAATATGATTTTACCAACCTGACCATTCTATATTCGGTTTGGATTTTGGTTTCATTTTGCTGTTTTGTATTATGTGTTTTTATTTTTACCCCCCACCCAAGGTCATCAGCTTGATTGTTTCAATTTGGAATACTTTTGTAGTTTTTCTCAGTAGGTGTAGTATGATTGGTCAGTTGATATTAAAGCTCTTGTGGGTCAGGAGTCCAGACATGACCCAGTTGGATCTTCCACTTGGTTCTTACAAGGTGGCAATCGAGGTCTTGGCAAGAGTGTGTTCTCATCTGAGGGCTCATCATTTCCAGGCTCATTGGGGTTGCTGGCAGAATGAACTTCCTTGTATGAGTAAGGGCCCCAGTGTTTTCCTGCCGGAGGCCAACCTCAGATCCTAGAGGCCGCCCACAGTTCCTTGACACTTGGGTTACCTCCAAATGGCCACTCTTATTGTTCAACCAGCAAGGACGACAAGGACAGGCTCTTACCTCACAGAGGGCCTGGCCTCTCTTTTAAGGTCTTCACCTAAGTCAGGCTGACTCAGGATCATTCACTTTGTATTAACTCAACATCAACTAATTTGAGACCTTAATTACACTGGCAAAATATCTTCACCTTGGCCATATTCTGATGGCTAGAAGCAAGTCACAGCTTCCTCACACAGTGGAAGGCAGGCGTGATAAAGGGTGTGAACACCAAGGGGTGGCTATTATAGGGGTGACCTTAGGGTCCATTCACCAGAGGTGTAAATGAAAACCCCATTACGGGGAGCAAGAGGAGAATCTCAAGCTGTGATGTACGGAGTCAAGGGGGGTATTGTAGAAATGAAGTCCTATGAAAGCCAATGTCAACTCTGGGAAGGTTCCAGAATGGAGGCTGCTGAACTGAAAGTATCAGGCAGAAAAGCAGGAACTGAATTCTGTGGTCAAAAATCATCAGTGGGGAGGATTAAGAGTACTAAAGTGGTCAGCAAGGGCACAGTGGTGAGACTTGTGTGCAAAAGTGCAGAAGGCTCCAGTAGCTGTGGACGCTGCCCGTCATCCTCCCTTTGTGGGCTCATCAGCCGCTTTGAAAGGTTTCGTCTGGAAAAATTGTGCTAAGCACTGCCCTCATCATTCAAATACATTCTGTCATTTCCTTGTGTCTCTGGGAGGTAAAATGAGAGTGTCTCGTACTTGTAAAATGAAAAGCTCTGTAAACATGCCAGAGGTGAAACTTTGTAAAACTGCTTCTATGTTGATGTTAGGCAGCTTCCTTTGCTGTCTCTTGATGCTGCTCTTGTCTTGTGCCCCAAAGCTCCACTGTCTGTTCTCCTACCTGATGCCCTGGTCTCACAGGAAGGCACGTAGTATCTGTTGCTGAATCCCCACTCCCAGGGGATCTTGTTCAGAATGACGAGGGGATGTGCATACTTAGGGCCCAGTGGATTTGGCCTACAACAAGTAGAAGTGCAGTCTATTGTAAGGAAGCTCTAACTTCAACACCTGAGCATGTAAATGTCAGGATGAAGTTTTTGAATGTGAGGATCAGGGCAAGCTAGGGCCATGCAGTAATTAGAGACTATGAAGTAGTAATTAGGCATTGTTTGATGATGCAGTTGATGATATTGGGGCACTCAGGTAAGGAAGCATATGGGGGTTGACAAAGGAAGTGGGAGAACGTTGGAAAACAAGAATGGCTAGAGAGCCTACCAGAATGGCAGGGTACCAGCACCAGGGATATTTGGCATGGGTATGGGAGTATGAGAAACCTAGAAAAAACAATGGAACCAGCTTTATTGAATGCTCACTGTGAGTCAGGCATTGTTCTAAGTACTTTATACTAATTAACTTTTATTCCTCATACCATCGTATAAATTGTATCCATTTTACAGATGAAAAGCTAAACCATAGAGTGGAGAATAACTTGGCCAAGACCAGACAAGTGTAAAGTAGCACAATGGCTGTCTCCCCATTAGAGCAGTGCACTGTGTGTCTGCTTAGCCCACAATCTCATTCTCCCTGTCTTCCACCTCCTCTGTGAGTGACAGCAATCCAATTGAACTGGCCCTGAACTGGAGACTCAGAAATGGGGAGACAGGTTACCGAAGCAGAGAATGGAATGTGCCTCTAGGCATGCATCTAGGCTGAGCTCCTGGATTTCTGGCTTAAGGTTGCTTCACAGGATCCTCAATGTAGGGTCAGGGCCCAGCCTGTTGGAGGATTCTGCGAGCACCGGAGGGGCAGCCTGCCAAGCAAGGCAAGGCAATGCACTAATGAGCACTCACGTGTCCAGGCCTGTTTGGGGTGTGAAGAATTAATGGAGGAGTGATTCTCCTGCCCTGGGACTGCTCCCAGGGACTCCTGCTCCCTGGGACTGCTGCTGCTGCCTATTCTGTCTACACGAGGACCCTACGCTGATTTTAACCCCACAGAAACCAGGTCATTGCTCTAACTACAGATTCTGTCAAATATTTTATGACAAAATAGGACTGAATGTGTAGAATAATGGTTTTAAATTTAAAAATATATATTTTGCAACATCTCTTACTAGATATTGATGATGTGACCTCACTCACTAACCCCCATTTTTATTGAGTCAGGAAGGGTAATGTCCTAGGGAAGGAAGGGGTAGACAGCTGAGAACCCAGGTCACTGGAGGAGAAGCAAGATATGGTGGAGTAGAAGTCCCTACTAGACAGAAAACAGAAATAAAAACCCCTTTATTTTAAGGAAAAAGAGAAAGGAAGATTAAGACAAAAGGTGAAATTCTGGAGTCCTGTCTCCTTCGTGGGGCAATGAATACAAAAATTACTAACCTCAGGCAGCTACAAGAGAAAGGTGAAAACAAAGGGGCTTTCGCCCCACTTTACCATATGGGACTCTGAGTGGTGGATCCCTCCCAGGCTGTCCCTTAGCAAAACACAAATGCTAGAAAAGTGGTCAGCCAGGGAGAGGACAGTGATAGTGCCCCTGCCTCTCTGCTCCGGGGTGACATGAGGCTGCTGCAGGAGTTCTTGCTCCATCCCACTGGGGAGCAGAGGATGCTGAGTTGAGAGCCAGAGGTCTGGCCTGAGTGGAGAGGGGCAAGGCTGCTGTGTTCACCTTCTCTGCTGGGACCTAAATGAGGATGTGGCAGGGGCTCAGTGGGTCCATAGCACCAGTGAAAGCAGGGAAGAGCTGGTCAGCGGTTTAATAATATTGGGGAGTCAGGTGGTGAGGCTGTCCAGCCATAGAACAAGCAGTAGAAGCCAGTAGACCATTCAGGGGCCAGGAGGAGTTAGGACGGCGCCATGGGCTATGGGAGCCATCAGGACTTGAACAGCCCAAGACCACATGAGGGTCAGACACTCAACCGCTTTGTGTCCCTCTTGAACCGAACACCTTGGAATTCAGGGGAGAGAATTAACTTTGAATTGATTGACTGTCCTAAAGATCCTTTCTTAAATGTGAAAGTTGAAGACAGCTTTAATTAACAAATATTATTTCCTATCATCTTATGCCACCTTGAAAAGTGAGAAGTTCAGATAAGCTACAGTAAATTTACTATGGTAAATTCAAAGTGTATAATTGTTTGTTTGTTTTTAATATCACTGAGCTGTAGCGTGTAAAGCAAATCATGAGAGTCCAAACAGGCAGGTTATACATGTATGCTTCGTAAAACATCTCACATTTTCACTTGTATTTCTGAGTTGATGGCTTTAGCAAAAGACTCCTCAAGAAGAAAGCGAACTTTCTTTTTTTGTTGTTCCAGTTAAGGAACAAATATCAAGTCACAGAAGGGATTATCACAGCAGTGGCAACAAAGTCTAGAGAGTTGAGGGCCACAGAGTGCTTGCCACAGTCCTGGCCTCCTTGGAGTTCCAGGTAGCCCGACACATCTGCATGACTTACTTTTGGGCTGGTGAATGATACAGGGAGGGAGACAGGAACCAACCTTTAGAGAGAACCTATTATGGGCTTACAACTTTGCATGCATGGCCAAATTTAACCATGCCAGCACCCAGAGGGTAAGTTATCCTCATCTTATGAAAGAAGAACCTGGAGCTAAGGAGATTCAATGCCTTGCCCAAGTTGCAAAACTCCTAAATACAGACCTTGGATTGGAATCCAAGTCTTTGTGATTTTTGTTCTCTGCTCTTATCCCTAAGCCACAGTGGAAACTTTGGCACATCTGACTGCACTGTTTCTGTTTTTATTTTTAAATCCAGCCAAAGCCTCTTCTCATTGTTGTATCAGTTGTCTCTGGGTAACCAGGATGTTTGATAGGAGGAGTAAAGGAAGTAGGCCTACTAGCAGAGGGAAGGCAAATTTGACAGTGTCCCTGTGATGTGATTATATAAGGCTGATTCACAATCTTGCACCAATAATTTAAAGGCATACATTTTATTGTAATTTAATCCATTTCAATTTCATTAAATTCACTTTCATTCAATTCAGTTCAGTTCAGTTAACAAGGCTTCCCTGTAGGAGGCTTTAGTTTAGCCTCTAGGAACATGGAGATTAATTAGATTGTTCCTGTCCTGTCCTCAGGAAGCTCACAATCAGATGCAAGGACAACAGTCAGGTTTTAGCTTAAATACCTAATTATATAATCTTCATAAACAATTTTTTATGGAAAGAATATATTTCAAAATTCTGCATTAATTTATTAACAACTAACTACCAAATAGTTTTCCTGGCATATGAATATTTAAAAAGTGCCTTGTTCACTATTTATTTCCACAGCGGCATATAATTACTAATTTTGAAGATGATTCAATGATGTAAAAGAGTATTTACTCATATTTCTATTCGGAAGCAATCAGTGTATCTAAGAAAATATGTTGTTTGTTTTCAAAATCTTTACATAAAAACAACTTCCAACATGACTTGTTAAATGTAATTGTGTTGTTTATCTGAATGAGAAAATTACAAAATGAATATATTGTAACACATTTTAGTAAGAAAAAGAATGGTCAAATACTGAAAACTAGTTCCTCCTTGTGAGCGTTATTTAAAGCTATTGATTTGGGATTATTTAAAATACCATTTACAAACATTTTACAAATAATTCTCTGCAGTTATAAAAATACAACTTTTAGATAAAACTCACTTGTAATCCATGATGGTGCAATTTTGTTTTTTTTTTTTAATTTAGCTGGATTATGTTTTGAAGTTTAATATAATTAAGTCTTATTTTAAGATCAAACTAAGTTGAATTGAGGCTTATTTAATAGACATTTGAATTCATGGTAAAGTCACCAGAAAAGTCAAGATTTAAAAACCATTGACATGCTAAATACAAAATTCAGTTATAATATCCAACCTTTTTCTTTTTTTTTTTTTTTCTTGAGATGGAGTCTCTCTCTGTCGTCCATGCTGTAGTGCAGTGGCACCATCTCGGCTCACTGCAATCTCAGGCCATTCTCCTGCCTCACCCTCCTGAGTAGCTGGGACTACACGTGTGTGCCACCACACCTGGCAAATTTTTGTACTTTTAGTAGACATAGGGCCTCACCATGTTGGCCAGGCTGGTCTCGAACTCCTAACCTCAGGTGATCTGCCTGCCTTGGCCTTCCAAAATGCGGAGATTACAGGTGTGAGTCACCATGCCTGGCCAATAATATCCAAACTTGATGAGATTACTTGGGTTAGTTTATAAGTGGTATTTGTAACAAGTTAATACGATAGAACTTTTAAAGATGACAGCACTGCTCACACCGGCCTTTTCAGCAAAGGAATATCTTAATATACTTCTTGCCACCACGCTTAACTTGAACAGTTTTAAGTTGCCTAACATTGGGGAACACTGTGCTTCCCAGCATCTCACCTAATGTTGCCTTATCACTATCACAAGAATAGAAACAACTGATATTATCATTATTTTTTGAGACACACTTTTCCATAATAACATCCATTGCAATTTTAATGAAACCCAAATGGAAATTCAATTGATTAAAAACCCATCCTTTTTTTCATTTCCTCATTTTCAATGTAATTGAAACATTAACTTGAGTTGAGAATAGAAAAAAATTAAAAACTCAAAAAAAATATTAAGTGCAATGTGTTGGTATCATCCTGCATGTCATGTATTTGCCATCTTTGGTCCATGGGGAGCTGATTCTGGCAGTCCGCAGTACCACTGGAGACCTAACCCAGAACCATAGGAATCAAGCTCCCATGCTGATCGGGAACAAACTCCATTGTGTGTACATTTTTCAAAAATAAATGTTTTCATGGACCCTCCAATATGGAATTAGAGTATCTTTATCCTCATATTACTTAAATATGCATAAATATAAAATTGGATATAAACTCTTTGTGCTTTTATTTTTTACTTTTATTTTGAGACAGACTCTCACTCTGTAGCCCAGGCTGGAGTGCAGCAAGCATGATCTCGGCTCACTGCAACCTCCACCTCAGGGGCTCAAGCTAGTCTCCTGCCTCAGCCTCCTGATTAGCTGGGATTAGAGGTGCCCACCACCATGCCCAGCTAATTTTTGTATTTTTAGTAGAGACAAGGTTTCATCATGTTGGCCAGGCTGGTCTCGAACTCCTGTCCTTAGGTGATCCGCCTGCCTCGGCCTCCCAAAGTGCTGGGATTACAGGCATGAGCCACCGCACCTGGCCTCTTTATACTTTTAATTCATATCACTCTGAAGTTAAAACAAATTTACAAACTAAAACCAAACAAATTACAAAACATAAATAATTTAAATTGCCAAGCGTAATTCATTTTGCTGAAACTAAATTTCTGCTTGCACTTGGGCTGTGTCATGGATTATTCCTTTAATTTTAAAATGCTTATTCAACTTTGTTGGACTGAAGTCAATTTTCTCACCACTTTTATACTCCCTTAGAACCGTCATCCCTGCAGTTCACAGTGATGTCATTTGGAGTTCACGTGGAAGGAATGCATCATTTGCTAACTAAATCTGTCTCTGTTCTTTTCTCATTAGCCTGGAACAATTAAAGTAGTACTATTTGATTGGTGACAACTCATTTATGAGTGTAATTACAAATTTGGACACTGGAACTGTGAGAAAGGGTTTGGAACTAAAGCAGTCATACCATCAATTCAGAGTATGCTATTTTTAATTTTTTAAATCTTTAGCATTGATGTTAACAAATTTAAAAAGTCTGATAGAAAATGAAAAGACCTCTAAAAACTTGTCCTTGAACTTCTGTTTATAAAAACAGTCCTAAAATAACTCTGATAGGAAGTTATTTCTCACTTTATATCCTTTCTATCCTCCTTCAGTTTAACTTTGGGTGGGGCAGCAAATAACATCTGAAGGCTGGACATAAGGTAGTCCTGACTAGGTACGGTGGCTCATGCCTGTAATCCCAGAACTTTGGGAGGCTAAGGTGGGTGGATCACTTGAGGCCAGGAGTTTGAGACTAGCTTGGCCAACATGGTGAAACCCCGTCTCTACTAAAAATACAAAAAAAAAAAAATTAGCTGGGCGTGGTGGCACATGCCTGTAATCCCAGCTACTTGGAAGGCTGAGGCAGGAGAATCGCTTGAACCCGGAGCTGGAGGTTGCAGTCAGCCGAGATCATGCCATTGCACTCCAGCCTGGGCAACAGGAGTGAAACTCTGCCTCAAAAAAAATAATAAAAAGAAATAAGTAATAAAATAAACTCCATCAAAACAAAACAAAACAACAAGAAGAAGAAAAAACAAAGATAGTCCTGGAAGGAGATAGATCAAGATGACTTGGAGTCTTGGCATCTGAGTCATCAACAGAATCAAGTGGAGCAAATGAGAAAACAAAACTATATGTAGAGTGTGGGTCCTTCCTAATGGCTCTATTATGAAGGGATCTCCCTGAAAATCACCCTTTGGGATTCTATGTGTGAGCCAATGCTCCCTCATAGGTTAACATCTGGAATCATTTATAAGTTCAACATTCTCATGTATTGGTGGAAGATTCACACCTTAAGGTGAGCAGTCTTGATATACGATGAGCTGTTATCAGGGCATGGTTAGAGCTTAAAAAATAGGCACTCGGCAAACTTTGATGACTCCTGCCTGAGCTGCAGAAGCCTGCTAGTGCGTCAGGATGCTGTCAGATTAGGGATATCATATGGCTTAGGCCATAAGAGCTCTGAATTCCACCTTGGACCCTGCCACTTTAGACTAGGATGACCACGAGGATGACCTTGAGCAAGGAGTGGAGACTGTATAAGCGTCAGGTTTTTCTGCTATCAAATGGGAATAGTAGAAGCACTTCCCTTATAAGGCTGCAGGGAGCAACTAAATGGACTAAAGCAGGGAAAGTTCTTAACACCTACCCAGCACAGAGCAAGCGCTTAATAAATGGAACCATTATTATTTACATTAATAAAAAATTCAGTATTTTCATGTAAGCATGGGGAAGGATGGCTCTAGAATAGTGGTTCTCAACCTTGTGTGTTGAAGAGCTATAAGAAATAGTAACAGGCCAGATGCGGTGACTCACACCTGTAATCCCAGCATTTTAGGAGGCTGAGGTGGGCGGATCATGAGGTCAGGAGATCAAGACCATCCTGGCTAACACGGAGAAACCCTGTCTCTACTAAAAATATATTTAAAAAATTAGCTGGATGTGGTGGCAGGTGACTGTAGTCCCAGCTACTCTGGAGGCTGAGGCAGGAGAATGGCGTGAACCCGGGAAGCGGAGATTGCAGTGAGCCGAGATGGTGCCACTGCACTCCAACCTGGGTGACAGAGCGAGACTCTGTCTCAAAAAAAAAAAAAAAAAAAAAAAAGTAGTAACACCTTGATCCCACCCCAGAGATTCTGGTGTACTTGGTACATGGCGTGGCTGGGACATGGGGATTTTAGAAAGTTCCCAGATGGTTCTACTGTACACCCAAGGCCGAGAATCAATTCCTTCTCTAGAAGAGCTCATAGTAGGGGTAGTCTGGTGTCATGCATACTGGAAATTCAGATCCTCAGTCCCAGTCTGACTGTTGATAATTGATGTTGGGGCAAGACACTTTCCTACTCAGTTTCCCATTTATCTAGAATACGGGCCAGATTCCAACTAAACTTCACAGATTTAAAATTTTATGGTCTACCAGCTCAGAGAAGAGGGGAAAAAAAAGTCCCCTTGGTTATAACTCTGTCTCTAAGCTGCTTTGGAAAAAAAAGTCAAATCAATGAAGCAGTTATTTTTAAACTGTTCATCTAAAGATAAGCAAGCATGAAAAAAAAAGTAATCCTCCTTTTTACTTTTTTACTTGTTGATATTTTATAAACATCCCACAATAGTTGATATTTGGAGACACAAAACACAGAATGTTAAATGCACAGCAGCTAGAAGTTGGAAAGTGTGTATATTACCATGATTTTCCATTGGCTACTTTCTTTCTACCACTTAACCAAGAAAAACAAAGATCTGAGAATGTCTTCTATAGCAGCCCTGGCTCCTGGGATGTATAAGGTGACTCTTATATTAGATATGCCCCTGACAGGAAGGTCTGCATGTATTCTATGGGCAGAAAGTTTTAGGGGGAGGACAGATTGAAGTTCATACCTACATTGGTGTTGAATCTCAGTACCAGGCCCAAATTCATAAGGATTCACCCCAGTTCCTTGGCTGTCCATTCACAACCACCTCCTAGTAACTAGGCTTTAGAAAGTACACTGAAGGAAAACATCAGTGACCATCGTGAGATGTACAAGTAGCACAATAATGACCATGTGCATAGCAATTCATAGCATACAGAATACTTTCATATAAGTCATTAAAATTTTAGGAAGTAGCATTTACTTCATAAGGCTGCAGAGGGGAGCTAAATGGACTAACTCAGGGAAATTTATTGACACATTCCCCAGCACACAGCAAGTGCTAAATTTTATCTTAAATTTTTAAATTAAAAATGTATTGTGGGCCAGGTGTGGTGGCTCACGCCTATAATCCCAACACTTCGGGAGGTTGAGGCAGGCAGATCACTTGAGCTCAGAAGTTCGAGAACAGCCTGGCCAACATGGTGAAACCCTGTCTCTACTAAAAATACAAAAATTACCTGGGCGTGGTGGTGGGGCATCTGTAATCCCAACTACTCGGGGGCTAAGGCACCAGAATCTCGTGAACCTGGGAGGCAGAATTTGCAGTGAGCAGAGATCGTGCCACTGCATTCCAGCCTGGGTGACGGAGCAGGACTCAGTCTCAAAAAGAAAAAAAAAAACATATGCACACATACACACACATTGTGTATTAGTGTTCACAATAAGCCTGTGTGGATAAAATATTTTTATTCTAGTTTTGCAGAAGAGGAAATTGATGCATAAAGAGATAAGGTGATTCATTTGATGGTATCCATATTGTATAGTAGGTGTCTGAGCAAGGACTCTGTCTCCCATGACAAATTCTGGGTATCTCCACTGGACCGGGCTCACATATGGAGTGGGAACTGTGAATCTTATAGAACCAGGAAGTCTCATAATCCTTTAGTGGCGGTGACAGGAGCACTTAACTCTAGAATATCTGAGATTTGTCCTTTCCTCTATCTTCCCCTCTAATATCTTCTTTCACACCTGCCTTTCTCCACTTTCTTGTATTCCTTCTCGGACTTTCTTTATCTTCTCTTCCCTTTTTTCTCTTTCTCTCAAGAATCTGGTAACTTCACAGAGCTGGAGCCTCTTTTCTTCTTCGAAATATATCTATAATTCTTGAGCTCCACTTTATTTTTCCCAAGGGAAGCCTTTCCTTATCCTGATTAAGATGAGTGTTCTACTCTGGTCCCTGTGCTGCTTGGCTGGAGCCAAACACCCTTCTGAGTTCATGCAGACTTCATCTCGCAAGACACTGGATCCAGATCCCCATCTACCACTGGACCTGAGGGACAGAGGAAACTATTCCTTTCCCCTAGCTTCCCTTCTAATATCTTTATTCTTTCCTGCATTTCTCTACGTTCTTGTATTCTTCGTCTGGCTTTATTTCATACTCTATTGTTTGCTCTTTCTCCCAAGAATATGGTAACTTCACAGAGCTGGAGCCTCTTTTCTTTACAGCTTTGAGCCCATTCTCTCTTGGCACTAAGGTTCTTGTGTCTGCCAGGCTCTACCTGACATCACCCTTGAACATCCCCTGAATGTGTGCTTAAAGTTTGCATGTACTATGCATACTCTTCTTTTGTCCTGTCAATGGAGGGCTGCTCTTGCCTCTGGTTTCTGCGTCCTTCCACCCAAGCCTTGGCTGCTGAGGCCCATACCCTTGTAAAGTATAATATGTTCTCCTTCTCCTTCAGGGGTTCTGTATCCTTATCAAGGAAGCTTGGTGAGGAACTGAGAATACCCATTTTCTTTTATTGATTAGTCTTCAACTCTGCGAAATTTTAACTGATTCAATAAGTTTAATTATTTTAAGATTGAGGATTTTTTTTTCTGTGAAAATACTATAAAATCATGCTATTGATCTCAACCTTTAGATTTAAGGGTTAACGATTGTTTTCTATAGAACTCTCAATTTCATGCTAAATTTTTCTTTTTAAAGGACATGTTTTTCCACATGGTAAGATTGGATAATAATCATTTGAACTAGACCAGAATTTAATTCTGATGTCATTCATATAGAAGATTATTTTTGCTTATGAATAATTTAAACCAATTTTTGGTTTGCTGTGTTCAGTAAAGAAATCCAGTTGAGTATATATTTCTCTTCTCTTTTCTATCTTTGTTAGTCACCATGTGTTTTTAAATTTAAATTAGTGTATGTATTATTAGATGTGTGACATAGAAAATGCCTAACCTATATGGAAATTCAAGGTTCCAAAAGCTATGTAATTTGAGTTAGATAATATAAGACCTTGACTTGTTTCTTTATTGCTGAGTTCTGGTATATTTTTATATAAGCCATTGTTGCATAGCCTAAAAGAGAATTGCTTCCTTTATCAACCTCATTTTACTCGACAGTAACAAACTAAATTTTAACTCAATGATGGCCAATGGCTATTTCAGGTCTAACATCTTTTTCATGTTAGTCCCAAATCACCAACCTTACATAAAACATGTAAGTAAAACTCAATTATTTAGTATAAAAATCTCAGATATCTTGTATTTTTTTACGTTACTAAAAAGGACCACAAGATAAATATATTTCCCTCACTAGGTGAATACTGGCTTCTCTAGTCCAAACAAAAGCATAGTTTTCTTTCTTTATTTCTTCCTTTCTTCCATTTTCCTCCCTTCCTTCCTTGCTCCCACCCTCCCTCCTTCTCCTCTTCCTTCCTCTTTCCTTCCTTTCCCTTTTCTTCTTTCTTTTACCTTACTTTGTTTGATAGCGTCTTGTGTGATTAAAATGTCTATATTGGTACAACCTCACAAGATTTTAGATGGATTAATTTCTTTTAAAACTAAGTTGCACTTTTAGGGGAGATGCTTAATCATTCCAATATATAAGGATATTTGCACTTTCAGATACAGACTCCCAAAACTTGGAAACATTATTCAAATGCGTGCACATTTAAAAATCTTCTCAGACATTGTTACTTTATTTCTACCAGATGGCTCTGTGATTCATTAAAGCCTGTGATTCCATTAAATGGGGGGCAGCTCAATGGGAAACTCTGACTGTCTCTGATTGTTCCACCACCTTACCTTGAATCTGCCTACCTACATTTCATTAAAGCAATAAACCATGCCCTTGCATATTCCTGTGGTTTAATGTTTAGGAGACTTAGATGGCTGATCACTGAGTAAGAACACACAATCTTGTGAGCCATCAGGGTTTCTCAGAACTCTTTCAATTCTCAAAAGTCCTTAATTTGAAGAGGCAGTTCGCTAATGCCTTAAACAAGTTCCCATGACCTCTCCATCTGCTTTCATTAAAATAGGGTAAATTGCTCGCTCTTCTTTCACTTTCTCCAAAAGTGACATGGACGTGATTACTGTCTCCATCGCCCAAACAACAAGTCATCTGATAACCCTCCACTTCTCCCTTCAGAATCCACAGCACGCCACCTCTGGAAGAATGGTGTGGGGGAGTAGAGCATACAAACCTGCTATGTGAGTTGAAGGAGCTATTCACACACCTTTGCATTTCTCTTACTGCAGGTATTTAACCTACGGCAAGTGTATTCAGACTTTCCACATATATCCAAACATTCTTACTGACAGGTGTCAATTATAATTAATATAAATATTTTTGTTAAATATATCTAGCAGTCCATTCTATACTCTTAGAGCCTGCTGTATCCAGTACGTAATGGTATTATTGTCAGTTTAATCATCTCTGTCTCTCTCCTATAAAACTCAGATCTCTTTGAGGTCATCAGCTTTGTAATATTTGTTTACTTCCTGCAGATTCTGGTACAGTTTCTGTGGTTGAATGACTAACTCATTGACCACTCTTGTTTGATCACATCCAGGGGAGGAATATACTTAACCAGATTTTTTATGAGGGAGGCCAAGTGTTCAGACCAAGAACTCTAAACTAGTAATTTACTTCATTGAAATTAACCCCACATATTCTGGTACTTTGTTATTTATACTACAACATTTATTTATACAACACATCCCATAAAAAAGAAGGATACATTGGAGGAAATGAAACTGAATTTGAGGCTTAACAAATTGGTATAATCAAATCCCATCAGTGTAGCAAAAATGAGAGAAAATCCTAGACAGTGAAATCTAGGAGATGGAGATGAGGGGAAGAAGTGAATATGGGTTTAGAAAAGGGTTTGCCTTTCTTTCTTTCTTTTTTTTTTTTTTTTTGATGGAGTTTCTCTCTTTTTGCGCAGGCTGGAGTGCAGTGGCACAATCTCAGCTCACTGCAACTTCTGCCTCCCGGGTTCTAGTGATTCTCCTTCCTTAGCCTCCAGAGTAGCTGGGATTACAGGTGCGCACCACCACACCCGACTAATTTTGTATTTTTAGTAGAGACGGGGTTTCACCATGTTGGCCTCGCTGGTCTCGAACTCCTGACCTCATGTGATCTGCCCGCCTCAGCCTCCCAAAGTGCTGGGATTATAGGCATGAACTCCCGTGCCCGGCCTGCCTCTCTTTTACTTACTCTTAGAACTGGAATCTTGTGGAACAGGCTGTGCAGTTTTGAATATTTGCTGCCTACATTTTACATACCTTTTTCAAGACGTCTACTGCAGGAAAAAAAAACCTATCATAAGAGATAAACACTCAGACAATATAATACCGTGTTTGCTTATAGCTTCTCCCCTAAAGTTAACTGTCAGTTAAGACTGTCTGTTTTAGCCATGAGAAACCCACAACTGGATTGTGTGAATCTTGTGCTTTCAGGCACCGAGTGGGGCTTTGCCACCGATGCCTTCATTCATACTCCTTAGGTCAGCTGGTCACTTAGTTGGCATGTTGGATCTGCTTGGATTGCAGTAAAGCTG
Organism: Homo sapiens; assembly: GCF_000001405.40. Taxonomy (NCBI): domain Eukaryota; kingdom Metazoa; phylum Chordata; class Mammalia; order Primates; family Hominidae; genus Homo; species Homo sapiens. The sequence goes on along the minus strand of NC_000002.12, from coordinate 14,523,220 downwards.
CAAATATCATTCCTGGACTCAAGAGACTGGTAATTTATAAAAGGAGACAAAATTTTAGTGTAACATACAGTAAAGTGTAATAAGTGACTCAAACTACTAGTCTTGAACAGAGAAATTGTAAACGAATAACACAAGAGCTTACTACTTCTGATTTTCTGCTCATATAGGTATGTCTTGTTTTAAAATATTTCTTTATGCCCCAAATTATGCACAAATACAAACACACAGGCACACTACAGCATGATGATATGTTCCAAACACAGAACAGCTGTGAAGAACATTCTTGAACTCAATGAACTCCACCCTTGCTAAAAGAGAAAAATGAACAGTGTTATCCATGAATATATATTATCCTACATACATACACTATATGTATGTATGTATTTACACATATGGCTAGTATTTCATAATATATACACATACATACATACATACATATGTTAATATTTAGGGTATAAAAATTCTCACATTAGATAAAATATTGCTAAAAAGCCTAGAAACTTCTCTCAAGTGGATAGATACTAGATCCATAAATTAAAATACTTTTTTTTGAAAAGTCAGAGGAAAAATATTCTGATACTTTGAATGGCTACTCAAATAATTACAAGAATAATTAAAGGTAACATTTTCTTGTCCTGACTTTGAATTTGTTTGGGAGGAGTAATAGTATGTATTCAATTCTTCCTAATAATTAGTGTCAAGAAAAAATGTATCTTCTGTTCATTCCTCTTTTGGACAAAAAGCTGACGGTAGCTGAGGACTGGATAAGGAATGTATTAGTCTGTTCTCATGCTGCTAATAAAGACATACCCAATGCTGGTAGTTTATAAAGGAAAGAGGTTTAATTGACTCACAGTTTCACATGGCTGGGGAGACCCTACCATCATGGTGGAAGGCAAAGGAAGAGCCAAGTCATGTCTTACATGGAGGTAGGCTAGAGAGTGTGTATAGGAGAACTCCCCTTTATAATACCATCAGATCTTGTGAGACTTACTCACTATCATGAGAACAGCCTGGGAAAGACCCATCCCCATGTTTCAACTACCCCCCACCAGGGTCCTTCCCCCGACATGTGGGAATTATGGGAGCTACAATTAAGATGAAATCTGGGTGGGGACACAGTCAAACCATATCAAGGGAAGTATGGTGGTTCGAATATTAGTACCAGACAATGTTGTTACTATAACTCGGCAGTCATTAATTTATCCATTCAAAAAATATTTACTGAGCTCAAGGCCAAGCACATAGAACCAATGCTGGGAGTAAAGATAAAAAACACACGCAAGACAAAATCCATATTCCAAAAACAATAGCAGAAATATTTCCTGTCCCACATGCTCTTCCAGAACTTTTTATGAAGTCTATGCCCTCTCCTCTTGAACTTGGTCAGGCTTTTGTAACTGACTTGACTGTACAGCAACCCTGACTTCTGAGGCCAGGTCATAAAAGGTAATGCAACTTCTGGTTTTCTTGGGATACTTGCTTTGAGGGCCTTGAGCTGCCATTTGAGAAGTTTGAGGTTGCCATCTTGTGCGGAAGCCCAAACTAACTCACGCGGAGCAAACACATGGAGAAGAGAGATGTCCAGTCAGCCCTTAGCTGCCTTCCACTGTTCCGGCTCTAGTCACTATCTGCCGACTGCAGAAGACTGCAGATCTATGCAGATATGCCCAAGACTGAACCATCTATGACTACAGAAGAAACTCCAAGCCAGAATTGCCCAACTAGATGATTCTCAAATTTCTGACCCCTAGAAATCATGAGAGATAAATGGTTGTTGTATTTTAAATAACTATTTTTAGATTATTTGTTACACAACAATTGATAACTAGAACAGACCTGAAGTATATTCTAATTTCATGGGAGATATGAGCCTTAATAATTTACATAAATTTCATAATAAATTATATATAGATCACAATGTAAGAGAGAGAGACTTATAAATATCACAAGAGAAAAGTAATTAAAGCACCATATAAACTCAGAGAAAGATGGAATGAAGTACCCCTGAAGCTAACATTGAAAACCCTGTCGGAGAGCTGGTGAATGAACTGGGCCTTCACTTAAGGATGAAATTTGGACATGAAAAATAAGAAAATTTCAGGTAGAAGGAACAAGTTACTCATCAACATATAACTGGCTTTACATATAATATCTTACACGTGACTCAATTATAGTGGCCCATTCAAACCTTATAGGACAAGATTACCGTTCTATGGTGCCTTATGCCATTTTGTCTTATGGCAAAATCATCCTTATGTTTTTACTTCTACTCTGGAATTCATATCCGTTTCATACAATATGTGTTATTTTGAGAGTTGCTGGGATTTATGGCATCCTCTGTCTTCATCAAAATCACTTTGTCAGAGCACCTGCTATGTTCTTGTCCCTCTGGCTGGCTTTGGAGAAAAGGGAGGAACAGGACATTATCTTTGCCTTAAAGGAGCTCATGGCCTAGTCACAGCGGCAGTGCTGAGAACTGGGGGATTAAAAGAACGGCAAGTTAAGAGAAAACTAGTGGCACATAGGAGGGAGTAAGCAACTGTGCAGAGGAGGTGATATTCTGACTGAATCATTAAGGATGGAGCTTTGCCAGACAGAAAGAGAAGAAAGAATTCCCGGCAGGGGGGTGGTGGCATGTACCTGTAATCCCAGCTACTCAGGAGGCTGAGGCAGGAGAATGGTGTGAACCCGGGAAGCGGAGCTTGCAAAGAGCCGAGATCACGCCACTGCACTCCAGCCTGGATGACAGAGCAAGACTCCATCTCAAAAAAAAAAAAAAAAAAAAAATTCCCGGCAGAGAAGACAGGAAGAGAAGCAGCGCCAAATGTAAAACATGGTATGTTTTGGGAAATACAAATAGTTCAGCACAACCCAGGGCATAAGATCTAAATCGGGAACCTGAGTGTTGAGCTAGAAAAGGTGGCAGAAGGCAGCTTACTGAGGGGCCTGCATTCCTCATTTGCTGAGAGGTTTGGCCTCATCCCAAAGGTGACAGAGAACCTTAGGAAAGGTCTCATTGTACTGAGCTTATACAGTCAAATTGTAATTATTTCTTACGTAACTGTTCTCTCTATGTATGGTTTTTGGAGACAGAACATACTTTTTGTTGAAAAACCATCACATTTCTGCCTACTTTAAGATTCTGACATGCATTTTCCCAATGGGTAGTATTCACCCTAATGATTAGACCTAATGTAGCCTGAAGAAAATGTCACCTTACAGGAATCAGAGGCAATGTATTCCAAAGTGTTTTCCACTCACTGCTCTTTCTGGAAATGTGGTTTCTCATGCCATGAAACTTGCATGATGCCATAAAGACACTGATTGTACTAATTTATGGACCCTGGCTCTGTCAGATACATTGATCTCCTAGAGACAGATTAATTACAATTCAAGGACCCCTACCCCCATACAAAACACACACTACTGGTCTTTTCCCACTGTCAGGAAATTCTGGTGGTAAATAATTCAAGAAAAATGCAACCCCAGTGGGAACTGCAAGTGCCTGTATTTCATGACCCATGATATCCCCTATGATGTGTGATGCTGTGCCAATGAGACCACAGGCTCATTAATGAACCCTCACACTGCTGTATTGTTCCGCTCCCTTTGGCTCAGGTTATCTGATCTGCCCAAAGTCTTTTCATTCATTGTCCTCTACAAAGAAGGGCAATTCCTCCACAAAACCCATCGTCATATTTTTTTCTTTTCTGTAAGGCTGATGGTGTTCTAAACGCCTTATACATGTTTTGCTGTTGCTGTTGTTGTTGTTATTGTTTTCTATTCAGGTCTTTTAGAGTTTCAGGAAGAGACTTTAAAATCAGCCACCATTGTCCATTGAAGATATTTGTTTTTTAGCTTTATTCAATTGAAAATCATACTCCCTAGGCAGTTAATAACTCTGGTTATATATTTCATGGTAAACAGCAGATATGACTTTAGAGCTCAAAGAATTGATGGTCTAGCTCAGTATTGTTGGTAAAAGAGCAATGTTTAAAAAAGCAGTCTTTTACAAAAAATTAGCTGAGCGTAGTGGCGGGTGCCTGTAACCCCAGCTACTCAGCAGGCTGAGGCAGAAGAATCGCTTGAACCCAGGAGGTGGAGGCTGCAGTGAGCCAAGATTGTGCCACTGCACTCCAGGCTGGGTGACAGAGCGAGACTCCATCTAAAAAATAAAAAAAATGTTTTAGAATGGGCAAAACACTCATGCATAAGGTCCTTTGAGCCCTTTTGGATGTTGGTTACTTGGGCACACCAATTAGCTTGGAGTACATTCTGTTCCGTTCCGTTTTTTCCAAATCTTTTTCTTAGACTTTCCCCTCCTGTCCTTCTCTAGGGTGAGTACCTTTAATATATTTGTTTCTAAAATCAGCAATTCACATCCCTGTGTCATTTAACTCACGACCACCTTGGAAGAGAAGTACTGTTAATCTAATTTTCCCAATGAGGAACTGACATTTAGAGAAACTCCATAACATGCCCCAGGTTACACGGCTACCCAGCGGAAGAGCTCAGCTCCCAATCCTCAACTGTCTGACTTCAAAATGCTTTTCTTATTCACTGTCCTAAGTAAGTTCCCTTCCAGATATCTGCCTAAAATAATTTCTAGAAGTTTCCTTCTGCTTAGGCCTTTAAGAATATGACAAAGGGATTGCTTGGTGCTTATAAAGTTTTGTCATATAATTTAGTTATTTTAATTATAATGAATGGAGGGCATATCTAAGCTTCCATCCTTTGCCCTTTGAGATTAATATAAAATTGACTAGGTTTTTGCTTGCACTGATGCAGTAATATCCAATCTTTTGGCTTCCGTGGGCTACATTGGAAGAAGAAGTACTGTCTTGGGCATAACATAAAGCAGACTAACACAGGAACAGAAAACCAAACACCGCATGTTCTCACTCATAAGTGGGAGTTGAACAATGAGAACACATGGACACAGGGAGGGGAACATCACACATGGGGGCCTGTCAGGGGGTCGGGGGCTAGAGGAGGGATAGCATTAGAAGAAATACCTAATGTAGATGTTGGGTTGATGGATACAGCAAACCACCAAGGCACATGTATACCTATGTAACAAACCTGCACGTTTTGCACATGTATCCCAGAACTTAAAGTATAATAATAATAATAATAATAATAATAAACAGACTAACACTGATGATAGCTGATGAGCTAAAAGAAAGGTCCATGCGTAAATCTCATAATGTTTTGAGAAACTTTATGAAGTTGTATTGGGCTGCATTCAAAGCAGCCCTGGGCCACATGCGGTCCACAGCTGTGGGTTGGACCAGTTTGGACTAAACTCTCTTGTCTGTTGTTTGTTCTTCCCTTACACACCCAGAAATGGAATGCAATCCCTGCTCTATAATTTTTTAAAGGCATTTATATGTACAAAACAGACCTTAATAAATATTTGGGGCAGTGATTGGGTTTTATTTAGTAGCTGTGCGAACAATGTAAAATTAAATACTAGGTGCACCATCAAAAGTGAATATATAAATTCAATTACAGGATTAATACAGTAGCCAGAATTCCTTGTAAACAATACTAAAATAGAATGAAAATAAAAGTTGCTGGCAGGGTGTAGTGGCTCATGCCTGTAATCCCAGCACTTTGGGAGGCCGAGGCAGGCGGATCATGAGGTCAGGAGATCAAGACCATCCTGGCTAACAGTGAAACCCCGTCTCTACTGAAAATACAAAGAATTAGCCAGGCGTGGTGGCAGGCACCTGTAGTCCCAGCTACTCGGGAGGCTGAGGCAGGAGAATGGCGTGAACTGGGGAGGCGGAGGTTGCAGTGAGCCAAGATCGCGCCACTGCACTCCAGCCTGAGTGACAGAGTGAGACTCTGTCTCAAAAAAAAAAAAGAAAGTTGCTTTTACTGTAGATCATTTATTCTATCCTTAATGTGTCATATGCAAGATGCCTGTCTTTCTGGCATCTTACCACTTGAAAACCCTTCCTTCCCACTACTGATTTCCTCAGCAGCATCAGCATCAGCATCCAGCCATGTCAGGCTCTTCAGCTCAGAACTGGCTTGCAGCTCAGTTCCACTCTTTTTTATTTTTTAAATGTAGACTTATCTAGTGTTCCAACTCTCAAAATGACTCATCAATGTGCTCTGCAAAACAGAGGACCATTTCCTCTTTTCATCTCTTTGTAGCCTGGTAAACCTGCTTGCAAATACTTAGGAAATTTAGTCATCTTCCCCCAAAAGTCTTTAGCAATGTAAAGCTATGAAATGGCCCATTCCCTTTCTTTACTGTCCATACACTCACCTCCAAAATATTCAAACTGTTAAGCTTCTACAGTCAGATCTGGTTTCATGTATCTATTTTAAAAAAATGATCGTGCTGCACAGTCACATACTACAAAGATACACAAATTGTATTACAAGGTTATACCTGGTTATCAATTTCCAAACAGCTCCTCATTAAGGAATAAATGAAAACGCTACAAAAATTATTTTCTACCTCATTTTTGGTATTTGTTCAGTTTTATTGATTCTTTTTTTTTTTTTTTTTTTTTTTTTTTAGATGGAGTCTTTCTCTGTCTCCCAGGCTGGAGTGCAGTGGTGTGATCTCGGCTCACTACAACCTCTGCCTTCCCTGTTCAAGTGATTCTCTTGCCTCGGCCTCCAGAGTAGCTGGGATTACAGGCACAGGACACCACACCCAGCTAATTTTTGTATTTTTAGTAGAGACGGGGTTTCACCATGTTGGCCAGACTGGTCTCGTACTCTTGACCTCAAGTGATCCACCCGCCTCAGCCGCCCAAAGTGCTGGGATTACAGGCGTGAGCCACCACACATGGCCTGATTCTTTTATATGTGATTTTTATTGTTCCTACTCTAAATTAGCCTATGCATACTTATTTTCACTTTTTTGGGTCATTTGAAGAAAATATTTAATCTTTTTAGCTTACTTTACTTACTCCAATGACATAAAGTTTCACAGTGCAGACTATGGTTGAGCATTGGACTCTAGAGTTGGACAGCTGAGCAGCAACTTGACTCTTACTAGCATACTAGCTGTGCAACATTGAACAAGTATTCAACCTCTCTTAGCTTCAGTTTTCTCATCCACAAAATGGGGAAATAAATAATAATCACTTTAAATGTTGTTGTGAGTATGAAAAATGAGGTCATTTTAGGAGAAGAATTTAGCATGGCAGTTGCCATATAGAAAACTGTCAAAATATGCAAGCAGCTATCCATGTTTTTTTTTTAATTTAATTTTATTTTTTAAAGGCAAGGCCTCACTCAGTCACCCAGACTAGCATATGGTGGTGCAATCATAGCTCACTGCAGCCTCTGGCTCAAAGGATCCTCCTGCCTTAGCCTCCTGAGTAGCTGTGACTAAAGGCACCTGCCACCATGGCTGATTAATTTTTAATTTCTTTTTGTAGAGACGGGGGCTGCTATGTTGCCCAAGCTGGTCTCAAACTCCTGGCCTTGGCCTCGCAAAGTGCTGGGATTATAGATGTAATCCACTGTGCCTGGCTCCATGTTATTTTTGTTCTTTTCAAAAATAATTATAAATGTTTGTCTCTAACTGTTGTTAACGAATTCACTGAGAATGATTTTCTTTTAATAAAAAGGAAAGAGATCATGCCAGGAAACAGTTTGCAAACCAGGAAGGTATAGCCTTTGGTATGAAACAAAGATGCACTCCCAGAAAACAAAGACAGAGGTTGTCTTTTATAGAGAAAGTTCCCACCCTGCTTTCTACTCTGGTCTGCTATGAAAAAGAGGAATGCAAACTTGTTTAGTTTTGATTGGTTAAGCTTGCTGAAATCTGATTGGTCACACAGTCTATTTGTTAGATCCAGGAGGCAAAATGGGATTTTCCAGCAGTCATTGATACAAGCAGCACGAACAAGAACAGATAGCTATAAAGTCCCAAAGTTATGTGAGCATGTAGGTTTTCTGGGAACAGAGAGTACTTGTGTGACCTCTAGTCAGCAAATGGCTGCTTGGCTCTATTTTTGAATTTATGCTTTCAGCCACTCTGGAACCATCTTAAAAATTGTCTTTTTCAGGATTCACACTATTTATTACCTTGGGGATAAAGTTTCCCCATTTGCCAAGTCCCTCAGCCCCTCATCTCTTCTTTGAATGTGCTGTGCTGCAATCAATTGCTTTTGTCTTCTGTGCCTAAAGGGGGCATATTTTTCTTTTAGACAGAAATGAACTGTTTGAGCAGAAAATTGATGCCATGACCCTCCCTATACAATGATATTTAAATCAAAAATTTATCGTCTAAATTTCCAAAGACCTGCCCAGTTTGTAGTTTTAGGTGCATCACTGGTTAGCCATTTCTGCATGATACTGTGTTTGCTACATTAGTTCATGTTATTCCTGCTCTATGGAGAAAGAACTGAGGATGGGAGAGGTTGGGTCACATGTGCAGTGTAGCCATGTAGCTTGATTTATAGAAGCTTGATTTTTAGAAGACTGAAGCTTGATTTACAGAAGGACGCAAAACATGTTTGTTCATTAGGTTATTCAACAAATACATATGGTGCAACTAGGCAATGATTAAATAAGTCAATTCTCAGAGAACGTTTTCAGTGATAGGTCTTCACTGTTATTTAACTGAAGGAGGGTAAAGCTTGTCTTTTAGTTCCCAGTAAATCTTTGTCCATTTTTGAAGTACTGTCAAGCAATTAGCAAGCAAATGTGAAAATGTACTCAGGTAGGTTCTTATGTGCCTTCTCCTACCCTTCCTATAACAGGGAAGTCCAGGGAGTTTTTCTCCCTGGATAAATAAGCAAGAAACACAGTGTGACTTGTGTGCAACCCAGTGAGAGAATGAGAACATTACCCCAAATTTTTGCTGTGGCTCCAACATAAAAAAACTCTCACTGACTTCATTTGGAATATATAATCTCCTCCAGAAAGGCTGAGGATGGCTGCAAAGGCTCAGACAGGCTCTAAATAAAGTCTCTTCGGAGGAGGTTTGGAACTTCAAAGCAAAGCAATTGAGTCTCAGAGAAAAAAGAAACCTCTGGGGTCACCTCAGTGTGCTTCTCCACAGGCACCAAGCTGCTCACAGAAGTTCCTCTTATTCAGGAAAAGGTTGCAGCCCTGCTGTCTCAGGAGGAGGCCAGCTTGACTCAGAGATTCTAAAATTTCCTGAATGTTTCTTAATTTGTTCCATTCTCTCCATTGCTACCAAGTAACCTTAGCTGTAAATCTTCATATATCTTCTCTAGGCTCTTGCATCAGCCTAACAGGTCCCTGCCCAATGTCTAGCCACAGCCCTCTTAATTTGCAATTGCCAGAATTTTTTTTTTTTCAACTACAAATATGGTCAGGTTAATTGTCTCCTCAGAATCTTTCAAATCCTAGCATTTTATGCAAAGATCAGATGTTTTGTCCTGTGCTTATCTATCTTACTTCATTTTCTGTTTCCTTAGTACTAACGTCACAGTTCCTTGCATGGTCTGTGGAGGCCAACATCTCTGTACCTTTACACATGCTGTTTTCTGAGACACCTGTCCTTCTGCCTTCTCCCAGTTGTTCAGTTAGTAAGTCTTTCCAAATGTATACCTCTTCTAGGTACATGTCTAGGCTGGATAAGGGCCCTTATTTTTCCCAAGTAAGCATCCTAGGCTTACCTTTCCAAATGAATGCTTTCTCCTTTGAAGAAATCATCATTGGAGGCTATGCACATATTCTGAGGTGCATTAAATATATTGTTTTAAAGTCAATTAAAGGCTGGGCGCAGTGGCTCACGCCTTTAATCCCAGTACTTTGGGAGGCTGAGGTGGGCAGATCACCTGAGGTCCAGAGTTCGAGACCAGCCTGGCCAACATGTTGAAACCCCGTCTCTACTAAAAATACAAAAAATTAGCCAGGCGTAGTGGCGCATGCCTGTAGTCCCAGGTACTCAGGAGGCTAAGGCAGGAGAATCGCTTGAACTCAGGAGGTGGAGGTTGCAGTGAGCTGAAATCGCACCACTGTACTCTAGCCTGGATGACAGAGTTAGATTCTGTCTCCAAAAAAAAAAAAGTCAATTAAAATATTTTCAAGCCTTGTTTCTCACTAGATGGCCTTTGACCTACAACATTGGAGATAGTTTGTGTCATGTTTTAACACATGTGTTTTCAAATCAGGCACATTGGGCTCAAATAACAATTCTGTCAAGTACTAGTATGTGTCCTTGAACAATTTCACCAGCTTCTGAACATCATTTTTTCCTCTTTAATATATAGAAAATACAGCCACATAAAGTTTTTGTGAAAATTATTTTTATTTATTTATTTTTTATCATTTTTTTGAGACAGGGTCTGACAGTATCCCATGCTGGAGTGCAGTGGTGCAATCATAGATTACTGCAGCTTTGAACTCCTGGGTCCAGTGATCTTCCTGCCTCAGCCTCCCAAGTAGCTGAGACTACAGGTATGTGCCACCATGCCCAGCTAAAAATTAAATAATGCAATGGATAAGTAAGACATATTTAGCACAATAAATGGTACATATATGTTGGTTAATAAATATAAAAGGTTATATATCACATTTTCAAAAATATTTTTTGACCTTCTCAGTTGCCTATTCTCTGCTTTCTGTTCTCTCATAGAACTTTCTTTCATATGTGATGCAATTAAGGCCCATAATAGGACATATTATACAGGAGGGATAATATGTCCTATTATGGAAATAGAGAGAGGAGGATAAGCAGGCACTTTTAATAGTACACCAAAGGATGTTGTCCTGAGTTCTAAGTGAATTCATAAATGTAAAATGGCTGACACATATTGGGTACTCCATGAATGTTTAGATTACCTTTTCACTGATGGCAAAACGTGGTTTAATGAAGTTATTTATGTTCTTGGAAAAATATTGGAAAAAGATCTAAAGCCAAACTATGGTAGTCAGAATCATGGCCACCCCAAAAATGCCCATGACCTAATCCTTGGAATTTGTGAATATGCACTCTTACAGGCAAAGGGGGATTAGGGTACCTGATGCCACTAAGTTTGCTAACCAGCTGACCCTAAAATAGGGAGATTCTCTAGATTATCCAGAAACTGTTAATGGATTCTCCCTCAGGTCTCCAGAAGGAATGTGGCCCTCCTGACACTTTGATATTAGCCCAGGGAGACCACAGTCTGAAAGGATTGTGTGATAAAACTTTGTGTTGTTTTAAGTCAATAAGTTAGTCGTAATTTGTTACAGCAGCATCGGCAAAGTAATATACAAACTAAAGAACAAATATGAACTTCTGATGGCTAGCCAGGAGCCTGGAGTTTTGTTATAGGGTACTGCATTGGTAGTTAAAACAAAATTGCCTATAAAGTACAGAACTGAGTTTCTTTAGGAGCTCATGAACTATCTTGGCACATAATTCCTGAAAGCTGATGTGGTTCTCACCGTTTACCTTTATCTTACCAGTAAACTTCAGAGAAAACCAGCATGTCTTCGGTAGCCGGGAAAGTGTTAGGGGCCGTCACATTTTTGATCTCCCTATGTATGAGGGTAGTTGACTTAATGCTGGTGAAGAAGGAATGCAGTGGCAGCTGTTCTGTAAAATGCTGCACATTTGTTAATCATGTTCATCATCATGATGACAACAATAATGACTAGTAGTTGTTCAGTATATTTCAGAAGTTGTACATATGTTTTTCTAATCTTCACCCCAAAAAGAAATCATACAAAGTAGCTATTCATGTATCTATCTATCTATCTATCTATCTATCTATCTATCTATATATATATATATTTTTTTTTTTTTTTTGAGACGGAGTTTCGCTCTTGTTGCCCAGGCTGGAGTGCAATGGCACTATCTCGGCTCACTGCAATCTCTGCCTCCCGGGTTCAAGCAATTCTCCTGCCTCAGCCTCCCGAGTAGCTGGGATTACAGGTATGCACCACCACGCCCAGCTAATTTTGTATTTTTGTAGTAGAGACAGGGTTTCTCCATATTGGTCAGGCTGGTCTCGAACTCCCAACCTCAGGTGATCCGCCCGCCTTGACCTCCCAAAGTGCTGGGATTACAGGCATGAGCACCATGCCTGGCCCATATATGTATTTTTAAAATTAGGGAATTGAAGCACAAAGAAGTGAGTTGCCCAAAGGTGTAGAACCTGTACATCACGGTGCCTCTACCAACATCTGGTCTTGGAGACTCAAGCCCGTGCCTTGTACGTTATGTAGTACTGTCTCCCTAACAAGCTGCACTTCTCTTTTTCACTTTAGAATAAAAAAGCAACTGACATTATTCTAAAATTTGTATCATACCTTGGTTTGTGAAACTCACCCCCATGCCCCCTGCCATGAAACCAATTCTGTACACAGAACTATTTGATGGGTTTGATATTCAATGTCCATTCTTTCTAATAGATGTTGCATGTCAATATGCTGCTTATGGTGCTGAAGAGCTATTATTTCACTACAATATCATCATATAAAATGTCATTGTGTTTTCCCAGGCACAGTGCTGTGATATGCAGTAACATTGAAATCAGAGGCTATTAGGACATTTTCCCAGAACAAAATGTGTCCCAGAAGAAACAATGTGATGTGGCTTATCCTGGTGTGTTATTTTCTCCCAAGTAATTGTCTCCTCCCCCTGCAAGCTCACATATTTTAAGCTTCACAAATAACACTTTCAAGAAGACTTTGAAATGAAAGGCCCACACAGTTATAGAGAACTCTAGGGACATGTGTGTGTGTGTGGTGTGTGTGTGTGTGTATTTGCTTTTCTTAGGCGGATACTGAAATGGCACAGAATGTGGGAGGTGTTATGGTAGGTTTCCTGAGGCCTGGGGAGCATGAAAGAATCCCTTCATCAGCCTTATTGTTGCAGAATTTCAAAGCGAGGCCAAGAAAGAATAGGTGTATGAACAGTCAGGCTAGAAATTCACCATCTCCTCTGTTTCAATTGTGTTTCAAGTCCATTGCTCAGGTGACCTTACACAGTGTTGGGAACTAACGAGGGTGGTAAGCACATCAGCTTTTCAAAGTGTTACTGATTTAAATTGCCATCTTGGATTTTGCTTCCCTTCTGAAGCCATCTGCTCTCATCCGGAAGGGAACGTGGTGAACTGGGAATTAGTAAGGAATAGATTCTTATCTTTTATGATTGACCTATACATTTTATCCCCAAGAAGCTGGAGGTGGGAAAATTCATGTATTTATTCATTCACTCGTATAAACCATTTTAATTAAAAATAGCCAGTGTGCTCAAAACACAAGTGCAGCCTGTTTCCGAGAGCATACTTTTTTTTCTTCCTTTTAGACCGTACCACTTCATATATCCTTTGAATTATATAAACACACTTAATAACTGGTTCCTACCCTTGAGAAACTTGGGGCAAAGAGACTTTCACATGTAGAAAATCCATGGCTCTTTAAGGCACCTACTGTTAGCAAAACACCAGGGGTTTGGTCAAGGTCCTGCTGCTCCAGGCACAGAAAGCCAATCACTGCGACACCCACTGAGTATTACCAAGGAAGAAGGCTTTAATCAGGTGCTGCAGCCAAGCAGATGGGAGCTCAGTCTCAAATCCATCTTTCTGATGGACTAAAACCAGGGGTTTTTATAGCAGGAAAGAAATGTAGCAATGTGTAAGAAAACAAGAACTAGGGAGATGCAGGAAGTGATCATTGTGAATGAGGGGTCTGGCTTCTGGTGTAGTGATCTGGTGAGTTTTAATTTTTTGATACTTTTTTGAGAGACTGAAGGTCCTTTCCTGAGGAATGAACTGAGACAAAAAACAAGTATAAGTTTCAAGACTTAAGACCAGAAGGGTGGGCCAGGCACGGTGGCTGACGCCTGTAGTCCCAGCACTCTGGGAGTCTGAGGCAGGTGGATCACCTGAGGTCAGGAGTTCGAGACCAGCCTGGCCAACATAATGAAACCCTGTCTCTACTAAAAATACAAAAAATTAGCTGGGCATGGTGGTGCACGCTTGTAAAATCCCAGTTACTCATGAGGCTGAGGCAGGAGAATCACTTGAACCCAGGAGGCAGAGGTTACAGTGAGCAGAGATTGCACCACTGTACTCCAGCCTGGGCAACAGAGCAAGACTCTGTCTTAAAACAAAACAAAACACAAACAAAAACCAGAAGGGTCAAGTTCTATGTTTATTTTATTTTATTTTTTAAGTTACCTATAGGACTATTGGGTGTGTTTCACTACCATGCCAGCTTACCACATGAAGGGCCTGAGCAAGATTTAGCTATAGAAGAGAATCTGCTAAGTTGATGACATGTATAATACCTGCCATATTTCCAGAGGGGCTGCTACCACTTTAAGCCAAAACTACCTGGGAATGTTTTAGAGAACAGCTATTGAATAAGCGGGCTTTGAGGAGATTGGTAGGATCTAAGGGGTAGAAGAAAAGCAAGAGCATTTTAGGTGATAGTGCTGCTACGTGTGTGTCCCCGTATGGCCCTAAATAGGCTTGGATGAAGTTATGGCTTTTTATGGGAAGAATGGGAGAGCAGCTGAAGAAGAAGGCTAGGCAGGCCTTGAGTGCTCCAGTAAGAGTTCACACCTTTTACAGGTGAAGGTAAGGTAAGCATTTGACAGATGGCTTTTGTTTCTTTTTTTTTTTTTTCTTTAATCAGTGGAATGGCAGGCTTACATCACTAGTTTAGCATTAGTTTAGGTGGTGAGTATGATCTATTAGGAGACAGAGAGGCAAGTAACAGGTGTGCATCAGGGAGGGTTGTTTTATTTTTCCAGAAGTGAGAAAAGGGAGCATGGAAACCAACGAGAGGCAAGTAACAGGTGTGCAGCAGGGAGGGTTGTTTTATTTTTCCTGAAGTGAGAAAAGGGAGCATGGGAACCAATGAGGGTTGTGAGCCCAGAAGGTGCCAAGTGCCTCCCATACATGATCCTAGTTTATCCTTGGTGCAGTAGACACAATGATCCTCGCTTTAAAGATGAAGAACTAAACCTTGGACAAGTATGATAACATGCATGAACTCAAAAGAATACTATTCTATAGAACTTTTCTTGGCTCTATGTCTCCTGTTCGTTTCACTTCATCAGGCTGCTGGGAGATCATGAGCACAAAGTTACTGTACATCCTGAGTTAACCTCCACATTACAATTGCCAATAACACAGCTCATATCCTCCTTACAGACACACAATCATGGTCAAAGCTTCCACTTCCACCCTTCCCAAAAGGCAGGGAAAGGGAATTAGAAGTGGAGGGTGATATATTCTCTCAGTGGGAAGAAGAATTCTTCTCTTGTTTATTAACTGAAGTCATCTCCTTGCTTAATAAATTCCACTGGGGTGATCCACAAGATCTAAACACATGGAAGCCTTTTTTTCCTTTTGGGGTGCTCTGGGGAAGATGTACTTCATAGCATTTGCCTTTTGGAGTTTGAAAGGACACGTTATACTTAGATCCCTTTCTTGCCATGATATCATCTATTCATGTCCTATGTCCTGTACACAGCAGTCTCCCAACAATGACTGTCTTATACTGGAATGATCTGCCTTGTCTCCCTTCCATACCAGATTGAGGTCTTTGAGACCAAGAATGGTTGCTTTAAAAAAAAAAAAATCTGTTTCTCTAAGTTTTAGATCCTGAGAGAGCATCTTGGCATATTTAACTAAATTATGTGTTAAGAACTCTGACTAGGGAGGGAGCCAAGATGGCCAAATAGGAACAGCTCCGGTCTACAGCTCCCAGCGTGAGCGACGCAGAAGACGGGTGATTTCTGCATTTGCATCTGAGTACCCGGTTCATCTCATTAGGGAGTGCCAGACAGTGGGCGCAGGACAGTGGGTGCAGTGCACCAGGCGTGACCCGAAGCAGGGTGAGGCATTGCCTCACTCGGAAAGCCCAAGGGGTCAGGGAGTTCCCTTTCCTAGTCAAAGAAAGGGGTGACAGACGGCACCTGGAAAATCGGGTCACTCCCACCCCAGTACTGCGCTTTTCTGATGGGCTTAAAAAACGGCAGACGAGGAGATTATATCCCGCACCTGGCTGGGAGGGTCCTACGCTCACGGAGTCTCGCTGATTGCTAGCACAGCAGTCTGAGATCAAACTGCAAGGCGGCAGCGAGGCTGGGGGAGGGGCGCCCGCCATTGCCCAGGCTTGATTAGGTACACAAAGCAGCCTAGAAGCTCCAAGTGGGTGGAGCCCACCACAGCTCAAGGAGGCCTGCCTGCCTCTGTAGGCTCCATCTCTGGGGGCAGGGCACAGACAAACAAAAAGACAGCAGTAAGCTCTGCAGACTTAAATGTCCCTGTCTGACAGCTTTGAAGAGAGCAGTGGTTCTCCCAGCACCCAGCTGGAGACCTGAGAACGGGCAGACTGCCTCCTCAAGTGGGTCCCTGACCCCTGACCCCCATGCAGCCTAACTGGGAGGCACTCCCCAGTAGGGGCAGACTGACACCTCACACGGCCAGGTACTCCTCTGAGACAAAACTTCCAGAGGAACGTTCAGACAGCAGGATTCGTGGTTCACAAAAATCCGCTGTTCTGCAGCCACTGCTGCTGGTACCCAGGCAAACAGGGTCTGGAGTGGACCTCTAGCAAACTCCAACAGACCTGCAGCTGAGGGTCCTGTCTGTTAGAAGGAAAACTAACAAACAGAAAGGACATCCACACCAAAAACCCATCTGTTCATCACCATCATCAAAGACCAAAAGTAGATAAAACCACAAAGATGGGGAAAAAACAGAGCAGAAAAACTGGAAACTCTAAAAAGCAGAGCACCTCTCCTCCTCCAAAGGAACGCAGCTCCTCGCCAGCAACAGAACAAAGCTGGATGGAGAATGACTTTGACGAGTTGAGAGAAGAAGGCTTCAGACGATCAAACTACTCTGAGCTATAGGAGGAAATTCAAACCAAAGACAAAGAAGTTGAAAACTTTGAAAAAAATTTAGACGAATGTATAACTAGAATAACCAATACAGAGAAGTGCTTAAAGGAGCTGATGGAGCTGAAATTCAAGGCTCAAAAACTACGTGAAGAATGCAGAGGCCTCAGGAGCTGATGCGATCAACTGGAAGAAAGGGTATCAGTGATGGAAGATGAAATGAATGAAATGAAGCGAGAAGGGAAGTTTAGAGAAAAAAGAATAAAAAGAAATGAACAAAGCCTCCAAGAAATATGGGACTATGTGAAAAGACCAAATCTACATCTGATTAGTGTACCTGAAAGTGACGGAGAGAATGGAACCAAGTTGGAAAACACTCTGCAGGATATTATCCAGGAGAACTTCCCCAATCTAGCAAGGCAGGCCAACATTCAGATTCAGGAAATACAGAGAATGCCACAAAGATACTCCTCGAGAAGAGCAACTCCAAGACACATGATTGTCAGATTCACCAAAGTTGAAATGAAGGAAAAAATGTTAAGGGCAGGCAGAGAGAAAGGTCAGGTTACCCACAAAGCGAAGGCCATCAGACTAATAGCAGATCTCTCAGCAGAAACTCTACAAGCCAGAAGAGAGTGGGGGCCAATATTCAACATTCTTAAAGAAAAGAATTTTCAACCCAGAATTTCATATCCAGCCAAACTAAGCTTCATAAGTGAAGGAGAAATAAAATACTTTACAGGCAAGCAAATGCTGAGAGATTTTGTCACCACCAGGCCTGCCCTAAAAGAGCTCCTGAAGGAAGCACTAAACATGGAAAGGAACAACTGGTACCAGCCACTGCAAAATCATGCCAAATTGTAAAGACCATCGAGGCTAGGAAGAAACTGCATCAACTAACGAGCAAAATAAGCAGCTAACATCATAATGACAGGATCAAATTCACACATAACAATATTAACTTTAAATATAAATGGACTAAATGCTCCAATTAAAAAACACAGACTGGCAAATTGGATAAAGAGTCAAGACCCATCAGTGTGCTGTATTCAGGAAACCCATCTCACGTGCAGAGACACACATAAGCTCAAAATAAAAGGATGGAGGAAGATCTACCAAGCAAATGGAAAACAAAAAAAGGCAGGGGTTGCAATCCTAGTCTCTGATAAAACAGACTTTAAACCAACAAAGATCAGAAGGGACAAAGAAGGCCATTATATAATGGTAAAGGGATCAATTCAACAAGAAGAGCTAACTACCCTAAATATATATGCACCCAATACAGGAGCACCCAGATTCATAAAGCAAGTCCTGAGTGACCTACAAAGAGACTTAGACTCCCACAAAATAATAATGGGAGACTTTAACACCCCACTGTCAACATTAGACAGATCAACAAGACACAAAGTTAACAAGGATAGCCAGGAATTGAACTCAGCTCTGCATCAAGTGGACCTAATAGACATCTACAGAACTCTCCACCCCAAATCAACAGAATATACATTTTTTCAGCACCACACCACACCTATTCCAAAATTGACCACAGAGTTGGAAGTAAAGCTCTTCTCAGCAAATGTAAAAGATCAGAAATTATAACAAACTGTCTCTCAGACCACAGTGCAATCAAACTAGAACTCAGGATTAAGAAACTCACTCAAAACCGCTCAACTACATGGAAACTGAACAACCTGCTCCTAAATGACTACTGGGTACATAACAAAATGAAGGCAGAAATAAAGATGTTCTTTGAAACCAATGAGAACAAAGACACAACATACCAGAATCTCTGGGACACATTCAAAGCAGTGTGTAGAGGGAAATTTATAGCACTAAATGCCCACAAGAGAAAGCAGGAAAGATCCAAAATTGACACCCTAACATCACAATTAAAAGAACTAGAAAAGCAAGAGCAAACACATTCAAAAGCTAGCAGAAGGCATGAAATAACTAAAATCAGAGCAGAACTGAAGGAAATAGAGACACAAAAAACCCTTCAAAAAATTAATGAATCCAGGAGCTGGTTTTTTGAAAGGATCAACAAAATTGATAGACTGCTAGCAAGACTAATAAAGAAGAAAAGAGAGAAGAATCAAATAGATGCAATAAAAAATGATAAAGGGGATATCACCACCTATCCCACAGAAATACAAACTACCATCAGAGAATACTACAAACACCTCTACTCAAATAAACTAGAAAATCTAGAAGAAATGGATATATTCCTCGACACATACACCCTCCCAAGACTAAACCAGGAAGAAGTTGACTCTCTGAATAGACAAATAACAGGCTCTGAAATTGTGGCAATAATCAATAGCTTACCAACCAAAAAGAGTCCAGGACCAGATGGATTCACAGCCGAATTCTAACAGAGGTACAAGTAGGAACTGGTACCATTCCTTCTGAAACTATTCCAATCAATAGAAAAAGAGGGAATCCTCCCTAACTCATTTTATGAGGCCAGCATCATCCTGATACCAAAGCCTGGCAGAGACACAACCAAAACAGAGAATTTTAGACCAATATCCTTGATGAACATTGATGCAAAAATCCTCAATAAAATACTGGCAAACCGAATCCAGCAGCACATCAAAAAGCTTATCCACCATGATCAAGTGGGCTTCATCCCTGGGATGCAAGGCTGGTTCAATATATGCAAATCAATAAATGTAATCCAGCATATAAACAGAGCCAAAGACAAAAACCACATGATTATCTCAATAGATGCAGAAAAGACCTTTGACAAAATTCAACAACCCTTCATGCTAAAAACTCTCAATAAATTAGGTATTGATGGGACGTATCTCAAAATAAGAAGAGCTATCTATGACAGACCCACAGCCAATATCATACTGAATGGGCAACAACTGGAAGCATTCCCTTTGAAAACTGGCACAAGACAGGGATGCCCTCTCTCACCACTCCTATTCAACATACTGTTGGAAGTTCTGGCCAGGGCAGTCAGGCAGGAGAAGGAAATAAAGGGTATTCAATTAGGAAAAGAGGAAGTCAAATTATCCCTGTTTGTAGATGACATGATTATATATCTAGAAAACCCCATCGTCTCAGCCCAAAATCTCCTTAAGCTGATAGGCAACTTCAGCAAAGTCTCAGGATACAAAATCAATGTGCAAAAATCACAAGCATTCTTATACACCAATAACAGACAAACAGAGAGCCAAAGCATGAGTGAACTCCCATTCACAATTGCTTCAAAGAGAATAAAACACCTAGGAATCCAACTTACAAGGGACGTGAAGGACCTCTTCAAGGAGAACTACAAACCACTGCTGAATGAAATAAAAGAGGATACAAACAAATGGAAGAACATTCCATGCTCATGGGTAGGAAGAATCAATATTGTGAAAATGGCCATACTGCCCAAGGTAATTTATAGATTCAATGCCATCCCCATCAAGCTACCAATGACTTTCTTCACCAAATTGGAGAAAACTACTTTAAAGTTCATATGGAACCAAAAAAGAGCCCACATCACCAAGTCAATCCTAAGCCAAAAGAGCAAAGCTGGAGGCATCATGCTACCTGACTTCAAACTATACTACAAGGCTACAGTAACCAAAACAGCATGGTACTGTTACCAAAACAGAGATATAGATGAATGGAACAGAACAGAGCCCTCAGAAATAACGCCACATATCTACAACTATCTGATCTTTGACAAACCTGAGAAAAACAAGCAATGGGGAAAGGATTCCCTATTTAATAAATGGTGCTGGGAAAACTGGCTAGCCATATGTAGAAAGCTGAAACTGGATCCCTTCCTTACAACTTATACAAAAATTAATTCAAGATGGATTAAAGACTTAAACATTAGACCTAAAACCATAAAAACCCTAGAAGAAAACCTAGGCATTACCATTCAGGACATACGCATGGGCAAGGACTTCATGTCTAAAACACCAAAAGCAATGGCAACAAAAGCCAAAATTGACAAATGGGATCTAATTAAACTAAAGAGCTTCTGCACAGCAAAAGAAAGTACCATCAGAGTGAACAGGCTACCTACAAAATGGGAGAAAATTTTCACAACCTACTCATCTGACAAAGGGCTAATATCCAGAATCTACAATGAACTCAAACAAATTTACAAGAAAAAAAACAAACAACCCCATCAAAAAGTGGGCGAAGGATACAAACAGACACTTCTCAAAAGAAGACATTTATGCAGCCAAAAAACACATGAAAAAATGCTCACCATCACTGGCCATCAGAGAAATGCAAATCAAAACCACAATGAGATACCATCTCACACCAGTTAGAATGGCAATCATTAAAAAGTCAGGAAACAACAGATGCTGGAGAGGATGTGGAGAAATAGGAACACTTTTACACTGTTGGTGGGACTGTAAACTAGTTCAACCATTGTGGAAGTCAGTGTGGCGATTCCTCAGGGATCTAGAACTAGAAATACCATTTGACCCAGCCATCCCATTACTGGGTATATACCCAAAGGACTAGAAATCATGCTGCTATAAAGACACATGCACACGTATGTTTATTGCGGCACTATTCACAATAGCAAAGACTTGGAACCAACCCAAATGTCCAACAATGATAGACTGGATTAAGAAAATGTGGCACATATACACCATGGAATACTATGCAGCCATAAAAAATGATGAGTTCATGTCCTTTGTAGGGACATGGATGAAATTGGCAATGATCATTCTCAGTAAACTATCGCAAGAACAAAAAACCAAACACCGCATATTCTCACTCATAGGTGGGCATTGAACAATGAGAACACATGGACACAGGAAGGGGAACATCACACTCTGGGGACTGTTGTGGGGTGGGGGCAGGGGGGAGGGATAGCTTTAGGAGATATACCTAATGCTAAATGATGAGTTAATGGGTGCAGCACACCAGCATGGCACATGTAAACATATGTAACTAACCTGCACATTGTGCCCATATACCCTAAAACTTAAAGTATAATAATAATAAAATAAAAATAAGTAAATAAAAAAAGAACTCTGATTATGTCTAACTGTATAATACAATATAGTCTTCAAAAATGTTCACAAGACAAGCAAATCAGTAGATTCTATTATTTACAATGATTAAACAGTTGAACTCATAGACGTAATGTGAATGATTTCTTGTTGTGAAGGCTTAGTGCTTACTTACTGTGTAAAATGAGAACCTGTCTGGGCGTGTTGGCTCACGGCTGTAATCCTAGCAGTTTGGGAAGCCGAGGTGGATGGATCACCTGAGGTGAGGAGTTGGAGACCACCCTGGCCAACATGGCGAAACCTCTCTCTACCAAAAATACCAAAATTAGCTGCCGTGGTGACACACAACTGTAATCCCAGCTACTCAGGAGGCTGAGGCAGGATAATTGCTTGAACCCGGGAGACAGAGTTTGCAGTGAGCTGAGATCTTGCCACTGCACTCCAGCCTGCACAATGGAGCGAGACTCCATCACAAAAACAAACAAACAAACAAACAAAAAACAAAAAAAGAGAACCTACAAGTACTAACAGGATACCAAATATGTTCAGACCTATCTATTTTATATATCTATTCTTAATTATCTTTGCAATGAATTTTTGTTATTTTAATAACTTATGACTATTTATTCTTAGATTATAACATAATATGGATTTATTTTACATATATTTATATATCATATATTTTTACATAATGCGTTTTTATATTATTTACCCTTTTTTTAAGAGACAGGGACTTGCTGTGTTAACCAGGCTGGAGTGCAATGGCCTGATCATGGCTCACTGCAGACTTGAACTTCTGGGCTCAAGTGATGCTCCTGCCTCAGCCTTCCAAGTAGCTACACCACTGCTCATGGGCTTATTTATCACTGTTTAATTAGTTATTCAGTAATTCATTTTGTTTTTTTCATGGTAGTATTTATAAAGTTCCTGTTTCAACCCATCAAAAAGTTGTATAACAGAAAGGCTACCAGATCAGAAAACAAGTGACTGGGGTTTTAGTTGTCCTCCACTACCAACTGATTTTGTGATATTGGGCAAATCATTTCTCCTCTCAATGCATCAAATTCATCATGTGTACAATGAGCAAGTTTCTTATATAAGTGTTACAGAGTTTCACCAACTCTCAAATTTCCAGGTAAGAAAAGGTGTTTTGTTTGTGTCTGAGGGTCAGTGTGTTGACCATCAGTCTTAGAGTCCTCCATAAATCAAAAAGCAGCTGATAGATTTGACCTAATTGCTATTTTTCGTGGCCTAGAATCTAATTTTGGCTGTCTATTTAGCTCCTGGCCAAGCTGCCTAGCAGCCCTCCAAATACACATACACTCCAGCTAGGTGGATAGATAGAACTTTATAAACCCAGATGGTCTTGGAGTAAGTACATATCTGAAACTGAAGTCTCTGGCTCCCAAATTTTGACCACTAAGAACTTTTTTGATTAAGTCATTAGCCTTCAAATTATTTTGCTTTTAAAGTTTTGCCAAGAAAACTTTATTATTCATCTAATGATTATCAGTGCCTGTTTGCGTTAACAAAGTGATATTAATCTGAGCATCTGATAAAACTGTGATCACCAGAGTGACTATTCAGTTCAAAGCAAATAAACTTTAGCTTTTATTCCATATGATCTCTTTGCAGGTAAATGTATGATTTCCAACTGGTCCAGGGCTTCACATAGAGGTGAATAAAAAAATATCTAGAACAATATATGGGGTGGAGGAAGAATACAGACCTCATGGGTCATTCATTAGAGAGAGCTGGAGGTGAGATTCTCAGGCTCTAACTGAGCTGGGTTGTGGTTAGATCAAAAGGAGATGCGCAGCAGAGTATTTGGATACGTAGGGAAGCTTGTTCACCAACAGCATGTAGATTCAAATGAAACAGCAGAGAGAACACGAGAAGGTTCAGAGAAATACAGAATAATGCGAAGAGAAGATATTTGACCTTAAGAACCTACAGTTTGTAGAATAACATAGGATGAGAGTTATGGGTAGAGTAGCCCCAAGATTTGAAACAATATTCTGGTATAATGTTTTCATATAATGGTGACTCCATGTGAGATAAGAGAATTCCACCAAGTGTGGGACTCTGATCTGCTGTGGCTGAAGTTGGTACAGAAGCAGGCCCTGAGTAAATGGCTGAGGGTTTGGTTGGTCCTGAGGACAGATCTCAAGTCTTCAGAAGCCTAAAACATAGCTATTGAAACATAGATGAATGTTGGTTAAATTGTACTTTCAAAATATTTCAAAAATATTCAATTCATTCAAATGAATGAATGATCTACTCCATTTTTAAGGACGTAGATAGACGTACCCAAGAAATGTCTTAACAGGAATGTATGTGAGCTGGAATGGGGTAAAGAGAACAGATATCATGGGGTTAAAGCCAAATATGATATTCTCCAGGATTGGGGTGTATATGTGGAGGTGGGAGCAACTTGTGGAAGAAATAAATACCGAAGCATTGTGTAGATGGAAGCTCTAATATGTGGTGGTCAAGAGGTAGAGCTCAGAGCCAAACAGAAACCAGAGAAACAGGATTCTAATTTGCTATGAGATCCTAGGATAGTCTCAGAATAATATTGTATACAAGCAACAAGGTTCCTCAGAGTCTTTGTCGATTATTAAATCATTCAATTTAAATTATTAAATCAGCACACTCTTCAATTTATGTTTGAGGAAACTAAGGCCAAGGGGAGGAAAGTGATTGGCTCAAGTTGACACTGATGGGGGCAGAGCCTGGTCTGGAGCTCCCATACTTCTTCCAACTCCCTTGCACTGATTCACCAATGAACAAAAACCCCAGACATGCCCTGGGTCTGTGGCAGGCTCAAAAGTTTCTGCAGCAGCGCTCTGTCAGATTGCCTACCCCTGCAACATCTGCCAAGCTGTCCTGCCACATCATGTTCTTTTCCCTCTTCGAGTTGTTAGGAATCTTCTGGTCACATCTGACAAGTGGAGCAGAACTCATAGGCTTTGCAAAGGCCTTTCACTAGCCAAATCCAGGAAAGCCTCATTAAGAGTGAATCAGTGAAGGCCTATCAAAGTAAGATCTTTGAGGCAAACTAAACTGTGACCTATTTATTGTGAAGAAGCGCAAATAGAAATCTATTGAACTACAGCACCAACATATTCTAAATATTTTATTAGGCTTGTCTCTAATAAAAGCCTCTTTATTGTGATAAAGCACAAATAGAGATCTATTGAACTATAGCACCAAAATATTCTCAAATATTATAATAGGCTTGAATCCCTTGCTACATCAGAAATTAATTTGAATTATGCAATATTTAAACACAAAAGCAATTTCAAATTTCTTCAGTTTACATAGTCACTGTTCTTCAGCAGTCATGTAGTGTTACTTAATGAAAGTTCTACTGGCCTTCACTAGAGACTCAATTCAGTTGTATGGGGAAACATTCATATTTGTGTAAAAAATGAATACTCTTTATCTTCCTTCTATTTTCCATCCCAAAATTAATGGATTTTATGTCAGAAAAATTTAACTTTAGACTATACAGTTGGATGACTTTTAACATCATTTCTAAAGTTCTGTTTGCAAATCACTCAACTAACAAATTCAAACCATTTTCAGAAAAAAATTGCATTACATTTTACTTTATGTGGAAAACTAAAGATTGATATGAGGTTGTTTGTCAAAATTCTTCTGCATCTTGACATTGTTTGAAGCACATAGGTCAGGAAACTTACTGTAAAGGATCAGAATAAATATCTAGTATTTTTGAGACAGAGTCTCACTCTGGCACCCAGGCTGGAGTTCAGTGGCATGATCATGGCTCACTGCAACCTCCGCCTCCCAGGTTCAAGCGATTCTCCTGCCTCAGCCTCCAGAGTAGCTGAGATTACAGGCATCTGCCACCATGCCTGGCTAATTTTTGTATTTTGTTAGTAGAGATGGGTTTCACTATGTTAGCAAGGCTGGTCTCAAACTCCTGACCTCAAGTGATCCACCCACCTTGGCCTCCTGAAGTGCTGGGATTACAGGCATGAGCCACCGCTCCCGGTCAAATATCTAGATTTTAAAGGCCACAAATGTTCTTTGTATTATATCTTCCTTTTTCTCCCTCAACATCTCTTTAAAAATGTAAAAAGATATTCTTAGCTCATGGGCCAGGGACAGGTTTTGTCTATGAGCCATAGTTGGCCCATCCCTGTGTGATTCTTCGAGTGGCAAGCCTTTAGATTTGTTACCAGATATATCCGGTCTTCTCTTGATACAGGAGTCTATAGCTGATTTACTGGAGATGTATCACTCTGGATTTAGAGGTGCTTGCAAGTCGTGGTGCTTAACTTTTTGAGAGGTCATAGACACGGACATAAACACACAATTTGGCATAAACCATGAGCACTGTGCATATAAACATGTACTGTCACATAAACTCAAAGGGCTCACAGAGATTCTATGTATATATTCATAAATCATAATTTAAGCATGTTCTAAATATATGGTTCTCTTTTTTTCCCATGAATTTGGCAATGATTTCTACATATTGCTATAGTCTAAAAGAATTTTGTGTAATATCAACAAATTTCTCAGTATATATTATTTTAAATGTCTACCTAATATTCCATTTGGTGTGTTTGCCAATTTATTTATTCATTTTGTTATACGTAGATATTTAGGCTAATTAAGTATTAAGTATTTTACCATTAAAATAATAAGGTAAACAGCTTTTTGCATAAAGCTTTTTCTTTTGTGGGTGTATTTATTTTATTTTATAAGTGGAACAGCCAGATCAAAAAGAATAAAGCTTTTTAAGAATTTCAATATAAATTTACAAATTAACAGTGCTAAATCAATACTATACTCTTTCTTTTCTTATTTATTTATTTGTTTTTTGGCTTATCATAGGAAGTCTTCAGGTATTGTGCAGAGTGCAGCATTTGTTTACCCCAAACGACACTTTTGATTTAACTGTTCTATAAAGGGCCTGGGAAATATGCATCCTACTCGCCTTGCATCTTGAGCACCAAGAATCCTAATTTGCTGAATGCTTAGTTTTGCCTCAATGAGCATCCAGTCATGGGATCGTTGTGATTAGATATTACTTTGGTAGATATCAATTGAATTTTGGGTAGAAATTAGTTTGTCACAAATTACTTTGGTTGAATTTTCATTAATCTATCCATTTACTCAACAAATATCATCTATGAGCTGTTTTGTGCAGTAATGTTTGGAATATAGGGACTACAACAAAAGAAGAAGAATAACAATAATAATAATGATAATATCATTGGCAACAATTAATAGTGATAAAATAATAGCAGATATTTACATAGGGCATACTATGTGCTTGTTATTTTTAGTGCTTTTACATATATTAACTTATTTAATTTAGTTTTGTGAGGTAAACAACTTTAGCATTATATTTTACAGATGAGAAAACTGAAGAAGTTAAGTAATAATCCCCACATCACCTAACTAGCAAGTATGAGAGCTGATATTTAAGCTCAGGCAACCAAGATATAAAGTCCTTGCTTTCATGGAGATCTAATGCTAGTATGATGAGAATATTCTTTTTTTTTCTTTTTTTTTTTTGAGATGGAGTCTCACTCTGTCGCCCAGGCTGGAGTGCAGTGGCGCAATCTCGGCTCACTGCAACCTCTGCCTCCCGGGTTCATACCAGTCTCCCGCCTCAGCCTCCCGAGTAACTGGGACTACAGGCACCCGCCACCATGCCTGGCTAATTTTTTTGTATTTTTAGTAGAGACGAGGTTTCACCATGTTAACCAGGATGGTCTCGATCTCCTGACCTCGTGATCCACTCATGTCAGCCTCCCAAAGTGCTGGGATTACAGGCGTGAGCCACCGTGTGGCCAGCCAGTATGATAAGAATATTCTATGTTGAGTGAAGAATTTTGCATTTTAATGCTTTAAGTTATCTCTATAGATTTTGTTTGCAGGAGAGATGAATAAGATGAAGATGTGGTACTGGATCATGAGTTTATGTTTCTCTTTTGATGAGTTTAAGTCCAAATAGACTTTCCCTCCTTTCCCCATGCCTTAGCCTGAACATACTAACTCAGACCATGTAAGCAGGAAACCCTATGGTCCAGACTCAAGTAACATCAGACTTTTCAAAACATTTACCAGTTAGGGTGTTTGTCTTCCTGTAGGCATAACCCAGGAAGGTAATTTTTCATTTTCCCAAGTCTCTTTACCTTTGGCTCTATTTGTTGTGGTTGTTATTCTCTGGGCATTGCATACATTCCCAGGTCCTTATGCAATCTCACAACAGGATTTGAACAGTGTGAATGTTCAGTGACTGATACTGTTCGATATTCCCATTTACTTCTGCTAAAGAAACATTTCAATATCAAGAGGAACTCTATCCCCCACCCCCAGGCCATTCTCAGCTTCCAGACACTTCCTAATACAGCTGTGACCCTAACTGCTTGGTTTATTCTAGAAACTGCCACACAGAGTAGAAGCTCATGTTTTAGAATCACACAGGCCTGAGTTAGACTCTCATTTTTATTCCTTACTACCTGTGTGACCTTGGACAAGGCATTTAATTACTAGCTTCCTTATCTGAAAACTGGTTATAATTCCCAAGTTGAGAGGTCACAGATATGAAGAATAAATAATAACATTTATTAGCTGGGAGGCACTGAATAGATAGCAGTGTCTTTCTCTCCTCAAACTTAACAAAATGAATGTTGGTGGTGAGTTGGTGAAGCGAAGAAAAAGTATAAACTACTGAAAAATTAAGTTTTTAGGAGATGTGCATTAAAACAGGTCACGGAGTCATCAAAATGATTTCCACGTTGTTGAATGCATATTTTTCTCCACATTAGCATCAGAATAATCTTCCTGAAACACAGCCCCTAGTATTTCATTCAAGTCCTCATAATCATTCAATGACACTTCACTGCCTGCAGGATCAATTCCAAGCCTCTTGGCCAGACTTTCAAAACCTTACATAACTTTGGACGAAATTAAAATAAAATTCTTATTTCTCACCACCCCTACTGGTGTACTATTGTCCGGAAATCTTGAAATATTCACTATTTCTAGATAATGCTTTTCTGAGTCTTTGCCTTTGTTCATCCTCTATCTTACTCTTGGCATGTGCTTTCTATATTTCTGCCTGGTTATTATTCCATTCTTTAACGGCTCTCTTTAAAAGCAATTACTCTAGGCTTCCACAACCTCATGTTTCAAGAAGACACAAATTATTCTGTTCACCTCCCCACGATATTTAGTGCCTCGTCTCAAAATTTCCCTTATTCTATCCTGTATTTTTTGGGTGGTGTGGTCAAATGCCTCCCATTTTCTTTCCTACCCAAGAGCAGGGCTAAAAATTTATTACCTTTTACCCTCAAAGAAATTCACACAGCGCCTGGCACAGTGGTCTGTTCTCAGCAAGCGTCGGTTGAATGAATGAAATACGTAAACTGAATATAAAATATTTGGCCTCAGAGTTGGGCACCTGGATTGTAATCCTAGCTCGTATATAGGTGATTTTGGGAAAGTCTACAGCTCTAGTTGTAAATTAACTCATCTATAAAGCAGAAAATCTGGTTAGTGGTTTTCAAATTAGGCTTTGTTTAGTGGAAGTTCAGTGAAATCCTTCTGGATCCATTTTTGGGAGGAAATGTAATTCTAGGCTTCCTCTCTGCTTTCAACTAGCAAAGCTCATCTTTTATCCATTTACATCAGGATGTCAAATGAGCTATGTTCATTTAAACAACATATTCCATACATCAAACAAATTAAGCCATGAGATTGGCTAACATATGAGGCTCTTTCTCACTGATTTTTGACATGACGATACGTATTATTACATGTATATATTAGAGACATTAAAACAATTACTTTAAAAATAGCATCAAATCTTATTCTAATTCATAAATGAAGGGGCGGAGAACTATAATTTTTCAGCAATTCGTGTGTGTTTTAAGCACCTACTGTATTCCAAGTAAATTCTAGAAATTTTAGTTTATCTCTAATCTCAAAAATCTACAACATAAATAAAAAGTTTCACTTTACATGTGGGTAAGCAAACAGGGTACAAATGTCTTCTATAAAACAGCCAAGTGCAAGTGGGAATTTGAGAGAAAGCAGGTATGACTAGCCTCAGAGCTTGGGCTATTTTCCCAGTACGAGTCGTAATGCAATAAAAATTGATTCTGGGAATTACAATGCACAGACATATACTCAAAACAATGGAGTGGCTTTGAAAGCACATCTCTTCTCCTAGTCTGTAAGATGTAGGTTGTTTGGTGAGTAGCAGTGACTCAGACAGTCTCATTACAATTTCCCATTAAAAGTTCAGCTCAGACCAATGAATGGAATGATTACAAAGCCTTTTCCTGTGCTATGCAACTCCCATATGCTAAGCCATGAGTAATTTCCACTGAGCCGGCTTGCCCATATTGGAATTTCATTTGCTGCCCAGAAAACATGCAGTGAGGCTTTAGCTACAGAACTGAGCAGGAAACAAAAGCCCAAATTGGTGCTGGAGAAAGGGAGGTGACATGAGCTTGAAGGGGTGTCTGAGGTACTCAATTGCTGATAGGAGCTGCAGGATGAGTGTGCTGAATAAAGCTTATTAAGGAAATTTCAGATATAAATTAGTAGATTTAGGCAGATAGTAGAGTATAATTTTGAAGGTTTTAACTTGAGACTATTCAAAGAAATTATTTTTTAGTATTTGTTCCGAAACAGTTGCCCTGAGCAGCAGCAGCCATGAAGAAGAGAATCATGACAAACTAGAGATCATTTAGTGCTGAAATGTTGAGCCGTTTTGATTGTATTTCATGTTGATGAGGAAGTACCTTAGACATCACCTATACCATCCCTTTTTCCAGTTGAAAATGAACTCAGTTATAGCAATGAAGTCATAATAAAAGCAAATCTTAGAGATTATCACACATTTGCTATAAAAACAGGGCATGAATAATTCAGGTAAGATCTCTGAGGGCAGTGATTTTGGACGATTTTGCTCAGTGCTTACTTCTATGCTCAGAACAGGGCCTGGCCTAACTGATTGCTTGGGAAACATCTTGTGATGGAATGAATCACAGTAAGAATATGTTTTAAAATCTAGTTATTCGACAAATTGAAGCTCAGATTATACTTGATTTAAATTTGCATCTCCATACCTTATAGATTTAATCAAACAACCTGCAACAAATATTGACAATAACAAAGAGTAATTAACAGAAAATTTTCATTAAAAAATCAATAATACTAGTAATAGAAAAGCACAATCAAGTCAAATCAGCACTGATGCTTTTTATTTGACAAAGCTTCCTTCCCCACAAAGTGCTGGGACTTCAGTTATTCACAAGTACACTTGCTCTGCAAGAACATCATGACTTTGCCAAACATAAGGTAAGATTTTTTGGTAGAATTCTGAATTTAGAATATTTATAAAACTCTAGAAGTCATTACTTTTGATTTCAAAATACTGTACTGTATTTTTATTCACATAACAGATTATATCTATTTTTTTAAGTAAAATGAATGACCATTGATGAGAACTCTTAAATACCCATGAAAGTGCTTATGTTCTATTCAGAGATTCAACTTCTTCCTGGTTTAGTCTTGGGAGGGTGTATGTGTCGAGGAATTTATCCATTTCTTCTAGATTTTCTAGTTTATTTGCGTAGAGTTGTTTGTAGTATTCTCTGATGGTAGTTTGTATTTCTGTGGGATCGGTGGTGATATCCCCTTTATCATTTTTTATTGCGTCTATTTGATTCTTCTCTCTTTTCTTCTTTATTAGTCTTGCTAGTGGTCTATCAATTTTGTTGATCCTTTCCAAAAACCAGCTCCTGGATTCGTTAATTTTTTGAAGGGTTTTTTGTGTCTCTATTTCCTTCAGTTCTGCTCTGATTTTCGTTATTTCTTGCCCTCTGCTAGCTTTTGAATGTGTTTGATCTTGCTTTTCTAGTTCTTTTAATTGTGATGTTAGGGTGTCAATTTTCGATCTTTCCTGCTTTTTCTTGTGGGCATTTAGTGCTATAAATTTCCCTCTACACACTGCTTTGAATGGAAATTGTGGCAATAATCAATAGCTTACCAACCAAAAAGAGTCCAGGACCAGATGGATTCACAGCCGAATTCTACCAGAGGTACAAGGAGGAACTGGTACCATTCCTTCTGAAACTATTCCAATCAATAGAAAAAGAGGGAATCCTCCCTAACTCATTTTATGAGGCCAGCATCATCCTGATACCAAAGCTGGGCAGAGACACAACCAAAAAAGAGAATTTTAGACCAATATCCTTGATGAACATTGATGCAAAAATCCTCAATAAAATACTGGCAAACTGAATCCAACAGCACATCAAAAAGCTTATCCACAATGATCAAGTGGGCTTCATCCCTGGGATGCAAGGCTGGTTCAATATACACAAATTAATAAATGTAATCCAGCATATAAACAGAACCAAAGACAAAAACCACATGATTATCTCAATAGATGCAGAAAAGACCTTTGACAAAATTCAACAACCCTTCATGCTAAAAACTCTCAATAAATTAGGTATTGATGGGACGTATCTCAAAATAAGAAGAGCTATCTATGACAAACCCACGGCCAATATCATACTGAATGGGCAAAAACTGGAAGCATTCCCTTTGAAAACTGGCACAAGACAGGGATGCCCTCTCTCACCACTCCTATTCAACATAGTGTTGGAAGTTCTGGCCAGGGCAATCAGGCAGGAGAGGGAAATAAAGGGTATTCAATTAGGAAAAGAGGAAGTCAAATTATCCGTTTGCAGATGACATAATTGTATATCTAGAAAACCCCATCGTCTCAGCCCAAAATCTCCTTAAGCTGATAGGCAACTTCAGCAAAGTCTCAGGATACAAAATCAATGTGCAAAAATCACAAGCATCCTTATACACCAATAACAGACAAACAGAGAGCCAAATCATGAGTGAACTCCCATTCACAATTGCTTCAAAGGGAATAAAATACCTAGGAATCCAACTTACAAGGGACATGAAGGACCTCTTCAAGAAGAACTACAAACCACTGCTCAATGAAATAAAAGAGATACAAACAAATGGAAGAACATTCCATGCTCATGGGTAGGAAGAATCAATATCATGAAAATGGCCATACTGCCCAAGGTAATTTATAGATTCGATGCCATCCCCATCAAGCTACCAATGACTTTCTTCACAGAATTGGAAAAAACTACTTAAGTTCATATGGCATCAAAAAAGAGCCCACATCACCAAGTCAATCCTAAGCCAAAAGAGCAAAGCTGGAGGCATCATGCTACCTGACTTCAAACTATACCACAAGGCTACAGTAACCAAAACAGCATGGTACTGTTACCAAAACAGAGATATATATCAATGGAACAGAACAGAGCCCTCAGAAATAACGCCACATATCTACAACTATCTGATCTTTGACAAACCTGAGAAAAACAAGCAATGGGGAAAGGATTCCCTATTTAATAAATGGTGCTGGGAAAACTGGCTAGCCATATGTAGAAAGCTGAAACTGGATCCCTTCCTTACACCTTATACAAAAATTAATTCAAGATGGATTAAAGACTTAAACTTTAGACCTAAAACCATAAAAACCCTAGAAGAAAACCTAGGCATTACCATTCAGGACATAGGCATGGGCAAGGACTTCATGTCTAAAACACCAAAAGCAATGGCAACAAAAGCCAAAATTGACAAATGGGATCTAATTAAACTAAAGAGCTTCTGCCCACAGCAAAAGAAAGTACCATCAGAGTGAACAGGCTACCTACAAAATGGGAGAAAATTTTCCTAACCTACTCATCTGACAAAGGGCTAATATCCAGAATCTACAATGAACTCAAACAAATTTACAAGAAAAAAACAACCCCATCAAAAAGTGGGTGAAGGACATGAACAGACACTTCTCAAAAGAAGACATTTATGCAGCCAAAAAACACATGAAAAAATGCTCACCATCGCTGGCTATCAGAGAAATGCAAATCAAAACCACAATGAGATACCATCTCACACCAGTTAGAATGGCAATCATTAAAAAGTCAGGAAACAACAGGTGCTGGAGAGGATGTGGAGAAATAGGAACACTTTTACACTGTTGGTGGGACTGTAAACTAGTTCAACCATTGTGGAAGTCAGTGTGGCGATTCCTCAGGGATCTAGAACTAGAAATACCATTTGACCCAGCCATCCCATTACTGGGTATATACCCAAAGGACTAGAAATCATGCTGCTATAAAGACACATGCACACGTATGTTTATTGCGGCATTATTCACAATAGCAAAGACTTGGAACCAACCCAAATGTCCAACAATGATAGACTGGATTAAGAAAATGTGGCCCATATACACCATGGAATACTATGCAGCCATAAAAAATGATGAGTTCATGTCCTTTGTAGGGACATGGATGAAATTGGCAATGATCATTCTCAGTAAACTATCGCAAGAACAAAAAACCAAACACGGCATATTCTCACTCATAGGTGGGCATTGAACAATGAGAACACATGGACACAGGAAGGGGAACATCACACTCTTGGGACTGTTGTGGGGTGGGGGGAGGGGGGGAGGGATAGCATTAGGAGATATACCTAATGCTAAATGACGAGTTAATGGGTGCAGCACACCAGCATGGCACATGTAGACATATGTAACTAACCTGCACATTGTGCACATGTACCCTAAAACTTAAAGTATAATAATAATAAAATTAAATTAAATTAAATTAAAAAAAAAGAAAGTGCTTATGTTTTTGGATTGATTCATAGAATTTAGGAAGGATCTTCTCAGTTCACTGGTGGACTCAGAACCAACATGTGAGAATGGCCGTGTTTGTTTAGTAGTTATATGAGACACGTTAGTGGAGAGGGGGAAATTTGGGAGCCACCATGGAAGATTTGGGCCTCAGTTAAAGCCAAATTGCTCTATTTTAAAAACCTATTCAAAACCTATCTGATAAAACATTTTCTTAAATATATGGTACAATTTCTTGTTGGGTGCCTATTTATAAAACAGTGAGCCAAGTTCTGTGACTATGATATCTGGAGAAGGGTGTTTGCTGGTAAGAGTTTATTTTCTTAAGGAAGAAATGGTAAAGAACATCACATTGCATGGTGATGTGGAGAGAGGGGTTGAAAAGATTCTCCTTCTCAATCCTGTAAATGCGTCTTTTTTTTTTTTCCAGCTCTTCAGCCAACGTCAGGGTAGCCAAGAGTGCAGAACACACACGAGGGTGGCACACATTAGAGAGACCCCCATTGTGTTGTAGCAGAGCTGTGGCTAACACCTTGCTGGAGGGCCTGGGTGAAGACAGAGGGTGCAGTATCCTACAGCTTTGCCAGGAAGGTAGATTCAGAGACCTGGAAAGATTTGGGATACCCTGCATGGCAAAAAGGAAAATATAAAATATTGGTAAGATAACTTTATTCCTAAAAGCATGTGCTGGTGTTTTGGAAAGTTGAATCCCACAGAGATAATTGAAACTTTTAGAATCCTAGGGTAGAACTGAAATGCAGATGACAAAATCAGTATCATTCATTGAGAGCTTTGGGCACATCAATAAGATGATAAAACAGAAACAAATAGAGACTCTTTCATTCATCAATTTAGGCTTATCTGTGAGCTCCATGTGGTGGCACAGCCTCAAGATGTTGAATCACCAATTTGTGCTTGGGATCCGGAATCAGAGGCACACCTGCCTGTCTCCCATCCTTTTCCTCTGCCCTCCAATATACAATGTGCTAGGTGCTCAGTGTGTGGATGTCATGGAACTGGGTTAGAACTACTTCATATATGGAGTATCTTGGTTCCTGTTTTCATGGAGATAAAAGTCCAGTGATATAGAAGGGTGTTTCTCAAACTTTAATGTTTGGGTGAATCATCAGAGATTCTTTGTTTCTAATAGAGTTTTAGATCACTACAATAAAACTTTCTGCAATGATGAAAATGTATTTTGTGCTGTCCAATGTGGTAGCCACTGGCAACATGTGGCTATTGGGAATGTGAAGTGTGGCTAGAGTGGCTAGGAACTAAATTTTAAATTTCATTTGATTTTTATTATTGTGAATGACCACATATAGCCATTGGCTAAAGTATTAGAAGCCAGGGCAGCTGGATCACTTGAGGTCAGGAGTTCAACACCAGCCTGGCTAACATGGTTTAACCTCATCTCTACTAAAAATACAAAAATTAGCCAGGCATAGTGGTGCATGCTTGTAATCCCAGCTACTTGGGAGGCTGAGGCAGGAGGATCACTTGAACCTGGGAGGTGGAGGTTGCAGTGAGCTGAGATCACGCCACTGCACTGCAGTCTGGGTGACAGAGTGAGACTCCATCTCAAAAAAAAAAAAGTGAGCTGGATCCTTGTTAATCATAACTTAGACTGTTGATCAGCTCATATGTATTACCGAGGAGCTTATTAGAAGTGTCTCATGTCCCTTTCAAGTGCTACCAAATTAGAATCTTCATTTAACAAGATCTCCAGATGATTTTGATACACATTAGAGTTTGAGAACCACTGGTATTCAACAGTGGTTCTTAAACTTAAACATACATTAGAATTACATCGAAGCCTTGACAGATTGCTGGAGTTATAATTTAGTAGTTTAGTGAGGGGTGTACGTGAATTTCCATTTCTAGCAAGTTCCCACATGATGCTGATGATGCTAGTCCCATGATCGCATTTTGAGAACCACCGCTGTACAAGATCTTCCATCCATTTTGCGCACTCTTTTCTTCAGGAATTGATGGAACTATCTGTAGACCTTGGGACCATTGTGTAAAGTTGCAAAGAGCAAAACTGAAAAAGCATAGGTAGAAGTGACATGAAATCCTCTTCTTCTCACTGTTGACTATGGTCTGGGGCAAAACTCTCTGAACTTCAGAGTTTTCTTCTTTTATTTTATTATTTGTAAAATTTTTTAAATGTAAGTAAAATATACATATAAAATATACCAACTTTACCATTTTTTTTCAACTTTTATTTTAGATACAGGGGGTGCATGTGTGAGGTGTTACAAGGGTATATTGCACATAGATAGTGAGCATAGTACCAAATAGGTAGTTTTCAACCCATGCTTTCCTACCTTCCTACTCCTCTATTAGCCCAAGGTATCTATTGTTCCTATGTTTATGTCCATAAGTGCTCAATGTTTAGCTTCCATTTATAAGTGAGATTATGTGGCATTTGGTTTTTTCTTCCTGCATTAATTCATTTAGGATTATGGCCTTCAACTCTATCCATGTTGCTGCAAAGGACATGATTTATTCTTTTTTATGGCTTCATAGTATTCCATGGTGTATACTACATTTTCTTTATTCAGTCCACCATTGATGGGCACCTAGATTGATTCTGTGTTTTTGCTATTGTGAATAGTGTGGTGATGAACATTAGAGTGCATGTGTCTTTTTGATATAATGTTGTATTTTTCTTTGGGCCTATATCTAGTAATGAGATAGCTCTGTCTTAAGTTCTTTGAGAAATCTTCAATTTGCTTTTCACAGTGGCTGAACCAATTTACATTATCACCAAAAGTGTATGGTGAAGCTGTGGGGAAAACAGAATCCTGGTTTATTTTTTAAACCTTTAAGTTTAGGTGTACATGTTCATGTTTGTTACATAGGTAAGTGTGTGTCATGAGGGTTTGTTGTACAGATTATTTCATCACCCAGGTATTAAGCCTAGTACCCATTAGTTACTTTTCCTGATCCTCTCCTTCCTTTCACCCTCTATCCTCCGATAGATCCCACTGTGTGTTGTTCCCTCTGTGTTCATGTGTTCTCATCATTTAGCTTCCACTTATAAGTGAGAGCATGTAGTATTTAGTTTTCTGTTCCTGTGTTAGTTTTCTAAGGATAATGCCTTCCAGCTCCATCCATGTCCCTGCAACAACATGTTCTAATCCTTTTGTGTAGCTGCATAGTATTTCATGGTATATATGTACCACTTTTTCTTTATTCAGT
Organism: Homo sapiens; assembly: GCF_000001405.40. NCBI lineage: Eukaryota > Metazoa > Chordata > Mammalia > Primates > Hominidae > Homo > Homo sapiens. The sequence goes on along the minus strand of NC_000002.12, from coordinate 14,485,506 downwards.
CTATCATTGATGGGCATTTAGGTTGATTCCATGTCTTTGCTATTGTGAATAGTGCTGCAGTGAAATACACATGCATGTTTATTTCCAATAAAAATATTTATATTCCTTTGGGCATATATCCAGTAATAGGATTGCTGGGTTGAATGGTATTTCTGTCTTTAGGTCTTTGAGGCATCACAACACCTTCTTCCACAATGGTTGAACTAATTTACACTTCTACCAACAGTGTGTAAGCATTCCTTTTTATCCACAACCTCACCAGCATCTGTTATTTTTTTGACTTTTTAATAGCCATTCTGGCTACTGTGAGATGGTATTTCATTGTGGTTTTGATTTGCGTTTCCCTAATGATTCAGTGATGTTGAGTTTTTTTTTTTTTTCGCATGATTGTTGGATACATTTATGTCTTCTTTTAAAAACTGTCTGTCTATATCCTTTCCCCACTTTTTTATGGGGTCAGTTTTTTTATTGTAAATGTAAGTTCCTTATAAATGCTAGATATTACATCTTTGTCAGATGCACAGTTTGCAAACATTTTCTCCCATTCTATACGTTGTCCGTTTACTCTGTTGATAATTTCTTTTGCTGTGCAGGAGCTCTTTAGTTTAATTAGATCCCATTTGTCAATTTTTGCTTTTGTTGCAATTGCTTTTGGTGTCTTCTTCATGAAATCTTTGCCCAGGCCTAAGTCCTGAGTGGTATGGCCTAGATTATCTTTCAGGGTTTTTATAGTTCTGGCTTTCACATTTAAGTCTTTAATCCATCTTCAGTTAATTTTTGTATATGATATAAAGAAGGAGTTCAGTTTTAATCTTCTGCATGTGGTTAGTCAGTTCTTGCAGCACCATTTATTGAACAGGGAATTCTTTTCCCATTCCTTGTTTTTGTCAACTTTGTTGAAGGTCAGATAGTTGTAGGTATATATTCTTATTTCTGGATTCTCTGTTCTGTTCCATTAGTCTATATGGTCTTTGTTTTTTTGTTTTTTACCAGTACTATACTGTTTTGGTTACTGTAGCCCTGCAGTATAGTTTGGAGTCAGGTAGCATGATAACATTGAATCTATAAATTGCTTTGGATAGTATGGCCATTTTAACAATATTGATTCTTCCTATCCATGAGGATGCAATGTTTTTCCATTTGTTTGTGTCATCTCTGATTTCTTTGAGTAGTGGTTTGTAGTTCTCCTTATAGAGATCTTTCACCTCCCTAGTTAGCCATATTCCTAGGTATTTTATTCTTTTTGTGGCAATTGTGAATGGGAGTTTGTTCCTGATTTGGCTCTCAGCTTAACTGTTGTTGGTGTATAGGAAGTCTAGTGATTTTTGCATATTGGTTTTGTATCCTTAAAACACTTTTGAGCTAAGACTATGTGGTTTTCTGGATATAGAATTATGTCATCTGCAAACAGGAATAGTTTCACTTCCTATCTTCCTCTTTGGATGCCCTTTACTTCTTTGTCTTCCTTGATTGCCCTGGCCAGAATTTCCAATACTATGTAGAATAGGAGTGGTGAGAGAGGGCATCCTTGTCTTGTGCCGGGTTTTAAGGGGAATACTTCCAAGTTTGCCCATTCAGTAAGATGTTGGCTATAGGTTTGTCATATATGGTTCTTATTGTTTTGAGGTATTTCCCTTCAATACCTAGTTTATTGAGGTATTTCCCTTCAATACCTAGTTTATTGAGGGTTTTTAACATGAATGGGTGTGGAATTTTATCCAAAGGCTTTTCTGTGTCTATTGAGATAATCATGTGTTTTTTGTCTTTAGTTCTCTTTATGTGAGGAATCACATTTGTTGATTTGCATATGTTGAACCAACCTTGAATCCCAGGGACAAAACATAGTTGATCATGGTGGGTAAGCTTTTTGATGTGCTGCTGGATTCAGTTAGCCAGTATTTTGCTGAGGATTTTGGCACTGATGCTCATAAAAAATATTGGCCTGAAGTTTTCATTTTTTGTTGTGTATCTGCCAGATTTTACCATCAGAATGATGCTGGCCTCATAGAATGAGTTAGGGAGGGATCTCTCCTTTTTTTTTGGAATAGTTTCAGTAGGAATGGTATTAACTCTTCTTCACACATCTGGTAGAATTCAGTTGTGAATCTGTCTGGTCCTGGGCTTTTTTGGTTGGTAGGCTATTTATTACTGCTTCAATTTCAGAACTCATTATTGGTCTGTTCAGGGACTCAGTGTTTTCCTGGTTCAGTCTTGGGAGAAGGTACCCATTTCTTATTAATTTTGTAGTTTATGTACATGGAGATATTCATACTATTCTCTGATGGTTGTGTGTATTTCTGCCCGGTCAGTGGTAATATCCCCCTTGTAATTTCTGATTGTGTTTATTTGAATCTTCTCTCTTTTCTTCTTTATTAGTCTAGCTAGACGCTATCTATAGCACTAATTTTTTTGAAAAAAAAAAAACAATCTCCTGGATCTGTTGATATTTTGAATGGCTTTTTGTGTCTCTATCTCCTTCAGTTCAGCTCTGATTTTGTTTGTTTCTTGTCTTCTGCTGGCTTTTCTTTTAAAAACTGGATCAGCAAAGCTACCTAGTGGGGAGATCATGAGTATCTTAGAGACTGAATGTAAGCCAAATGCATTCCACAGTGCATGGCACACTGTGGGTTCTGACTGAATTGTAAATATCTCTAGATGAAACTGGAACCAAAGCATCACTTCTTAGGAAATCTCAGCTGCTTCCATGTGGTATCTCATCTTCTTACTTCCGTGCTGTCTTCTTTTCAGTTTTCTCTGTCTCTGTCATAAAATTTTTATTTCCCAGTTTTATTCTGTAACTTATTTATTTATTTATTTATTTTGAGACAGAGTCTCACTCAGTCTGTTGCCCAGGCTGGAGTGCAATGGCACAATCTCAGCTCACTGCAACCCCTTCCTCCCCAGTTCAAGCAATTCTTCTGCCTCAGCCTCCCGCGTTGCTGGGATTACAGGCTCATGCCACCATGTCTGGCTGATTTTTGTATTTTTGGTAGACATGGGGTTTCACCACGTTGGCCAGACTGGTTTCAAACTCCTGACCTCAAGTGATTCGCCCGCCTTGGCCTTCCAGCATGCTGAGATTACAGGTATGAACCACCACTCCCAGCCTTTATTCTGCTTATTCTTTGATTTGTGTCTTCCCCCCACTTTTTTTCTTTTCTTTCCCTCATTCCTCTATCTCTCTTTCCCTTTCTTCCTCTCTTTCTTCTTTGTCTTATTTTTTTTCCTTTTTTCTCACTTTTTATTCCATTGGACCCCCTGTATTCTTTAAGATAATTACTAGTGGATACTAAAATAATTTATCTTTTTATAATAATTAGGAGAAATAATCAAATGGATTATCAGAAAAGAGGCATATATTCCAATTTCCTTAAATCACTAGTGATTAGTAGGAGGTTTTTTTTTTTTCTTTTTTCTTTTTTTTTGTAAAGTGGAAATGTTTAGATCCTAAAAGGACTGATTGAGAGGTAGTATAAAGGGTGCCCATTTCCTTTCTCTGTTTCTCAGAACTGTTTCTACTTGCTCTCTATCTTAAAAGCTTATGAATCTGTATACCACTCCATGGGTTATACATTAAAGGATTTTTAGGTTGGAAGTGTGTATTCTCTTCCATACCATGTGCTTATTGCATTTGTGACCATTTTGTGGATATTATTAGCAGAGCCCAGGATGGGCATTTTCAAGAAACAAGATTAGTCCTATGAATGTCCTCATCTCACAGAGTATTAAATCTGAAAGGATTATTAGACTTCACCTTCTCCAACCTCTTACTTATTTATATTGGTAATACAAGCCTAGGTAGAAATGAAGACTTATGCATGGTCATACATATTTAGATTTCGATGGTGTTCAGTTTATTATTCTAGGCTTTTGTTTGCAGGTGACCAAAACACAACTTCAACAAGACTCTGCTAAGAAGTGCCTCTATTGGCTGTGAATTTCAAGGAAAGATTGAGCCACAGGTCCACGAAGGGTAGAGATGGAGCTAGTCCTCAGAATTAGGGATGGACCTGCTGCTAAATGTTTGTCTCCATCTCTCATTCCTGCTTCTTTCAGTGCACTCTGGTGTTTTCCATGGTCATCACTGCTTTTAAATATTGACCAGTTATGATTTTATTCCTGAAAAAGGTTACTTGATGTTCTAGGACAAACATTTAGAAGAACACCTTGGATCAAGTGCCAACCCTTGGATCAGTGAACTATGACTAGAGTGTGGGGTTTTGTAACAGCATAACAGGTTCCATGACAATGGTTGTAATAGAGGAGAGACAGTTCCCAGAAGTAGAAGCATGCTGCTTCTGGAGAATAAAGGGGATATTGGGCAGAGAAAACAATAGGTAATGTCTATGATTAGTGATAAGCTTTGGTGACTGTGATTGCATTGGTTGGCAGCAGATGGCAGTGATCAAAAGCTTACATATTTTGGTTGGCCCTATGAACTAAATGGTGCGGTGATTACACTCATTTATTTGTATATTAGTACTTATCTTGTGCTGTGAGGGTAATAAAAGTCAGTGTTCTTTCATTATATAGGTAGCTCAGGAGATTTTATCATTTAACCTGAAAGATTAAATAACACTAGTTTAGCATTGTGGTATCATTGCTAGATACACACACAAACATACACACATATACATCTATACCTGTATCTATAGTCACATCTATCTATCTATCATCTATCTATCTAATCTATCTATCTCCCTACATATCTGTTTATGAAATTAGACGAATAGAACTGTTTAGGGGTTCATATGTTCATGTTTCTGTAGTATGTTCATATGTAATATGTAGATCATAGTAGGGTTTCATGTGTTCATGCTTCCGTAGTATGTCCCATAAGGAATCTATGAGATTTCTCATTTTACTCCTCTTTGAAAATTACAAAATATATGCCTGGGTCTATTGTTTTAATTAAAGTATCTAGAAAGACAGTATAAGGTTTATTTTAAAAATCAGTGCCCAAATTGTAGCAGAAATTAAATATAGCTCACTAAATTATCTATATATGTGTAGACATGCATCCACATACAGATATAGACACATATAACTACAGGACTGCAATGTTTATTTGCCAATTTTAATCTCCACAGAGTAGTTATAAAATCATTGACAGATATTAACTAGGTTAGTGACTCTTGTGATCTTGATACTGCGTTTGTTTGCTTGTTTGCTTTTGATCGTTTATATATTATCTTTCTATTTGTTTCAGATCCCCACTGACCTACAATAAACTGGCTTCCTTATTCCAAGGCTCATATCATGATTGTAGGGAATGCAACATCTTTCTCCAAATGCCTAAAGTTGAGTTTCCCCCCTCATTTAAGACCTCTAATAGCTAAATGTGGATACTGAAGGTGGGAATGCTTCTTAACCCTGAATGAGAGTATATTTGTGTGCACATGCATTCATTGGAGTACAGAGAGGTGTCAGAAAAGTTTCCAAGAGTAAGTGACTTCCAACTTGAATAATACATAGAATTCAGCCAGATGAGGGAATTATGTTCCAGGCAGCAGAAACAATGCACTCAAAGGTTCTGGGCATCAAGGAACATGTCCAGTAAGTATAGGCAGTCACACATGTAGGCCTAAGCATCATGAGAGAAATCTTAGTTAGAGACAAATATTTTGAAGTCATCTGTATTTAGAAGGTAACCTAAGGTAAGGAGAGATGAAGAGTGCTTGGAAGGAAATTCTGATAATAGCTGAATTTGAAGGATAGCCAAGAAAAAGAGGAAATCCACAAAATTCTGATCTGGGGAAGCCTAAGGGAATGTCTATTTCCAGAAAAAAAGGACTTGTCAACAAGAGTCCATGTCACCAAGAGGTAAAAAGTCAAGATTGAGAAACTTCTTCAAATTTAGCGAGAAAGAGCTTGGTTATTTCATGTTCCTCCTGTTAATCATTCTCCTGACCCAGCAGGAAAATTTAAAAATGGACTTCTCTTGCCTGATTAGCGGTTTGTAATCTGATCTCCTCAATGTATGGATTACATTGGCAGGGGACCCTTTGAATATAGACTATTTTGTTACTTTAAAATAATAATAAATAGCTATTACTTAATAAGCATTTATCATAATTCAGACATTTAAGAACATGATCACAAATACTTACACCTCTATATTTTATAGGTAAAGAAACTAATGAATTTCTCTAATTCATATAGCTTCATATTCAGGAGTCTGTTATTTGAATTTAGATCTCTTTGACTCTCAAAGAGCTCAGTCCTTGGAACTTCACATCCTCTTCCTCTTCTTTTTATAAATCTAATCCTATCCCCTTGATGAGTTAACCATTTTCCTGGCCTTTAATGCCATCTCTATGCCAACAACTTTCAAACTTATACCTCTAGCCCAGACCTCTCTTCTGAACTACATACTTCTTTATTCAATTGCTCATTTGAAATCTTCAGTTAAATATCTACAAGGCATGAAAAAAACCTTAACATACCTAAAGCTGAACTTCTGATTTTCTTACTTTAAATCTACTTACAATCTTCTCCATTTAACCTGGTGGCAACTTCATTCTTCTGTTTGCTCAAAGTAAAAACCTTGGAGTCATCTTTAACTTCTCTTTCTCTCATATCCCAAATTTAAATCATCAGTAAGTCATACCCCCATAGCATGTACAGAATCCAATCACCTCTCACCATTTTTGCTATCATCCAAACCACTATCATTTCTTATCTGGAGAACCATAGCAATCTCCTTTTTCCACCCTTCTATACCTGCACTGTGTTCTCAACTCAACCACCAGAGTCTTTGAAACAAAAAAAAGCGCATATGCTTAAATATGCTGTTCTTCTATTCAAAACCTTTCAGGGGCTCTCCATATGCCTTAGAATAAAAGCCAAAGTCCTCATAGTGACCTATAAGGCTATATATGATTTGAGTCCTCCAACTCCCTTGCTTACCTCATTTCACTTTACTATCAACCTTGTTCAATATGTTCTCTGCTGGCCCCACTGGCCTCTTTGGTGTTCCTTGAAACCTTCTGCAGTAAAACCTTCACACTGACCATTTCATTTTCCTGAAATGCTCTTCCCACAGATATGTATGCCTAACTTCTTCAATACCTTCAAGTTTTTGCTCAGGATTGTCATTTTAAATGAGATTTACCATTTCCAGACTTCCAGTTTGAACACAAAAAGAGGTAATTAAGGAAACTATCCCTTTCATTTTCATTGCATTGTAGACTTATCCTGAAGTTCAAAGTAGTTCATACGTGAGTCAGATAGCATGCATTTTACTTGTGCTCATTTAAGCTATGTGACAAAGTATAACATACAAAATGCTCAGTGAGTGTGATTTGAGATAGAATGTTGGATTGAATTCTTTTGTTCTTGCAATTGCTGAATTGAACACGTAATCAGGACCCAAGAACAACAAGGCAATAGAGCTCTGTGAAGAATGGAATTTCACTAGCCTCTCTTTTATTTGACAAATATTTGTTAGGCCAACACTCTGTGTTAGAAACTGGGATTTATTATAAGGGGGAGGGCAGGAAAGTAATCTATATATTGAAAGAACTCAGGGTTCAGATAAAGAATTAGACAAGAAAGGAGCTAAGAAGGTCTAGGTTAGAGTGAGGCATGAAGAAAGGCATGATCAGTTATATCTGGGAGTGAGACAGGAGGGAAAGTAAATGAGATTAGAAAAGACTTCACAGAAGAGGTGACAATTTGAATATTGAAAGACATACAAAAGTTTGGTACATAAACAATAGGAAGAAGAGCTGTCCAGGGAAAGGAAAACCAAAAACAAAACTATGGAGATTTAAGAATAAGTGTCATATGTTCAGATAATGTAAGTGAATTTCCAAATTATCATTTTCTCACCCATAACGCCGTAAGTATACATGGATATTTAAGTGATCTTTATGTGGAGCTTAGAAATTTCACAAATTTCTAATAACTAATGGATAACTCCCTTAAGTCAAAGGAATTCTCAAAAGGAATTTAGGCACAATGCAGACACATTCTTTAACACAAAGCATTACTGCTTCACATTGTGTCATTACACAGTTACGTCCCTATTGGACTTCTCCTAATCATTAATATTTCTGAACACTCAATGAAAGTAAGATTTAATCCCTTCGGTTTGTTTGCTGCATGCATACCAGATGGCAAAGAAGATCTACATAGCCACTCCGAGAGTAACCACATATTGATAAAAAAATCTGTGAGAAACTCACAGGTGAAAGTCAGTACAAAGTCAAATTCATAGTACCCTATAACTGTAATTGTGGTGTGCAAATCAATTATATCTTTTTTTTTTTTTTTTTTTGAGACGGAGTTTTGCTCTTGTTGCCCAAGGTGGAGTGTAATGGCATGATCTCGGCTCCTGGCAACCTCTGCCTCCCAGTTTCAAGTGATTCTCCTGCCTCAGCCTCCTGAGTAGCCGGGATTACAGGCATGCACCACCATACCCAGCTAATTTTTTGTATTTTTAGTAGAGATAGGTTTCTACATGTTGGTAAGACTGGTCTTGAACACCCGACCTCAGGTGATCTGCCACCTTGGCCTCCCAAAGTGCTGGGATTACAGGCGTGAGCCACCGTTCCCGGCCAATCAATTGTATCTTTAGTATGAAGGTTAAAAGGTAAAACTACTACAATATGGTAGTTTGTTAAGGTATACACGATAAAAAACAAAAGATGTAAAACGTGACATCAAAAATATAAAATGTATGTGTGTGATAAATGTTTGGATGTTTTAATGTGATCAAGGTTAAGTTGTTATCAGCTTGTAATACTCCTCTTGTAACTGTAAGATGTTTTATGTAAGCATTTTGGTAACTATAAGAGATACACAAAAGATTTACAGTAAAAGATTAAAGCATACCAGTAGGGAAAACTGTCTAATCAAAAAGCAAGAGAGCAGACAGAGGAAGAAAGGAACAAAGGATCCATAAAACAATCATAAAATAATTAACAAAATGGTAGTAGTAAGTTCTTATCAATAATTACTTTGAAGGTAAATGGACTAAATTCTCCAATCAAAAGATGTAAAGTAGCTGAATGGATTTTTTAAAAAGAGGGACAACTATATGCTGCCTATAAGGGGCTCACTTCACCAGTAAGGACACATAGGTTGAAAGTGAAAGGATGGAAAAAGATATGCTATGCAAATGGAAACCAAAAGAAAGCAGCAGCAATGTCTTAGTTCATCTTTTGCTGCTATAACAGAATACCTGAAAATTATTAATTTATTATCGATGGAAATTTATTGGCTCATGGTTCTGGAGGCTCGGAAGTCCAAGATCAAGGAGCTGCATCTGGTCACAGCTTTCTTGCTGAGTCATAATATGGCAGAACGTATCACGTGATGAGAGAGATAACAAGAGACAACCAAATTCACTTTCATAACAAACCCACAGTCATGAATTATGAACCCAAACTTTTTAAAAAAATTGTTTATTTGAGCAAATCGTGCATTGTCAATTAGGAAGCACAAAACTGAATGAAGTCAGGCTTTTATGAGATGAATGCAGAAGTAAGAGAAAGACAATATTTGATCCATTACTTTTATACAGTTGCCCTATTTGTTCTTTTCCATTAGAAAGTCTCTAGTTATATGTTACCTGGATGCTTCTGATCGGTTGAGCTTGGGTTTTTAAAAATAAATCTATATTAACCATTTTGCCATCATAATACTCTGGGTAAAAATGTACTGTTACAATGGCAATTTAATCTGAAGCAGAATTTCATGTATTATAGGACCTTTTTTTTCAGCTTTCATTTTAGGTTCACGGGGTACATGTGCAGGTTTGTTATGTGGGTGAACTGTGCATCATTGAGGTTTGGTATAGAAATGATCCTGTCATTCAGGTAGCGAGCACAGTACCGAAAGGGTAGTTTATCAACCCTCACCCCCATCCCACTCTACCCCCTCTAGTAGTCCCCGTTGTCTATTGTTCCTATCTTTATGTCCATGAGTATTCAATGTTTAGCTCCCACTTTTAAGTGAAAACACATGGTATTTAGTTTTCTGTTCCTTTGTTAATTTACTTAGAATTCTGGCCTTCAGCTGCATCCATTTTGCTGTGAAGGGTATGATTTCCTTCTTTTTTATGGCTACACAGTATTTCATGGTGTGTTTTACCACATTTTCTTTATCCAATCCACTGTTGATGGGCACCTATGCTGATTCTATGTCTTTGACATAATGATATGACAATTTATATTCCTTTGGGTATGTATCTAGTAATGGGATTGATGGGTTGAATTGGTGGTTCTATTTTAAGTTCTTTGAGAAATCCCCATACTGTTTTCCACAGTGGCTGAACTAATTTACATTCCCAATAACAGAGTTTAAGCACTCCCTTTTCTCTGCAACCTCACCAACATCTGTTATTTTTTGACTTTTAATTATAGCCATTCTGACTGGTGTGACATGGTATCTCACTGTGGTTTTGACTTGCATTTCTCTAATGATTAGTGATGTTGAACATTTTTCCATGTATTTGTTGGCCACATGTATTTCTTCTTTTGAGAAGTATGTGTGCACGTCCTCTGCCCATTTCTAAAAAGGGTTATTTGGTTTTTGCTTGCTGAATTAAGTTACTATTTATAGGTTGTGTATATTAGACCTTTGTCAGATGCATAATTTGAGAATATTATTACCCTTATGTGGGTTGCCTGTATACTTTGTTGATGGCTTCTTTTTCTGTGCAGAAGCTTTTTAGTTTAATTAGGTCCCCCTTGTCAACTTTTGTTTTTTTTTGCAATTGCTTTTGGGGAATTAGTAATAAATTATTTGCCAAGGCCAATGTCCAGAATGGTATGTCTTAGGTCTTCACCAAGGATTTTTATACTCTTAAGTCTTATATGTAAGCCTTTAATCCACTTTTGATTTTTGTTTTGTTTTGTTTTTGCTTTTGTTTTGAAACAGGGTATTACTCCGTCAACCAGGCTGGAGTACAGTGGTGCCATCACGACTAACTGCAATCTTAACCTCCCAGGATGAAGTCATACTCCCACCTCAACATCTCTAGTAGCTGGGACTATAGGCACATGCCATCACAGTTGACTAATTTTTCTATTTTTGGAGAGACGAGGTCTCTTTATGTTCCCCAGGCTGGTCTCAAATTCCTGGGCTCAATCCTCCAGGCTTAGCCTCCCAAAGTGCTGCGATTACAGTCATGAGCCACACACTTGCCTCTTCAATCCATGATAAGTTAATTTTTGTATATGGTGAAAGACAGGGGTTCAGTTTCATACTTCTGCATGTGGCTAGCCAGCTATTCCAGTACCTTTGGTTGAATAAGGGGTCCTTTATTCCATCTTTTATTTTTGTTGATGTTGTTGAAGATCAGATGGCTGTAGGTGTGCAGCTTTATTTCTGTTTTTTCTGTTCTGTTCCATTGGTCTATTTGTCTGTTTTTGTACCAGTACCACGTTGTTTTGTTTACTATAGGCTTGTAGTATAGTTTGAAGCCAGGTAGTATGATGCCTCCAGTTTTAATTTTTGCTTAGGATATCTTTGGCTATTGAGGCCTTTTTACATATGAATTTCAGCGTATTTTTTTTTTTCCAATTCTGTGAGAAAAAGACATTGGTAGTTTGCTAGAAATAGTACTGAGTCTGTAGATTCCTTTGGGCAGTACAGCCATTTTAATGATATTGATTCTTCCAATCCATGAGTATAGAATATTTTTTCATTTATTTTTATCATCTATAATTTCTTTCATCAGTATTTTGTAGTTTTCCTTAGAGAGATCTTTCATCTCCTTGGTTAGATGTATTCCTGGGTGTTTTATTTCCTTTTTTTCTGGCTATGGTGAATGAGATTGCATTCTTGATTTGGCTGTCAGCTTGAATGTTATTGGTGTACACAAGTGCTACTAATTTTTGTACATTGGCTTTGTATCATGAAACTTCACACCAAATTCATTCATCAGCTATAGGAGTCTTTTGGTGAAGTCATTAATATCATCAGTATAGACATATAACTTTATTTCTTTTCCTATTTGGATGCCTTTTATTTCTTTGTCTTACCTGATTGCTCTGAGTAGAACTTACAGTACTATGTTGAATAGGAGTGGTGAGAGCAGGGGTCCCTGTCTTATTCCAGTTATTAAGTGAAATGCTTCCACCTTTTGCCTATTCAGTGTGATACTGGCTGTGAGTTTGTCATAGATGGCTCTTATTATTTTGAAGTATGTTCTTTCGATCTATTTTCTCATGTTTGTTGATGATTTTTATCATGAAGATTTAGGATTTTTTCAAAAGCTTTTTCTGCATCTATTGAGATGATCATGTAGTTTTTGTTAATTCCGTTTATGTGATGAATCACATGTATTGATTTGCATATGTTGAACCAGCCAAGCATCCCAGAAATAAAGCCTACTTGATAGTGGTGAACTAGCTTTTTGATGTGCTGCTGGATTTTGTTTGCTGATATTTTGAGGATTTTTGCATCTGTGCTCATTACGGATATTGTCCTGTAGTTTTCTTCTGTGTTTGTCACATTTTGGTATTAGAGCGATGCTTGCTTCACAGAATGAGTTAGTAAGAAATGTCCCTTTCTCAAATGGTTTGGAATAGTATCAGTGGGATTGGTACCAGCTCTTCTTTGTATGTCCAGTAGTATTTGGTTGTAAATAAATCTTTTTCAGGCCCAGTTTGGTTGGTAGGTTTTTTTATTACTGATTTGATTTTGCAACTCAATATGTCATTCAAGCTTTTGATTTCTTTCTATTTCAGGCTTGGGATGTTGTGGGCTTCTAGGAATTTATCTGTTTCCTTTAAATTTTCTAGTTTGTGTGCATAGTGGTGCTTATAATAATTTCTGAGCATTTTTTGTATTTCTGTGGGATCATTTGTCATGTCACCTTTGTCATTTCTGATTGCACTAATTTGGATCTTCTCTATTTTTTCTTTGTTAATCTGGCTAGCTGTCTATCAACCTTGTCTATCCCTTCAGTGAGCTAGCTTTTGGTTTCATTGATCCTTTGTATTTATTTTTGGATCTCAATTTTGATGAACCCAATTTGAGATGACAATATTAATCTATTTATGAATGCTGAGCCCTTATGTCCTAATCACTTCTTAAAAGTCCCATCTCTCAACACTTGAATTGGAGGTCAAGTTTCCAGCATATGAACTTTGGAAAACATTCAAACTACAGCAGATAGCTAACTTAATATCAGATAAAATAAACTTTAAGTAAAAACTGTAAGACAAGACAAAGTTGATCATTATATAATGTTAAAGAAACCAATTCATCATGAAAATATAACAATTATAAATACATAGCACCCAACTTCAAAACACCAAAATATATAAAGAAAATATCAATAGATTGTAATATAATAATATGAGGGGATTTTGGTACTCTACTTTCAACAATAAACAGATTGCTCAGACACAAAATCAATAAGGAAACATTGGGCTTGAGCTACACTTTTGACCAAATGGACCTAAGATTTATACAAAACATTTTACTCAACAGCAGCAGTATACACATTCTTTTCCAGTGCACACAGAACATTCTCCAAGATAGATGATTTATTAGTCCACAAAACTCATCTTAACAAATTTCATAAGATTTAAATTATATCAGGTAACTTTTTCAACCACAATGGTATGAGACTAGAAATCAACAATAGGGAGAACTTCAAAAAATTCACAAATACATGAAAATTAAACAACATACTTCCTCCCCCCAAAAAAATGGGTTAAAGAAAAAATTAAAAGGAAAACTCAAAAACATACATTAAGACAAATGACAATAGAAATAAAACATATCAAAACTATGGGATGCAGCAAAGAAATTTTGAAAGAGAAGTTTATAGCAACAAATGTCTACATTAAAAAAGAAGAAAGATCCCAAATAAACAATCTAACTTTATATCTCAAGAAATTAGAAAAGAAAAAGAACAAACCAAGCCCAAAGTTAGTTGAAGGAAGTAAATAATGAAGTTAAAAGCATAAATAAACAAATTAGAGAATAGAACAACTAAAAATGATCAATGACACCAAGAGTTAATTTTTTAAGAAAAGAAAGAAAATCAATAAACTTTAGCTATACTAAATAAAAAAATGAAGACAGAAAACTCAAGTAAATAAAATCAGAAATGCAAAAATGAAAAAGGAGACATTTTAATTGATACCACAGAAACACAAATGATCACATAAAGAATAATTATATGCCAGAAAATTGGATAAAACGAATAGATAAATTTTTAGACAGATAAAATTTACTAAAACTGAATTATGAAAAAATTAAAAATTTGAATAGACCAATATTAATTGTATTAGTACTAAAAATCTCCCATCAAATAACTCAGTACCAGAGTTAGCTTCAATGCTGAATTCTACCAAACATTTAAAGAACCAATACCAATTCTCAAACTCACCCAAAAAATTGAAGAGTAGGAAAAACTTTCAAAGTCATATTGAGGCCAGCATTGCCTTTGTACCCAAGCCAGACAACGGTACTACAAAATAAATTAAAAGCCAGTACAGCACATGATCTTTGATGAACATATATGAAAAAATCCTAAACAAAATTATGGCACACCAAATTCACCAACACATTAAAAGTACCATTCATCACGATAAAGTGGTATTTATCCTTGGTATGCAAGGATGATTCAACATATGCTAATCAGTAAATGTGATTACATACATCACATTTTCAGAATGAATAACAAAAAAAATCATCTCCATAGATGTAGGAGAGGCATGCAAAAAAATTCAGCATCTTTTTATGATAAAAACTCCAAAGAAATTAGGTATAGAAGGAATGTACCTCAACACAATAAAGACAATACGTGACAAGCCCAGAGCTAACATCATATCAAATAGTGAAAAGGTGAAAGCTTTTCCATGAAAATCAGGAAAAGGATAAGGATGCCCACTCTCACCACTTCAATTCAACATAGTATTGAATGTCCTAACCAGAGCATTTAGGCAAGAGAAAGAAATAAAAGGCATTCAGATCACCAAAAAAAGTTAAATTGTGTTTGTTTGCAGAAGTGATTTTATATATAGAAAACCCTAAAGACTCTACCAAAAATTGTTACAATAATCAAATTTAGTAAAGTTGCAAAATAGAAATTAATATACAAAAATTAATAGCATTTCTATACACTAGCAATGAACCAGCCAAAAAAATAAATAAAGAAAACGCTTACAATCAAAAAATTATTTACAATGATTACAAAGAAAAATAAAGTGCTTAGGAATAAATTTAACCAAGAAGGTGAAGAACCCATACTCTAAACATTATAAACATTGAAAAAGAAATTGAAGAAGACACAAATAAATGGAAATATATCCCATGTTCGTGGATTGGAAGACTTAATATTGTTAAAATGTCCATAAAACCCAGAGTGATCTACAGATTCCATGCAATCTCTGTAAAATTCCAATTAAGTTTCTTTTTGTGAAATAGAAAAGACAATCCCAAAATTTATATGGAACAACCAAGGACCTTGAATAGCCAAAGTAATCTTGAGCAAAACGAACAAAGTAAAGGCATCAGACTACCTGATTTGAAAATCTATTAAATATTACAAAGTTAAAGTTATTAAAACAGTATGGTAGTGGAATAAATACAGACATATACATCAGCGGAACATAATAGAGAGCTCAGAAAGAAATCCAGTCATATATGGCCAATGATGCCAAGAGTACACAATGGAGAAAGGTCAATCTCTTCAATAAATAGTGCTGTGAAAATTGGATATCCACATGGCAAAAGAATAAATTAATCCTTCCCACACTATATACAAAAGTCAACACACAGTGAATTACACACTTAAACATAAGAGCTGAAACTAAAACTACTAGGAGAAAACATAAGGAAAAATTTCCATGACATTAGTCTGAGCAAATATTTTTTGTACTATGACACCACAAGCAGAGGCAACAAAAACAAAATAGACAAATGGGATTAAACTAAAAAGCTTCAGCAGAGCAAAGGAAACAATCAGCAAAGTGAACAAACAAACTACTAAATATGTGAATATATTTGCACATCATAATCTGATAGGGGACTTATATCCAAAATATATAAGAAATTCAAACAACTAAATAGTAAAAAAACAAATAAAGGACCAGACTAGACATCTCTCATATAAAGACATACAAATGGCCAACAGTTAAATGAAAGTTCCTCAACATCACTAATCATAGAAATGCAAATTATAACCACAAAGAAACATCACATCGTTGTTATAATAGTTTTTATAAAAAGACAAAATATAACAAGTATTGGCAAAGCTGTGGAGAAAGAGCAACCTTTGTACCTCTGTTGGTGGAAAATATGGAAACCAGTATGGAAGTCTCTTAAAAATTAAAAATAGTAGTGCCCTATGATCCAGCAATCTCGCTATCCAAAGAATATGAAATAAATACGTCAAAGAGATAGCCACACTCTCATGTTGATTGCAGTTTGTAGTATTATTTATAATAGCCAAATAGCCAAACTATGAAATCAACTTAAGTGTTCATCAATGGATGAATGCATGAAGAAAATGTTATATATATATATAATATATATGTTATATATATTTTATATATGTTATATATATATTTACATATGCAATGTAATACTATTTAGCTTTAAAAAACAAAAGAATTCCTGTCATTCATGACAGCATGTATGAACCTGAAGGTTATTATGTTATGCCATGTTATGTTAAATAAAATAAGCCAGGCACAGAAATACACATACAGTATGATCTCCCTTATATGTGGAGTGAAAATGTTAGACTGATCAAAATAGAGAGTAAAGTGGTGGTTACCAGAGACAGAGTAGTCAGAGATTTGGAAGATGTTGTTCAAAGGACATAACCTTTTAGTTAGATGGGAAGAATAAGTTTAAGATATCTATTGTACATGGTGACTACAGTTAATAGCAATGTATTATACATTTGAAAATTGTTCTCACCACAAAATAATGATGTTTGTGAGGTAATATATATCTTAAATAGCTTGCTTTAGCCAGACATTCCACAATGTATACATATATCAAAATATTATGTTGTACACCATATATTTATACAATTTTACTTGTCAATTAAAAAAAAAAAAAGACTGGTGAGTTTTCTGGTATGCTTTCCAGATGTCTTTACAAGGGATGTTGGAAGTCAAGTAATTCATGATTCACAGTGCTCTTCCTTTATTTATCTGGATGAATCCAATTTTGAACATATTTTAAGTACTATATTCTATTTAGACCAAAGAATATCAAGGCTATTATTTACACAAATGAAAATGATCCATATATTTTCTTTGGTTTTCATCAATGCATTACTCTGCAGGGCAAGGCTATCTTGATTGGGTATTATAAGCACAATCTAAATCTCTTTTAAAGTGTCTATTTGTCCAAATCCCTAGACATCAAGTTGAAAGTGCATTATGTTTTTTGTTCTCTTATTTGCTTTTCTAAATAGAACCCAAGTTTCTTCTTTCTATTGTGTTTTCTGGAAAGATGAGAAGATTTGGGTTTTGTTTGTCTTTATTTAGACAATGAAAACTTCATTCTCTTCTCATGTTTCCAGGAGAGTTCAGGAAGTTAGCAGTAGACTCTTGGTAGCCCTCAGGATTCAAATGTATGCTACATAAGTAAATAGGTTTAACTCTGTTGCATCCTAAATGTCACTAAAATACTAGAAAGCAAAGTTTCAAAATATGTGTAACACTGGAAAGCAAAAATTATCCAATACCAGACAACAAAAATGGTAACTATCTGGAAAGAGAATGGAATGTTATAAATACTTTATGCAGTGTGATAATCTTTCACTCAGATATTTAGTCTAATTACAATTAATGTAATTAATGAATGTTTGCATTACACTATTTTATTATTGGTTTAGGTAGATAGATTATAGATACATATTCCATTTCTTTTATACTTTTTTCTCTCCATTCATTTGTATGTATAAGTTTTAATCATTTACTATGTCTTCTCTGTTAGAATCTTAGTATTTATTCTTCAGTATTTCATCTTTGAATATCCTATAGATCATAAAATTCATACTTATGACAGTCGAATATAGATAGCTTTAACCACTTACTAGACAGCCCTATGACTTTAGAACACCTTGTCCTTCTACCTCCTTTGTGTATTTTACTTTATTGTTCTTAGCATTTTTAATTCCTTACACATTTTGATTGTATAAGATAGTATTATAATTACTTTTTATGTATATATTAGTTTTCTTCTTTTGTTGCCTGCAAAATTTATTTCTCTTTAGTTTCTGAAGTTTGTTGTTACTAGAGTAGGTTGTTTTTCTTCTTTAATTTGTGGAGTTTTTTCCTATACCTTCCTGATTAATGATGGTCAGTGTCTCCATAGAGTTGACTTTATCAAGTCATTTCAATTCCATTTGTATGCTTCTATAGGGCCAAGGCTATATCATCTATTTCTGTGTAGGCATTAAAATTGAAGGCCAACCTCTGTGACATACACCCCAGGAGGGGAAAAACAGTCAAAACACTGATGCTCAGTACCCTCAACTCCTGTCTATTGTGGTATCATACATTGAATTTAATAGTCTGGCTTTAAATTTCATTTTATTCTAGATCTCAGGTGCTTTTATTTCTCCTTACATGCTTATATGGGAATTTCGTAGGGTTTCTCACACTTTTTTTCTTATCTGTTTACACAGTTTTCTGTACATTTATAATAGAAGATATAGTGCACATTCTAATTGTTTGTTATGTTGCCATAACTGGACCAAAGATATTGTGTTAAATTAAACAAATACTTAGTCACAATACAAAATATATTGTATGAATCCATTCAATTTTTTAAAATGCTCTCAAATGTTTAGAAAATTTTGGAATAGGAACAGAATCCAGAGTTAAGTATTATATTGGGGAGAGGAGGGAGATTGGGAAACACATAGAATTAAACATTAATTTTTATTTTATATTTTCCAGTGCAATATTGACTTTTTAAATCTTCCAATTACAATTCCATATAAAAAATAGGCTTAAAAATAAAAATCAAGGGCTACTTATTTGCAAAGATTCATAAAATAGACAACTCTTTTGTTAAGTCTGATGAAAGGGGAAAAAAGAGTACTAGAATGAAAATTGTTAGTATGAAATAATGAGCATAATTACAGGAACATAACGTATTTTAGAAATTTGTGACATTTTATGCAAATGCATGAAATAATATTAAAAATTATAACAACATGTAAGACTGACAAAAATATACATTACAAAATTTGATTCAAGAATAGGTAGAAAATTTAAATAGTTCAATAACAATTTAGAAAGTGAATTTCGGCAAATACTTGACACAAAAATAAAAATTTAGCTCTAATTTCACTGGCAAGTTTTAGTAACCTATTTATTAACAGATAACTTCTAAGTTATTTAATTTATTAATCAGCAAATAATACATGAATCTAGTTTTAATGGACCTTTCTCACTCAGTCTATGAACCTGGCAAAATCATTGTTCCAAAAATGCAAATTAATCACATATAGAAAAATAAAAACTATCGACAAATTTTATTCAAAAATATAAATTCAGATTCCAAACTATTATAAAAAATTACATATTTAGTGTGCCATGATTAAGTAGAATTTGTTCAGGATGATATGAATTAGGACAACTGTTGATGTAATTCTCTACTTGATAATGTGAAAGGAGAAAATACATGATAATGACACTATATGAAAGAAGTCATTTGATAATACTCAACGCAAATTTATAGTAAAACTAAAAATGTACTCTTGACAAACTGCAAATAGGAAAAACTGCCTCACTTGATAAAGAACGTCTTTGATAATACTGTAAGAATTCATAATAAAAGTAAAACTGGCCTGCTATAACTAGTACCATTTATTCAATATTGACTGCACTGGACTACTTAATTTAAATACAGATAAAAAATTACAAAGTATAAGTAATGGAAAGGATTTGTGAACTTGCAGTAAGGTGCAAGCAATGTGATTTTCTATACCTAAAGGTCAAAACAATCAAATAAAACTTTTAGAAGTAGTAATCTAGTTTATGAACTTAACAGGACACAAATCAGTATACAAAAATTAATGGTTTTCCTTTAACACATTAACATTCAATTAAAAATAGCAATTAAAGACAATTATAGCCATAATAATAGCAAAAACTATAAAAAACTAGAGATAAACTTAATATAAAGTAAAAAAGGATTATAAACCACTTATAAATCTTTACTTTAGGAGAGCAAAGAATAATAAAGGAAGAAACATACTCTGCCCTTGCATGAAAATACTCAAATATGTTAGATGAGTCTTTCTTCTTGAAATTATTCTACAAGCTCCAGTATTGTCTCGATTAACATAAAATACACTTCTAACAAAGTTTGATAAGCTGATTCTAAAGATTATCTGGAAAATTAATGTATTATAAATGCAAAGGAAATTTTGAAAGAAAAAATAAGAATTTTTCTTATCAGTATTTTCAGTATGCCAAAATTAGATTACTTAAAACACTATGGAATTGAAAGAGGTAACACACACACACACACACACACACACATATGTGTGTGTATATATATGATATTATAAACACACATATATAGAGAGAATGTACTTGAATATATATGTATATATATTCAAATACATAGGATAAAGGTAGCATTTCACATTTATGGTGAAAGGATGACCTGTTTTATAAGTTATTTCTGGATATTTGCTATTATTTGGAAAACTATAAAAATATATCCTTACTTACTCTTACACACTAAATAATGCCAAAAGAACCTAAGAGCTATATGTCAAAATAAACAAAAAATAGATCCCTTGGAATTACAAAAAGAAAATGTACTATGTTATTATTATAATTTGGGGATGAAAAAGGGCTTTCTATGCAAAATTCTGTCCAGAATTTTTTTTTTTTGGCAGAATTTTGCTTTTGTTGCCCAGATTGGAGTGCAATGGTGTGATCTCAGCTCACCAGAAACTCCGCCTCCCAGGTTCCAATGATTCTCCTGCCTCAGCCTCCCCAGTAGCTGGGATTACAGGCATGCACCACCATGCCCAGCTAATTTTGTATTTTTAGTGGAGATGGGGTTTCTCCATGTTGGTCAGGCTGGACTGACATCATGTTAGTTAAAAATATTTTATATAGTAAAATATATGATAATAAAAATTAAAAGAAAAGTGAAAAACTGGAAATATACTATTTTGATATATGTATATATTATAAAAATGATCACCACAATCAAGCTAATTGACATATCCATCACCTGACATACCTGTGTGTGTGTGTGTCTGTGTGTGTTGTAAGAATACTGAATATCTATTCTCTTAGCAAATTTCAAGCATATAATACATGATTATTAACTATAGTCATCCTACTGCACATCAGGTCTCCAGAACTTATTCCTTATGATTCAAAGTGTGCATCCTTGGACCAATAGCTCTCCATTTCTCCCACCCCATAACTTCTGGTAACCACCCTTCTACTCTATTTTCATGAGTTCTACTTTTTTATATTCCACATACAAGTCAGATCATGCAGTATATGTCTTTCTATGTCTGACTTATTTCTCTAAGCAGAAGGTCCTCCAGTTTCATTCTTCTTCTTGTAAATAGCAGAATTTTATTTCCGTTTAGGATGAATAATTTTCCATTGTATGTGTGTGTGTGTGCTTGTGTGTGTATGTGTGTGTATATATATATTCCTTATCTCTTTTATTTATCCATTAATTCGTTGACAGACAGGTTGTTTCTGTATTTTGGCTACTGTGAATAATGTTTCAGTGAACATCAGAATGCAGATATCTCTCTGAGATAGTGGTTTAATTCCCTCTGGATATTATACCCAGAATGTTCATAAATGTAAATGAGTGAATTCTGTTTGGAAGTTAAATAGTCATTATGTATCATAATTTAAAATACATATATTTTAAGAAATATTTTCACACCTGTTTTTTAAGCATCATTTGTAATAGCCAACTTTAGAAACAATCCACATGTCATTCCAAAGAAGCTGTTTAAATTATTTATAAAATATCTTTATTAGGGAATACTCTGTAGGGACTGAGAAAAATAAAGTAGACCTCTATGTAGTAACATGGAAAGCTCCCCAAACCCAAAGCCTGTGCGAAGTATAAACCATGTTTTAAATCCTATTATTGGTCAACTTTTGTTTTTAACAGCATTTTAATTAAGCTTATTGTAGTCAAATTATCTGTATTCAGTTTTAAATAACATGAATTACTTTTCATATGTGAGTTGAGGAATTCACTTCTACCTTAGCTTTCTTTATTCTTCATCCACAAAACTCCTCTACTATTACCCAGCATTTTGCTGATATAATCTGGGTTTTAAGATTCACATAATTAATATTAATATTATATACCAATGCCATATTTGCAATAGTTGTTTATAATTAACTATGCTCAAGAGATTTCAATGTTATCTATTAGTTCTTTTGTTTTTTGTGTGTGTGTGTTTAACCATAATTTTTTATTCGTGTTTTTAAAATTCAGCATCTAGTTGGCCAATGTTATTTTTACTTAATAGTGTGTGAGCTGATACTTAGAGACATAGTGACCAGGCATTTGCATATATGTGGCCCTTTCTTCTGTTGCTTTTTGCAGTATAGAGTTCTTAGTGTAGTGTACAATTTTATGTTTCTTTGTTTGTATTGAGATGGAGTCTCACGCTTGTCACCCAGGCTGGAGTGCAGTGGCACGATCTCGGCTCACTGCAATCTCCACCTCCCAGGTTCAAGCAATTCTCCTGTCTCAGCCTCCCAAATAGCCGGGACTACAGGCACTCACCTCCACGTCTAGCTAATTTTTGTATTTTTAGTAGAGATGAGTTTGCACCATATTGGTTAGGCTGGTCTCGAACTCCTGACCTCAGGTGATCCACCCCCCCGTCAGCATCCGAAAGTGCTGGGATTACAGGTGTGAGCCACTGTGCCCAGCTTGTTTTGTTTTTAAAAAGCTCCATGGGTGTTCTTTTCCATGTTTAGTGTTTAGGAAGCAAAGTATGTAGCTAACTTAATTTTTTCTAACTTTTGGAGTTTGTCTTTATTTAAGTTTGTCTGGTGTCTTTAAGTCACCAGAACACTTATTCTTCATCAGTTTTCATTAATTTGCTGAACACTTTATATTCACAGAATGGAATAATAGCAGTAAAAAAGAAGGAACTGCTACACTCAGCAACATGGATAATATCATAGGCCTGCTGTCAGGTGAAGGAAGACAAATAGGTTTCCGTTTAAATAAAACTCAAGATAAACTAATCAATGTTGATTAAACTGGATTAATAACACTTTCTAGGGAGAAGCAAATATTATATGTCTCTATCCCTATGGTATTTACATGGACTGACTCATGTAAAACATATCAAGTTATACTTTTAAGATATGAGAAATTCACTGTTTGAATTATATCTTCTTTCCAACTGCCATATTTTTACTGAGTAAAATAATAGAGTTAATGGGATTTAAGATGATCAAATTGCTAAACAATTTTTCTTTTCTTTTTAGAAATATCTTTTGTACCTTTTCTTGTATCTTACCATTATTAATGAGGCACCACACTTGGTAGGTCTCTTGAATTTTGGAAACAAAGGATAACTAAAGTTTGATGTGTTTTGTTCACGGATTTACTGGGAGACCTAAAATACTGCCGTCCTTTGAGAAGATCTCATAGCAGGTAATGACTCTCCAGCAGGTCTCAGCTGCAATTAAAGCAGCTCATCCACATTTGCCCTCATGAACCTGCATATCTAGTATCACTCAATGTGTTGACAGCCGACCAGAAAGCTGTATGTAGCTTGTGGCAAACCTTTGAAGGTTGAATCACAGTAAAGTCTCCTAGGGTTTTGAAGCAAATTTATAACCCCTTTGGCAAACAACTGTTCTGGTTTTCAAAGCAATTCATGGCTTCTTATTAAGGCCTTGTTATAGAGCCTAGAGTAGGTATGGATAAACTACAGTCCCCAAGACGATCTGGCCTGTTTTTATGTAGCCTGTGAGCTAAGAATGGTTTTCATATTTGTAAAGGATTAAATAAAAAGTGGAACAATATTTTATAATATCTTAAAATTACATAAAACTAAAATTGTGGTGTCTGTAAATAAAGTTTTATTACAACACGACGATACTCATTCAGTTACCTATTGTCTATAGCTGCTTTCACACTACCATAGTAGAATTGACTTTAGGCTGTTAGACTGTCTAGTCCCCAAAACCTAAAATATTTACTATGTAGCCCCTTTCAGAAGTTTGCCAACCTGTTGACTAGATGCAGATGCCTGGTTATGAGTCATCAGGTAATTCTACTAAGTAGTTTTCCTATTATGTCTTGACTGTTTTCTGGTTCACTTTGATGTAAAATTGAGAGTTCCTAGCAGCTGTCCATTACCAATTGGAAATGTATTTACATAACTGCTCATGCATGTTCTGATTTTGCAAGTAAATTGCATAAGTTATTTCATATTCCCATTGTCTTACATGTCAGGATTATGTCACCCTTCAGCTTACATCTATGGTCACCTGGAAAATTAACTGTAAATATCTCATTCAAGAGGAAAATAAATCAAGCCTGGTTTATCCATGGCTCTGCACAGAAGATTGGTATAACCAGAAGTGGTCTAAAGAGTGTTCTTGTCTCACTCAGGGAGGATATTGCAGAGGAGTGAGGAGATATTCTTCCCACTGAGTAGAAAATTGGTAATATATCTCAAAATTCATTTCCTTGGAGAAGAGATGACTTGAAGTAATAAGCTATTAGAAGTTTATTAGCAGTGGCTAATTATCTAGCCAGAAGACACATGGAGAAATCTTCCAAAGTAGGCTTAAAATGTAAGACTGTCTATGGGGATGACCAAAACCAAAGTAAAATAAATCAACCAACAGAAAGGAAACCACTCCAGAAGAGAAATTTACTATCTAAATGGAATAGATGTAGGTCCAGCCCCATTCTTTAGCCATCCAAGCAGCTTCCCAATAGGTTCAACTAAGTGGTTATAGAGGCAAGGATGGAGTCTGTTTATGTGTTCACAACTGCACTTCAAATCTGTCTTCCTCTACCACTGAGTGTCAAATTTTTCATTAGCAGCAATCAATTCTGAGCCCCAGGAGGTTTACCCTGTTCTTACAGGAGCAGATACCTAGTAGTAGATTTTGTGTTTATATTTGACCCCAATCATGAAAGAAGCAGTACTCACCAGAATAAACCTTTAACTCTCTTGATATGCATTCCCTGTATCTTATGGTTATGATGCAGGACAGGTGAGCCCCAAAATTGGGAATTGGGGCTTAGCCTGGGAGGGTTCTTGGCTTTGCTCAGGAAAGAATTCAAGAGTGAGAGGTGTTATATAGTAAACTTTATTGAACCAGAGCTACTCTTTGCAGAGAAGGAATAATTCATACACAGTGTGCTCAGAGTCTGCAGTTTATGGGCAGTTGGCAACTATGTGTATACCTATTTATAGAAACTTTTAATTACATGCAATTAGAGGGTGAGTTATTCAGAAATATCTAGAAAAGGGGTGGTAGCTTCTAGGTCATTGCCATGGAAATAAGAAGTAACTTGCAGACTGTTGCCATAGCATTTGTAAACTTTCATGACACTGGTGGGACTGTCTTATGCCAATGAACAGCAAAGACAACTAGAGGTTGCCTTTAGCACCATCGGCTGAATCCTGCCAATTTATTCACTGTATCCTGTTGGGACTAGGAAATAAGTCCTGTCAGTCTCCTACCTCATTTCCCCCTCAGAGATTAGATACTCTTCTTTAATCTTAAGGAAGCTACAAAAGGGTGGGACCCCATCTTCTGTAACCACTTTCTGCTGACTTTACGGACATAGGCCCTGCCTGATTGGATGAGTAAAAATCTCTAGATACCTGATATAAGGGCCCCAAGGACAGGATATTTTCATTCTCTAAGTCAAAAGACAGGATGAGTTGGAAGTCGTATGCTAGAATTGTCTTTACATGGAATTGCTGTACTCTAGAAAATACAAACTTCACAAGGAGGTTAAACAATCAAGGGGCAAAAAATAATAGTAAAAAGATAGCTATCACAGGTCCCAGGAAGGGTAAAAAAACAGGTGAGACTTGGGAGGACACTTTTGATAGTGGACTAGACATAGTTGAGGTCAGTTCCCTGGTTATATATAGGTAACCAGGTGAAATTAATCCTCAGGGGATCCTTCTTTCCAAGTTTTTAATAGGACTACGTCTCCTGGTTCAACAGGGGAGATATTCTTTTTCTTTGGGGGAAATGGCAATATTTTATTTTTATATTTTTGAAAGACCTTTTGAACCTGGCCTAAATTCTAAAAGGGACACAAGTGAAGTATGTCCATCACCCTGTTTGTCATCATGACCCAAATTAGGTTTTTAGGTTCTTTTGTTTTGTTTTGTATTGTTTTTTAGACAAGGTTTGGCTCTGTTGCCTGGGCTGGAGTGCAGTGGTGCAATCTTGGCTCATGGCAACCTTCACCCCTTGGACTCAAGCAATCCTTCTCCATCAGCCTCCTGAGTAGCTGGGACCACAGGTGTGCACTA
Source organism: Homo sapiens (assembly GCF_000001405.40). Lineage (NCBI taxonomy): Eukaryota > Metazoa > Chordata > Mammalia > Primates > Hominidae > Homo > Homo sapiens. The sequence continues at coordinate 14,459,021 of NC_000002.12, read as the reverse complement.
CAGGACCTGGCTAATTTTTGTAATTTTAGTAGAAACAGGGCTTTGGCATGTTGCCCTGGCTGGTCTAGAACTCCTGGCCTAAAATATCCCACCTTCCTTGGCATCCCAAATTGCTAGAATTACAAATGTGAGCCACCACACCTGGCCAAGATTTTTGGTTTCTATAGCAAATTAAACATTTTAGACCAGATTGAAATGGAGGTGGGAAGGCAGTCATTACTCCTTATAAACTTTTTTAAAGAAATAAAAGATTGAAAAACCAAAAACCAAAAATAAGGTGACATATGAAAAAGGTCAAGTTATACTGGGGGAAAACATTGTTTTTATAGAACTCCAAGATAAAATATTTTATCATCATGTTATAACAACAGTTAGAACCAGAGGAGAAAAAGTTACAAGTGCTGACGAAAGCTCAAGAGAGTTATAGCTCAGTCTTTATCAAAAGGAGAAAAAATTGATAGCAGTGAGATAAAGCAACAATTGAACCTCTGAGATATAAATTGGAGAACGTTTTTAAAGAAACAGTTTACAGAATTGTACAGGAAATCAATAACTTAAAATCTTGTTTTAATATGAAGACTGTTTTTAGGAAGACTATTATAAATAATTCTTTGTTAATTATAGCTAATTACACACAATTATTTTTCGTGAATTCATCTTTACAAACATTATCACAATTCATATAGACTATCTATGACATGCTTGGACTTTCTGACTTGTCTTACACTACCTCTTCCTTAAATAGCCAGTCATTTTATTCTAGGACAAGAATTTACCATACCGGATTTTTCCTCATATAACATTACTTTTTATATGCTTTCTTACCAAGAATACATCTTTATATTCTTTAACTTTCTTCACATCTGTCTTTCAATGCGCTGGTTCATTTTTTATTTTATAACTAAAAGACCATATAAAACCAATCACTATGTAAAGCCACTTTTCTGTTAGCCATTATAAAGCCTGTGAACATTAGTGGTTCACCTAGGTAAGAGTCTTAAAGTTAAACTGTAAAAGACACAACATTCCCATCAAACTAATAATCTTATACAAGGCTCATTTACCCAAAGATTACCAAGTCACATGTGCCTGAGAAGCATTTAATCTTATTTGTTTTGTTTATGTGCACCCTTTTATGTATAAGTCATTTGATAGCATACGAGACACAACACATATCACAATACCTGTGTGTACACATAAACAGAAACACATAAAGCTACCTATACAAGATAGCTGCGTCCAAATTATTTACATAATTGGGACCTGTCTATCTGGCCAAATTTTGTGTGCCATGATAGCTATGAAAGACAAGCAGAGGCAGAGAAGGGGGATCCTGTAGTATTAAATGAGAAAGGGAAGGGGCAAACTATGTTGCTTAAGGGGTGACCTCTCTGGGTGAGCTACCAGAGAGTTCACCCAGTAATGGAGATACTGAAGGAAAATGTTTGGGTGGCTGCTTGTCTACCAGTATAGGAAACTATCTGTTGGATCAAGGTTCCAGGACCCCCAAGTATTTTTACTTGAGCAAGGCAACACATTGGGGGTAAATGGAAAAAGTTTAGCTCTAGTATTGATGGAGAGCTTTCTCCATTTCTCATCAAGAATAGTTAGGATGTTCTCATTGCCAGTGGCCCTCTTGTTCAGAGTAGGCACACTGATTCTGGCCCAGGGGCTGTCAAGCTGGGGGCTCTCATCTGGGCATCTCCGATATGGATCTTGTGACACCACTTCAGAATGGGTAACCCTAGGTGGCAGGGGGCTTAAAGCAGCCACTACCTATTACATTTTCTATTTTTTCCCACTTTTTTGCTATTATCTATTGCTGTAAAACCAAAAAGGCCAAGTTTAATGGTTGGCTTATAGGAGTTTGGGGTCCACTACTGGTTTTTGTAGCTTTCTCCTAATGTCAGGGGCAAATTGAGTAATAAAATGCATACCCAGGAGAGCTTGCCTTTCCAGGGAATCTGGGTCTGCATTAGTATATTTCCTAAGTACCTCAACCAAATGGTGCTGAAACAGAGTGGGATTTTTATTCTTTCTCTAAGTTACTTCTCTAACCTTGTCATGATTAACTGGCTTAATCATACACTTTTCTATATCTTCTATTAAATAAGTAACCATGTAATTTCTGTGTTCAAGATCTTGGGAACCCCCTTTGTTATTTCAAGGAGGGTCTAGATCTGGAAATGCATCTCTTCTCATGTGATCATTGGAATGGACTTGGTTACATGTGGCCACTCCATCTGCACGTTCACAGGTTGCACTCAGAATCTTCCACTTTTCCTCCACAGCACAACAATTAGATGTCAATACTGGCAATTCATGCCAAGTTAAATCAAAGAACATGGCCAACTTAACAAACTCTTCTATAAACTTCCTGGATTCTCTGAAAACTGGCCAAATTTCTCCTCACATAAAGCCAAATCAGACATAGAAAATGGCATCTGTACTCAAAGTGTTCCTGCATCTCCATTAGCTACCTCCTGCAATGGACACAGATTTAATTTTAGGGGCTGATATGGGGCCCCACTCCTGGTGGTACTGATTGGGCTACTTCTTTGAGAAACAAGGGGTATAGGCTGGGGCTAGTTGGATAAGAGGGAGGGATGCCTGATGATCTAGGGGTGGAATCCTGCATTATAGAACTAATGGGACCCCCCTTCAGGATTGGAGGACTGAGGAGACTCTGAGGAGGGTGTAGGCCTTCTACAGGGAGCAGCTAGAAGCAGATCCCTTAGGTGTTGCTTCTGGGTGCCTGGCAGTAACATAAGCCAGTAAAAGGCCATAAAAGTCTGTACAGACGGTACCTTCCTGATTTTCCTTTTTTTTTTAAATAAAATAAGTCCAACTGTCAAATAGTATTTTGACATGAAGAACCATTTTTAGAATAAATTTTTTGGTCTCCCAATGTGTACTGCACACTAATGGTGTTACACTAGAAAATGAGTTTGTTTTCTTTAAGCCTAATTTGAATTTGCTCCAGTTACCCAGAAGACACCCTAATGGTGAATCCTCTGGGATGCTTGCCATTGTCCTTGTGTGTAACAAGTATCTTTTCGAGACACAGAAGTTTTTCTAAGTCTAGCAAGAGGAAAAGCAACTGGGCTCTCATTATTCTTCTCTTTCAGATTTTTACCTCCTGCAGAGAAGGTGTAAGTATAGGTAGCAAAGTGCTACAAAAATGGATTGTGAGATACAGGCAGGCATTAGAGTACTGTGCTTGCCAGCAAATGAAATATGACAAAAGAGATATTTTTACTAGGCAAAGTATAAAAGGAAAAGTGAAAATAGAGTGATGAAACTCTAGGGCAGAAATCAGGAAAAGACAAGCCTGGGATTCCTCTCAAGTGGGCCTCTAACCTACAATCCAAGAAGGAATGCAAATGCTGAGAACTCTGGAGCATCTGGGGGCAGCCAAAGATACTCAGTGCCAAGAAACCTGGAGCACCTGAATATCAGTCAATGAGTGTCCTCAAACCAAATGACAAAAATCCTGTAGTATTTAGGGGCTGACCATGCTGAAAACCCTGAAACATCCAGGGGACAGCCATGAGTGAACCCCAAACACTTGATTGGGGCCACACAGCAATATGACTCTGGTATTCCAGAGTCAACACAATTGGGGATCTCTTACAACCTGGTGTCCTGCTTAAATAATTACCCAAATAAAACTATCAGGGAGCTAAAGCCAGAAAAAAAAATTCCTGCAATCAAAACATAAATATCAGAGCAGAAAAGAAAATGAAATAAAATGACTGACAGAAAAATGTAATGGCTTTGGAGAAGAAAGGACCAAGAGAAGGGACGACAAAGGATATAGTTGGTCAGGCACGCTACAGGGGACTTTGAATTGACTACCTAGCCAGAGCCCCTAATATCTTGGCTCACCTGATATTGGTGGGGGTAGAGGGGACACTCACCAGTCCACAGGAGCCAAAATGTCACTGATCATTCTCCAACTTCGGGCTAAGGTGGAGGTCTTCCCCAGGTTCCCCCAGCTTGGGTAGGTTTGGCTGCTGTGAGGGGACCAGCCCGTGGTCCTGTGAACAACCCACTGGATTGGTGGGTCTCACAGGAGGCAGCATTGTGGCTGCTCACCCATCCAATTGGCCCCACAGCCTGTCAGGAAAGATAATGGCTCTTCAAAGAGCCTTTGGTTAGTGTTACAGCTCTGCAGTGTTAGCACCTCTTTATTGTTACTGCTGCCATCTCTCACCGTCTAGCCAATTGTTATCTCACCATCTCTGGGTATCTAGCTGATTGCCCTCTCACCATCTCTCACTGTCTAGCCAACTGCTGTCTTGCCATCTCACTGATGGCTGATCGCCATATTGGCATCTTTGCCATATTGACGTCTTCATTATCTTTGTGGTCACCGGATGATGCAAGCAGGTAGGTGAGTCCTGAAATCGGTGCTTAGCCTGGGAGGGTTCTTGGCTTAACCCAGGAGAGAATTAAAGGGCGAGCCAGTGGTATTAGACAACAATCTTTTATTGAACCAGAGCTGTTCCTTGTGGAGCAGTGCTAACTCCTAGGCAATGTGCCCAGGGTCAGCAGGATATGGGCTGTTGGCAGCAGTATGTATACCCATTTTTAATTACATGCAAATTAGGGGTGGGTTATTTCAGAAATCTTTAGAAAAGGGTGTCACTTCCCGGTTGTTGCCATAGAAAGGGGAGGTAACTTGCAGGTCATTGCCATGGCATTTGTAAACTGTCATGGAACTGCTGGGAGCGTCTTATGCTAATGGGCAGTGAGGACAACTAGAGGTGTTTTCAGCAACCCCTGGTGGCTTCTGCATTTCTTTACTTCATCCTGTCAGGACCAGAAAATAAGTCCTGCTTGTCTCTTAGTTCAGTTTCGTCAGTACTTCAAGGGCTTACTGTATGTTTTTTGTAACATCTTGGTCTCTCATATATGGTAATGCTATCTTCTAAATGTGTCTCCCAAAATTCATATGTTGAAACCTCATCACTGATATGATAGTATTAAGAGGTTAAGCCCTTTAGAGGGTGATTAAGTCATAAGGGTGGAACTCTCATGAATGGTATTAGTGACCTTACAAAAGATGTTTCAGAGGGCTGCTTGGCCCTTCCATTTCTTCTGCAATGTAAGGACACAGAATTTATCTCTTCTGCCCTTGTGTCATTTTAGGACACAGCATGAAGGTGCCATCTTGAAAGCAGAGAGTAGTCCTCATCAGACACCAGATCTGCCTATGTCTTTATCTTGGACTCCTCAGCCTCCAGAACTATGAGAAATAATTTTTGATTGTTTATAAATCACCAAGGCTGTGGTATTTGTTATAGCAGTCTGAAGTAAAACTAAGGCAGAAATTGGTACCAGGAGTAGCATTCTGCTGTAACAAATACATAAAATTGTGGAAGCAGCTTTGGAATTGGGTAATGGGTAAAGTCAGAAAGAATTTAGAAGTGAATGATAGAAAAAGCCTACATTTCCATGAACAGAGAGTTAAAAAAGATTCGTTTGAGGGTTCAGAAGAAGAAGAGGGTTGTAGGGAAAGCCTTAGTCTTCTTAAAGATTACTTAAGAACTTGGTTGAATTGTGCCAATTTCCCAGTGCTTTGTGGAAAGGAGAACTTGCAAGTGATAAACTAGGATATTTGGTGGAAGAAATCTCTAAGCAAGGGGTTGAGGAGCTGTACGGCTTCTCTTGGTTGTTTGGAGTAAAACATAGGAAGACAGAAATGAATTATAGATAAAATTCAGGCTGGGCGCAGTGGCTCATGCCTGTAATCCCCGCACTTCAGGAGTCTGAGGCGGGTAGATCACGAGGTCAGGAGTTTGAGACCAGCCTGCTCAAATAGTGAAACCCTGTCTCCACTAAAGTTACAAAAAATTAGCCGGGCATGGTGGCGTGTGCCTGTAATCCCAGCTACTTAGGAGACTGAGGCAGGAGAATTGCTTGAACCTGGGAGGTGGAAGTTGCAGTGAGCCGAGATCATGCCATTGCACTCCAGCCTGGGTGACAGGGTGAGACTCTGTCTCAAAATAAAAAAAAAATAATAAATTAAATTCATAATCAAAATATAAGTAGTACTTAAATATTTGAAAAACTTTCAGCCTAACCATGTAAGAAAACAAAAAAACATGCTTGGGAGACAATACCAAGGATGTGGCAAAGTGAAAGTTGGATAAGAAGATTACTATGAATGTAAACAGGCCAGCTGACATTCATCATAACAGTGGAAGAAAGACCCCCAAAGCATTTCAGAAATCTTCGAAATGCTGTCACTTTAATCACAGATTCAGAGTTCCAGGGCCTTGAAGGCAGAAATATTTTAAAGAAGGGGTTCAGGGAGTCCACCAGAACTTGGGACTTGCTGCCCAGAACCACCTCAAGTCTTATATTTCTGCATTCCAGTGCATGTGATCCTTGGCATCCCCAGCTGTGGCTACAGAGGGTCCAGATGTAGCTCAGGCTGTCTCTCCAGAAGTCACAAGCGATAAACCATGGTGGCATCTGCATGATGCCAACTCTGCAAGTATACAAAGTACAAAAACTCTGGAGAAATGGCTACTTCCATCTAGCTTTTAAAGGCTACCTCAGAGAGCTTTGGGTCTCAGTGAAGAACTGCCACAGGAGTGGGGCTTCTGCAGAAAACCCCCACTAGGGCAATGCCCAGCAGGTCCATGGGATGGAGCCACTACAGAAAGCCCGTATTGGGGTAAATCCAGGGTAGCAGGGACACTGTGAACTCTTCACTAGGGCAATGCCCAGCAGAGCTATGGGAGGGGCCACCTCCACAAACCCTCACTAGGGCAATATTTAGTGGAGCCATGGGGGCAGGGCTATCCCCAAGGTCCCAGACCTGTAGAGCCACCAGCATACAATGCCATCCTTGGAGAGCCACAGGCACCCAACTCCAACCCAAGACCTGCTGCATAGGCTGTGCCCAGCAAAGCCCAACACTTGTCCCATTGTGTCCAAAAGGCAGGGCATGGAGTCAAAGATTATTCTCAAGCCTCAATCTTTATTTATTTATTTACTTGCCTTGTTGAGTTGTGGAGTTACTTGGGACGTATTAGCCTTTTTTAAATTTTCTATTTCTCTCTTTTGGAATAGCAGTGTCTATCTTATGCCTATCTCAAAATTGCATTTTGGAAGTACATACTTTGTTTGATTTTACAGGTTCACAGCTAGAGAACAATTTTCATCAAGGTGAGTTGTACCTTGAGTCTCATGTGAATCTGATTTAGATGAGACTCTGGACAATGCATTTTGCATGTGAGAAGAACATAAATTTTGGGGGCCAGGGCAGAATGCTGTGGTATGACTGTGTCCGCTCAAATTCATAGGTTGAAATTTAATCACCAATGTGATAGTTTTAAAGGGTAGGGCCTTGAGGAGGTAATTAAGTCGTAAGAGCATGACTTAATAATCTTTATAAGGTCATGAATAAGACCTTATAAAGAGTCTTCAGAGAGCTTCCTGGCCTGTCCTTCTCTTCTATCGTGTAATGACACAGAGTTAATTTATTTTGCCCTTCCACCACTTGAGGGCAGAGCAGAAGGTCTCCACACTAGAAGCAAAAAGCAACTCTCAACAGACACCATATTTGCCCATCCCTTGCCCCTTGACTTTAAGCCTCTAGAAAACAAATTTTGTGAAAAACACAACTTCTATGGTTTATAAATTAGCCAGGCTGATATTTTGTTACAGCAGTCCAAAAGGAGTAAGACAGTAAATTATACAGTATTTATTTTTAAGTGAATTTACTGTATAGTTTAAAAAAAAGACATTGAATGAATGCGTAAATGTAACCCTTCATCTTGAAGAAGCTAGCCTATCTATCCTACAGTGGAATGAGCCATCAAAGATCAGTTACGGTGCTAGCTAGAAAAACAACTTCTGTCCTTCTGGATACAGTATATGTTCTAAACCAGCAGTCAATATGTGGTGCTAATTCTCCCACAGCTATAAATTACAGAATAGGTAAATAAGAGATGGAATTGAAAATGGTACCTGTCATAATTCCATCTAATTAATCACTTGCATACTTTTTGCTTTCCATCCCTGTTACTCTTGGCTCTACTGGTTTACAGATTTTAATGCCAAAGGAAGAATGCATTTATCAGGGGACACAATAACAGTTCCATTGAACTAGACTCCTAGATTTTCACTTGATCAAGTCAGGCTCCTCTTATCACTAAGAAAACAAGCCAAAACAGGGATTATAGTGTTGGCTAGTGTGATTGAGTCTACCTCTCCAGGGAAAACACAGTCGTTGCTACCTAATGGGAGTAATAAAGATTATGAACGACATACAGAGAATTCCCCTGAAACATGGAACATCTCCTTGTACTACTGCTGTTAAAAGGTAATGGTAAACCACTTCAGTCCTATATAATCAGAACCTCCCATTCTCAGGTCTATCAGGAATAAAAGTTTGAGACACTTACCTGCAGATTGCCTTTAATGAACTTAAAAGTACTTGCTGGACTTGAAAAATATAAGAAGTACATATATGCAAAGAAAAATCATAAATATCAACTACAATAAAGTCATCAGTTGCACAGCTACGTACTATTGAATCGACATATGTTTTCTTTCTTTATGGCTTAATTAAATAAGTATGTAACTTAATTAGTATCTTTTTTGTCCTCAAATTCCCCCAAACTATTTGATAAGGGATAGAGGGTGGTAGATTCAGAATATTATGGCATAATCACAAAGAAATACCGATAGGAGAAACAGATGTCACCAGGTATGTTGAACTTGTAGCCAGATGGAATTACTGATTTTTTTAAAAAATATATCTCCTTAGGGAATTTTTTTTGATAGGTTAAGCATTCTTAAAAATTGTAAGTGAGAAGTGTGTGTTTAAATACTGTTCATTAAAAGAGTGAATAGTATTGACATTTGTCAATTTAACGGCTCAGCACCAAACATCCTGCTGTCTATTTTGGTTAAAGATCTATATAGATAGGAGTCAGAAGTTGAAAAGGGAAAGCTACTTATTCTCCCTGTCTCCTGACAGCTGGAGAATGGGTCCATGGCTAAACTACAGTCAATCACTTGTTCCCACTCAGAGAATTGAATCTTGAGAGAATTACACAGAGGTGTAAAGTCTGTCAGAGGTTATCTGTGTGTGGCAGCTGTGGTGGAGTCGAGAATTCAGTGATGAGAGGGTGAGTGTTTAGAAGCAGCAGTGACATTTCAAATGCAGTTATCTTGGGCTTGATCTTGGCTCTTCTTTTCCTACCTTGGTTTATACCTGTGCCTGGCATGCCAGCCTTATAGTCAGTTTTGTAAACTACCTCGTTTCTTTTCAATAAGTTTCTTTTGTGCCTGTATTATCCAATATCATATTCTGTTATTTGAAACCAATATTACTGCTTCATTGAGTGGATTAAGTTGACAGGAGTCTGAGAGTGACAAAATGAAAAAAAAAAAAAAAAAAAAAAACCAGAACCACTGTCAGTAGCTTGCAAGAAGCCTGGGACTAGAGTTCAAGAAGAGACAGTTTCTTCTGAGAAGAACTACGAACAAAGAACAGCTTCACAAACCGAGAATTTGGCCACTGGTTTCTAAGGCAGAGACTCATGCAATAAGATAAAAGAGAGGCAAGGAATTAATAAGTAGAATTTGTCCAGCAATTTGCATTATGTGAAGCATCATCACAGTGATTATATTTAATCATTCCTTTAACTTAATGGTTTTCAAAATATGGTAAACAGATCCCTAGGAGTCCCTTTTTCAATAGTTCTGTAAGGTCAAAACTATTTTCATAACAACACTGAATAATTATTTGCCTTTTTCACTTGTTGACATTTACTGGTAAAGGAAAAACAATTTAGTTAAAAGCATGAATCAAGGCAATGGCGCCAAACTATTCTAGTAGTTATTGTAGTTTTTCAACACCAAATACTCAGGGGGAAAAAAGGAGACAATTTTGCTTAAGAGGATCTTTGATGAAATGGCAAAACATATTACTTTCATTAACTATCTCAACCCTTGGGTACATACCTGTTTAATATTCTGTGTGATTAAATAGAAAGCACACATAAATAATAGGTTCCCAAGCTTTCTCCATAGTGCCTTAGTGATTGTTTTTTTTTTTTTTATTTTGGCCCCTATACCAAAGAAAATTCAGAACACAACCTATCCTACCAGTTGTATTTATTAAGTACAGTCATGCATCACTTGATAACAGGGGTACACTCTAAGAATCACATTATTAGGCAATTTTATCATTGTGCAAACATCATAGAGTATACTTACACAAACCTAGATAGTATAGTCTACTACACACCTAGGCTGCATGGTATAGCCTAGTGCTCCTAGGCTGCATATCTGCACAGCTTGTTACTCTACTGAATATTGTGTGTAGTTGGAACACAATGGTACGTATTTGTGTATCTAAACATAGAAAAGTTACAGTAAAAATATGATGTAAAGGATAAAAATGATATGCCTGTATACAGCACTTACCATAAATGGAGCTTGCAGAACTGGAAGGTGGTCTGGTTGACTCAATCAGTGAGTGGTAAATGAATGTGAAGGCTTAGGACATTCACTGTACATTACTGTAGACTTTATAAACACTGTGTACTTAGGCCACACTAAATTTATAAATTATTTTTTATTCAATAATAAATTAACTTTAGCTTGCTGTCAGTTTTTTTATCTTATAAACTTTTACATTTTTGTAACTGTTTGAGTCTTTGTAAATAACACATAGCTTAATACAGAAATGTAGTATACAGATATATAACATATTTTCTTTATATCCTTAATCTATACCTTATGTTCTATTTTTAATTTTTTAAATTTTCTTACTTTTTAAATTTTTTGTGAAAAACTAAGACATACATGTTATCCTAGGCCTATACATGGTTAGGATGATCAATATTACTGTCTTCCACTTAGTAGCCATTTGAAAAAATAATGTTATGTCATTCTAGAAGTCAATTACTAATGGAACGTGTTTGTTGGTCACTGCCCAAATTTCTCAAACCTTGGAATCAGATTGAAGCTGCCTTCATGTCCTGTTGCACTTTGATTTTCTAGTAGTAACTTGCTTTTTATCACAGCAACTGCAGAAAATGCAACTTGGCAATTCTATGGCATCCTTAAAAGGGATGTGGTGCGATCTAATGTTGAAACTGAACTACCTCTAGCTAGTAGATTGCCCAGTATTTGCTAAATGATGCCGTGTCTCCCTTGAAATTTTTAAGTACCCTGTGGTGCTCCTGTGAGTTTTTGTTGGTGCTTTAGGGGGTGCTCTGGCACACAGCTTGGAAACTGCAGGCATAAAATATTTCTTTTCCATACCGAAGTATGGTGGTTTTCTCAAGGAAAAGCACTAGTACAATTTTTGAGCTGCAAGCTGAACTAGCTGCTTTTATCAAAAAACAGGATTTTTATTTCAAGGAACAACTGCCATACAATGACTGCTCAAGCTTGGGTATTTAGCAAATGTTTCCTTCAAAATGAATGAAAATAAAGTGAGCCTGTTTCATCAAGGACAACAACTAACAGCTTTCTTTGCCAATAATAAAATTCAAGTTTTCTGATAAATATTAAAATTTGTAAAACTTGTGTCTACCACCATGAGTTTGACAGCTTTTCAAAATTTAAAGATTCCGTTAATGAGAACCATCATCATATTAACAAATGTGATTTTTAATATTGTATAATGAAATATGTTAACATTTTGAAGCCCTGCATAACTCAATGAACCAACGTGTTTGAGATGATTCATGTTACAAAAAGATGCATGAGCAAAGGATCCATTCAAAGTGCAAGATAGATAAATAGATCTTAATATGCCAGATTACAAATAGTTCATGATGTGGTTTCAGATTCCATGTTGCAACTAATCATTTAGAACCTACCACTTCTCCAGTTTTGTTGTAATATCAAAGCACAATGTCCACAGTTGTCCAAAAAGGCTGTTAAAATACTCCACCCTTTTCTAACTATATGTCTGATGATCCCAAGTTTCCTTCATGTATTTCAACCAAAGACACATATTGAAACAGATCGAATCCAGAAGTTGACATGAATATTCAATTGTCTTCTATTAAACCAGGCATTAAAAAGATGCCTCAAATATGTAAAATAATACTATTTTTTTCTTATGAAATTTTTGAAAAAAGGTTATTTTCATAAAAGTGGACTTCCAATAAAATATTTATATATAAAATTCATATTATAAAAAACCTTTTTGGGGTCATTACTAGTTGTTAAGATTTTAAAGGGTTCCTGAGACCATATGTTTGAGAAGCACTGTTTTAGTCATATGAATTAGGCAGAGGAGTGCTTGCTACAGAAGAGAAAACTGTGCTCATCAATGTTACATGGACATGCCCAAAGTCACAGAGTATGCCAGTAGTGGTGTCAGAATGCAAATTGATATTTTCCTTGTAGTCTTTGGGTTTGTAAAATATGGTTTATGAGAAAATAAAAGCTTAACTAAAATAGGACATGGAATTACGTGATTTAGGTGTTTGTACCCTCCAAATCTCATGTTTAAATATGATCCCATGTGTTGGAGCTGGGGCCTTGTGGGAGGGGTTTGGATCATAGAGGTAGATCTCTTGGCTTATGCCGTCCCCTTGGTGATGAGTGAGTTCCAGCTGTGAGTTCATGTGAGATCTGGTTGTTTAAAAGTGTGTGGCACCTTGCCCCACTTTCTCCTTCTTGCCATGTGACACATCTGCTGCCTCTTTGCCTTCTTCCATGATTGTAAGCTTCCTGAGACCCTCACCAGAAGCAGATGTCAGCACCATGCTTTCTGCAAAGCTGCAGAATCGCTTTAGCAAGTAGGGTATACCTAGGGTATCTGGGGGAAGAAATTTCTAAGCAACAAAGTGTTAAAGATGTGGCCTGGCTGCTTCTAAAAGCCTATGATCAGATACGGGAGCAAAAAAAAATGACTTAAACTTAGAACTTACATTTAAAAGGGAATCAGAGTGTACAAGTTTGGAAAATTTTCAGCCTAGCCCTGTAGTAGAGAAAGAATCCAAGCAGCCTATGGAAAAACTACTTTGCTAAAGTGATTAGTATGACTAAAAGAGAGCCAAGTGCTAATATTCAAGACAATGAGAATAGGGCTTGAAGGCATTTCAGAAGTCTTCAAGGCAGCCCCTCTCATGACAGGCCCAGAGGCCTAGGAGGAAAGAATGGTTCCAGTGACCAGGCCAGGGGAACCACTGCTATTCATAGATTTGGGACACTGCTCCTTGCATCCCAACTGCTCCAGCTTTAGTCATGGCTCAGTGAGCCACAGATACAGCTAGGGAAAGTACAAGTGTCCCAGATACAATCTGGAGAGCACAAGCTGCTGTAAGCCTTCACAATTTCCACATGGTGTTAAGCCTGCAGGCACACAGAATGCAAGAGTGAAAGAGGCTTGACAACTCTCAACTAGATTTAACAGGATGTATGGAAAAGCCTGGGTGATCAGGCAGAAGCCTGCCACATGGGTGGAGCTCCCCCACCAACCCCCTGCCAGAGAAATTCTACTAGGGTAGTGCAGAGGACGAAGATGGTGTTTGATCACCCACACTAGTCCTTACCATGGCACTGCCTAGTGGAGCTGTGGGAAGGGGGCCACAACCCTCTAGACCTGAAAATAATAGAGCCACCGGCAGCTTGCAACCTCAGTGTGGAAAAGCCACAAGCACTCACCAAACTATGATAGCAGCCACAGGGTATGAATCTAGGAAAGCCACATGGTGGGGGACTGTTCAAGGCCTTGGAAGCCCACTTCTCACACCAGGATGTGTGACAGAAGTCAAAGAAGATTGTTTAGGAGGTATAAGATTTAATGACAATCTGTTGGGTTTCAGACTTGTGTGAGGCCTATTGACCCTTTCTTTTGGGTAATTTCTCCTTTTTGGAATAGGAATGTGCCACGTTATATGTGGGAGTAAATAACTTATTTTTGATCTCACAGGCTCATAGGTGAAAGGAACTCATCTCTAGATGAGACTTTGGACTTGGGGCATTTGAGTTAGTGCTGAAATGGGTTATGACTTTTGGGGACTATTGCAAATGCATAATTTTATTTTGAAATGTGAGAAGAACATACGATTTCGATGGTGTATTAGTCAGGGTTCTCTAAAGGGACAGTACTAATAGGATATATGTATATATGAAAGGGAGTTTATTAAGGAGAATTGACTCACATGATCACAAGGTAAAGCCCCACAATAGGCCATCTGCAAGCTGAGGAGCAGGGAAGCCAGTGGTGGATGAGTCCGAGTCCCAAAACTTCAAAAGTAGGGAAGCTGACAGTGCAGCCTTCAGTCTGTGCCAAAGGCCTGAGAGCCCCTGGCAAACTACTGGTGTAAGTCCAAGAGTCCAAAAGCTGAAGAGCTTGGAGTCTGATAATCAAGGGCAGGAAGCATCCAACACAGGAGAAAGATGAATGCTGGAAAACTCAGCAAGTCTGCTCTTCCATCTTCTCCTGTCTGGTTTATTCTAGCTGTGCTGGCAGCTGATTAGATGGTGCCCATCCAGGTTGAGGTGGGTCTGCTTCTCCAAGTCTACCGACTCAAGTGTTAATTTTCTTTGGTAACACCCTCACAGACACACCCAGGAACAATACTTTGCATCTTTCAACCCAGTCAAGTTGACACTCAATATTAATGATCAAGGGGGGTCAGGGGTGGAATTAAATGGTTTGAATGTTTGTCCCCTCCAAATCTCATGTTGAAATGTGATTTTCAATTTTGGAAATGAGGCCAGGTGGGAGGTGTTTGGATCATGGGGGTGTATCCCTCATGAATGGCTTAGTGCCATCCTCTTGGTGATGAGTGTGTTCTTGCTTAGTTAGTTCATCTGAGAGCTAGTTGTTTAAAGGAGTATGGCACCTCTTCTATTGCTCTCTCTCCCTCATTCCTGCTCTCATCATGTGATGTGCTTGCTTCCACGTCACCTTCTGCCATAATTGTAAGCTTCCTGAGGCCCTCGCCAGGAGCCAAGCAGATGTTGGTGCCATGCTTGTACAGCCTGTAGAACAATGAGCCAATTCAACCTCTTTTCTTTATAAATTACCCAGCCTCACATATTTCTTTATAGCAGTGTGTA
Source organism: Homo sapiens (assembly GCF_000001405.40). Lineage (NCBI taxonomy): Eukaryota > Metazoa > Chordata > Mammalia > Primates > Hominidae > Homo > Homo sapiens. The sequence continues at coordinate 14,443,958 of NC_000002.12, read as the reverse complement.
AACAACATTTAGGGAAACACAAAATAAGGCCAGCATGAATGCAGCAGTGAGAACTACTTATTATTCAGTCATTGATTGGCCTTGATAGTATTTATCTAAACAAATCTAAGGTGAAAGCCAAAAGCTTGAGTTCTGTGGTTATAGTACTATGGAGAATAGAGCTAATCAAGCTATTCAAGGATAGGTAATATCATTTCAGAATAAGAATATGGCCTGGAACTCTGAAATTACAGAAAAGGGGCATAGCTCTGAAAAACTCATCGGGAGTAACATAGTGGAGGATGATCTGGTTAAAAGGTCACCCTTCAGCAACATTTAACCTGTAATAAATTGCAGTCTGTCTTCATGCTTCATGCTTTCTGAAGCCCTGGCAGTTGCTGGGTTATTCTAGAAAGGTCTCAGTCATGTTTATACGTTTGTTTGCGTGTGTGTGTGTCTTTGCTTATTTGTTGTAATAATAAATATACATTTGCTTATTTATTTGCTGATTGGTTATGGATTATTACAATTCTTCATTCTCTTATTCTTGTTCTAAAAATGTCATCTAATTATAGTTACCATTTGATATTTACACACGATTCTTAAATCATTGGTTTTATTGCCTCTTCTTTTACAAAAGAAATGTAGTATAGCAATGTTTTCAAATTTTACTCAATCTATAAAGAATGAAAAGTAATGGTTATCTTTAATCTATGAAAATTATTTTTCCAAGATTGTGGATATATTCCTGAAAGGTGGTGGAGACCTTTAGGGTAGATTACTCTTGGAAAGTTGTTAGACAAAGCAGTGACAAAAAAATTAGTATTATTTTGTTCAAATCATCTCTTCTTGCTATGTGCACTCTTTTGATTGAATCCAGTCTAACTGACTTTTTCTCTACTGTTTTTGAGGTATAATTGACAAATAAAAACAGTATATATTTAAGGTATATAACTTGATGTTTTGATATACCTATACATTGTCAAATAGTCACCACAATGTAGCTATTTAACATGTTCATTACCTTACATAGTTACTATTGTCTTTTTCTTTTTGTATGTATGATGAGAACACAAGATTTAACCTTAGTAAACTTAAAGAGTAAAACATATTATTGTTAACCATATTTATGTTGCTGTACTTTAGGTCTTCAGAAAGTATTCATCTTTCGTAATTGACACTGGTATCCTTTGACAAACATCTTCCTATTTCTTCTACCCCAGCCCCTATCAACCTCTGTTCTACTTTCTCCTTTTATGAATTTGACTTTATATTCCACATACAAGTAAGATCTGCAGTATTTGCCTTTCTGTGTCTGGTTCATTGAACTTAGCATAATGTCCTCCAGGTTCATCCATATTACTTGCAAATGATAGCATTTCCTTATTTTTAAAAGCTAAATAAGGCTCTCTATCTAGACCATTTTCTTTATCCATTTATTTGTTGATGGACGATTAGGCTGTTTCCTTATCTTGGCTATTGTGAATTGTACTGCAATGAACATAAGAGTACAAGGAGCTTTTTGAGATACTGATTTCATTTCCTTTGGATATATATTCACAGAAGTAAGACTGGTAGATCATATGGTAGTCTTATTTATAATTTTTTGAGGAATCTCCATATTGTTTTACAGAATGGCTGTACTAATTTACATTCCTATCCAAAGCATACAAGAGTTCTCTCTTCTCTTCATCCTGGCGCACACTTGTTCTTTTTTGTCTTTTTGAATGGAGCCATCCTAACAGGTGTGAAGTGACATCTTATTTGTGGTTTTGACTTGCATTTTCCTGATCATTAGTGTTGTTGAGCTCCTTTTCACATACCTCTTGGCCATTTATATATCTTCTTTTGAGAAATGTCTATTCAGGTCTTCTGTCTATTTTTAAATCAGTTTTTTTGTTGCTATTGAGTTGTGTTAGTTCTTTATATATTTGGATATTAACCCCTCATTGAATATACGGTTTGCAGGTTTTTTTTTTCCATTCCATAAGTTGCCTTTCCATTCTGTTGATTGTTTCTTTTGCTGTGCATAAACTTTTCAGTTTGATGTCTTTCCACTTGTCTACTTCTGTTTTTGTTACCAGTATTTTTGGTGTCATACCAAAAAAAATATTGTCCAGACAATGTCAAGAAGCCTTTTCCCTATGGTTTTCCTTAATAGTTTTATGGCCTCAAGGATTATGTTTAAATTTTAATTCCTTTTGATTTAGTTTGCATATATGTTGTGATATAAGAGTCCAATTTCTTTCTTCTGAATGTGGATTTCAGTTTTCCCAGCATCATTTATTGAAGACACTATCCAGTCCCCATTGTATGGTCCTGGAACTCTTATCCAAGGTTAGTTAACAAGTTATGTGGATTTATTTGGGGGCTCCGTATTCTATTCCAGTGCTCTATATGTCTGTTTTGAGTAATGGGTCATTTCAGAACATCATTCTTAGAGCAGTCAGTGATAAGTCATTGTTGCTTCTTGTTGCTTCCTTGCTGGTAGCTGCTAAATAATAAAAGACCTTTTCCTAATATTGCTTTATTTTTTAGTTTTGTAGGAGGCAAAGAAAGAGATGCATGCAGAAATCACATTGGAAAGTTAAGTCCATAAACCAGAGAGCCCTTAAAGCTTTCAGAATAGAAAACATTTCTCTGGGCTAGGCTCCTGTAAAAGGGGCCTTTTGTTCTTTGCTAGATATAACAGGGAAAATTTAGCCCTGAAAGGTTTGCTGGGGCTATTCTACTATTGAAAAATCAATAGCTACACAAGATAGGGCATTACGCCATATTAGGGGCCTAAATTACAAATACCGTTTAATGTCTATGGAATCACAGCTATTACTAGGCAATCGATCCTGGCTTCATTATCTCTCTCACTCCCTGTTGTTATACATAAACATAGCAGCTCTGGTTACATTCAGAAAAAAAATGGGTTTCAAAACAAATGCCAACATTCAGAGAGAAACTGAATAGCCAAGACCATAGGATTTTTATTACCAGGCCCATATTCTAGTGGGGAAGAGTCAATTGTACAGGGGCACCAAAGTTAATACCATTCACATTGTAAAACAAGGGCACGTTACTTCTACAGTTTTTGGAGAAGACTCACACAGGACATAAATATCTAAATGTTCTAGGAGTAACTATTGAAGATCACAGTAATATGAGGCAAAAATCTCATTTTCTGACTATTCTGTCTCCAGTGATTTCTTACAGCAGCTTACCTTGGTTCCTGAAATTTCACCATTGTTCATTTCTAATGCAGGCTGGAAATTCAGGCTATTGTTAAATACTAGCATGGTCCTATCAAAATACTATTAACTGAGAGGGGGAATATTAAAGCAGGATTGGAGAGCAGGTAAGAAGATTGGTGTTTTGGGAAAATAAATCTTACTGACCGTAAGACGTATTGGGAATAAGGAAGAGACGGAAACTCAGTAATGAACTGCTGTGTAGTCTCTCCATAGCTATGGCTTGAAATCAATTGAGGTGGACATTGGCTTCCTGGGAATTATGTTTATGTGGGGAAAAGGCATATTTATCTCTGTTCAGTTGTAGATGTGAACAAAGGGAAACCTAAGCAACAGAGTTAGACTCAAGGTTTCTTTGTTTTGTTTCATTTGAATAAAAGCTTCTCTAGAACCAACATCTATATGAAAACTTACATATTAGCAGAATAGTCTTTTGTTCCCAGTCATGTGAACGCTGAATGCAGTGAATACACAATCTAGTCAAAGGCAGTTTCTTGCTCCCCTAACTCTCTGTTGCAAACTAAAAATGATTCAAAATATATCTATAATATTCAGCTGTATTAATGACATCAGTACATTTACTTATCCATTAATCATTCATTCGATCAACAAACATTAACTCAGTATTTACTTATTTAATATCAGGCTCTAATGAAGGAGCATAACAAGTATACGGTTGGGAAGGACCTTTCATTGCTATGGAGTGTGGATGTTTGCCTATAAAAAATGAGAAGTCACTGGAGGATTTTAATAATAAGAGTAATGTGGTCGAATTTAATTTTGGACAACTCAACATGACTGCTGCACTGAATATGTGTCGCAGCAAGGAGATCCTTGGAAGAGGACAAGTCAGGAGGCTGTTTATTTATTTATTTTTTATTATACTTTAAGTTCTAGGGTAGATGTGCACAACATGCAGGTTTGTTACATATGCATACATGTGCCATGTTGGTGTGCTGCACCCATTAACTCGTCATTTACATTGGGTATATCTCCTAATGCTATCCCTCCCCACTCCCCCCACCCCACGACAGGCCCTGGTGTGTGATATTCCCCTTCCTGTGTCCAAGTGTTCTCATTGTTCAATTCCCACCTATGAGCGAGAACATGCGGTGTTTGGTTTTTTGTCCCTGTGATAGTTTGCTGAGAATGATGGTTTCCAGCTTCAACCATGTCCCTACAAAGGACATGAACTCATCCTTTTTTATGACTGCATAGTATTCCATGGTGTATATGTGCCACATTTTCTTAATCCAGTCTATCATTGATGGACATTTGGGTTGGTTCCAAGTCTTTGCAGTTGTGAATAGTGCCGCAATAAACATACGTGTGCATGTGTCTTTATAGCAGCATGATTTCTAGTCCTTTGGGTATATACCCAGTAATGGGATGGCTGGGTCAAATGGTATTTCTAGTTCTAGACCCTTGAAGAGTCACCACACTGTCTTCCACAATGGTTGAACCAGTTTACAGCCCCATCAACAGTGTAAAAGTGTTCCTATTTCTCCACATCCTCTCCAGCACCTGTTGTTTCCTGACTTTTTAATACTTGCCATTCTAACTGGTGTGAGATGGTATCTCATTGTGGTTTTGATTTGCATTTCTCTGATGGCCAGTGATGACAAGAATTTTTTCATGTGTCTGTTGGTTGCATAAATGTCTTCTTTTGAGAAGTGTCTGTTCATATCTTTCACCCACTTTTTGATGGGGTTGTTTGTTTTTTTCTTGTAAATTTGTTTGAGTTCTTTGTAGATTCTGGATATTAGCCCTTTGTCAGATGAGTAGTGTGATGAAGAATAAAAAGAAGTTTTGTCTGAGCGGGGTGGGCCTTAGAAAAATGACCTACCTGTAAGATCTATCCTCAAAAGCCATGTTCTTACAGTATTCTAACACACAGTGTCCAGGGGCATGAGATTTTTTTCAGGCCAGGGTTATCGTTCAAGGAGGCCCAATTCATCACATGATTAGAGTAGCATTACAAGCAGCAGGGCTTTCTAGATGTATGATGGAGGTGGAAGAGTCATTGTTTTAGGTAATAAAATGGCAATTTAAAATATGAACATTAGCATCCAGGAAGATGAGAGAGGGGACTCTTTTTCCCAAGGGAAAGGACTGGCAGATGCTGGTCAGGGTTTCAGGGCTCCCACTAAGTAAACTCACATCCTAGATGAAAACTATTTGTAATCCTTGTTCGCTGCCCTGGGACACAAGATGCATGGGACATCTAAGTTTTCTCTCAAGCCTTCCAGATGCCAGATTCTGGGTAGCACAGCTAACTCTGGAATCAGCTATGACTGGAGGCTCTTGACGTACACCCAGTTTGGGACAGAATTAACTCAAGATGTAAGTAGGATGGAGCTTGCATGTGAAGGACACCTTGAATTCTCCAACTCTTAAAACATCAATTTATACGGAAGTCCAGGGTGCACTTTAGTAGAACTCAATTTGGCTTTGTTTCCACTACCTTTTCAAATAGAAACATTCTCATTCATTTTCTTTGTTGTCAGTCACGACACGTATAAATGTGTATTATTCAATACAGAGAATAGGTGGTGCCACAGATGTGAAACCCACATCAGAAATATTTGACTCCTTGGCTGAGTTTTCCACCTATTGTTGAGATTTGGCCTTATTCATAGGATCTTTTTAGGAGATACAGGTGTATAGAAGGAATGAAATATAGTCAAAGTCAAGCAGAGACTTTTTTTTTTTTTTCAGATGAATCTCACTCTTGTCCCCCAGACTGGAGTGCAATGGTGTGATCTTGGCTCACTGCAACATCTGCCTCCCAGGTTTAAGCAATTCTCCTGCCTCAGCCTCCTGAGTATCTGGGATTACAGGTGCCTGCCACCACGCCCGGGTAATTTTTGTATTTTAAGTAGAGATGGGGTTTCACCATGTTGGCCAGGCTAGTCTCAAATTCCTGACCTCAGATGATCCACCCTCCTCGGCCTCCAAAAGTGCTGGGATTACAGGTGTGAGCCACCGTGCCCGTCCAAGCAGAGACTTTTTATAAGCCCCATAATGGTTTCAAGTTAAATGGTAATCTATAAAATAGATGGTCTCTGTGGCCTTATATATTTTTATTGAGGTGTGTACACTTAAGTGTAAAGTGCAACAAATTTTTATAAATGTAAATATCCTTATATCTACCACCCGGGTCATGACATACATATTTTTATCACTCCAGACTTTTCCCTCATGCCCCTTCCAAATCAAGTTTCCTTCAGAAGTAACAACTATTTTGACTTCTATCACTAAATATGTAGTCTCGTTTCTCCTTGAGCTTCCTATAAATGGAATCACAGTATGTACTCTTTTGTTTCTAGCTCCTTTCTCTCCAGGCAATGTCTTTGTGTTTAACTGTTGCTTCTGTGTTTATCAGTAATTTGTGCATTTTATTCAACTTTTAAGTGATTATTTTACAACTTATTTATTGTTTTTGTTTTGATGAACATTTAAGTTTTTGGGTAATATGAAAAAAGCTACTACAAAATGTTTGTATGTGTCTTTTGGTGGATGTATGCACTCATTTATCTGGGGTATATACCTAGAAATAGAATTATTGGGTAAAAGCAGAAGTGTTTTCCAATGGAGCAGATGAATTTACTCTCCCAATAGCAATGTGCGAAAAATTCAATGCTCGACATCATCTCTAACACTTGGTATTGCCAGTTTCTCGTATTTAGCCATCTCTTGGGTGTGTAGGGGTATCTAACTGTGGTTTCAATTTTATTTTCCTGATGACTAATGAGTTCTGGCCATCTAGAGAGTGTATTTTTGAAGCACTTGTTCAAATTATTTTTAGTACTTAGAAATTGGGCTGTTATTTTGTTATTTATTTAAAGATGTTCTTTATATATTCTGGATATAAGTGTTGTGTCATATACATATATTGTGACTATTTTATCCTTGTCAAGATATTGGCTATTCACTTAGTGTTTTATTTTGATGAAGGATTTTTAATTTAAAAGATCATATTTGTCATTTTTAAAATTTTATGATTATTGCTTTTGAGGGTCCTGTTTAAGAATTGTTTCTTTCTAATAGAGAGCTTAATTAAGACACATTTTCTGATGAGGTTAAAATTCTATTTAATATAGATGAAGCTTCCAAATTTGAAATAAGCACAATTTACAGGAAAAGTGCAAGAATAGTACAAAAAACTCCTATAATAGTTACCCAGGTTCTATTTGTTAACATTCTATCACATTTATGCTCTCTCTTCCCTTCTTTCCTTCCCTCTCCCCTCTCCCTTCTCCCTTTCCTCTCTCTCTCTCCTTTTATTTTGTGTACTTCAATGTGTACTTCAATATGTATTTCATATACACTCTTCATAACCAAAGTAAAGCTATCCAAATCAATAATTTGGTAAAATTTTACCAATACACAGAACCCATCCAAATTTTAGAAATTGCTCCAATAATTCCCTTTAGCCAAACACACACACAAACAAACAAATAAGAATAATTTTCCTCTAGTCCAGGATATAATTCAGGATCATGAATTGCATTTAGTTATGTTTTTAATCTCCTTCAATCGGGAATAGTTCCCTAATCTTTTTTCTCTTTCATGATGTTATTTCACAGAATACATGCCAGTTTTTTTGTATCAAATCAGAATATCCCTCACTTTGAATTTTTCCGATCTTTCCTTAAGATTAGATGGAGGTGATGCATTTTTAGCAATAATACCACAGGAATAGTGTTGTCTCCTTCTATGTACATCATGTCAGGAGGCAAATGATGTTGATTTGTACTGCTGCTGTGGCTGTCAAATTTGATCATATAATTAAGGTAGGATCTGCCTGCTGTCTCCACTGGAATGCCCTGACCTTACTGCAGAGGCACAGTGAACTCCCACCCCAAATTTGTTCATACATCAAGACCAATGGTACTGCACACAGATCAAGAGAGTACAAAATGCTTTATTTCATATAAAACTGAGGTCTCTGGAACAAGTGGGGTAGGCCTCTCTAGCATGCATCATCTCTCACGCTGTCAAGAAATAGCTGTTGATCCTCTCGGTTTCCACAACATTAAAATAAACTAAATGTCTTTTAGGTCTTTTGGTGTCCTGGAGACAACATACTTCTCATTTACAAGTTGTACTTAAGTCCATTTATGCTGTTATTTGCAAATCGGCCCACTTTGGGTGGGGCCTCATCCAACAAAAAGGCTCTAGAACCTGTTCAAATTGCAGTTCATAAGGCACTCTTATTAGTGATAGAGGCAGGTAAGGGCGGGTCCCCCACGAAACCCCACATTCCAGCCAAAAATCCTGAAGCCCGTGGCCCAAAGTGAGAACTTCTATTCCTGTTTGCCTGCTCTTTCCCGATTGCTTCTTTCTGAATAAAGTCTTTATACTAATCAAAAGTTGCCTTTTCCCAAACTGCCTATGGCCTGCCCCACCCCCCATCCTGTGCCTATAAAGACCTCAGACTAAGTTAGTAGAAGGGGAAGTGGCTTGACTGGAGAGAGGTGACTTGACTTCAGAGGGACGGCTGGACTTCAGTGGAGAGATGGCTTAACTTTGGAGAAGAGCCAGCCAGAGACACCCAGCCTTCAGGGAAGATTATCTGCTTGTCTCATCTCTCCAGCTCCCCTCTCCGCTGAAAGCCACTTCCATTGCTAAATACAATTCTCTGCCTTCAGCATCCTTCAAGTGTCCATGTGATGTAATTATTCTTGAACACTGGACAAGAGCTTGGGATCCATTGAGTGTGGGTACCCAAAAAACGCTGTCACATGGCCCTTGCCCTTGCTGGTGGAGGGCAGCTGCCCCACGCAATGAAGCAAGGGGTGCAATGAGCTGATAACACACTGCTGCCCACAAATGGTGGAGCTAAGGGAACATTGTAACATGCCCTCTGGGGCTTCAGGGGTCACAGGCACCCCCACCTGGGTACCGCTGAGGGGCTTGCATGGAGCCTGCTCCTGCCAGCACCCAAAGCAGCTGGTCAGATCCTACACTCATTTGCTCATCCCTGGTCTGGCTGTGAGGCCTGCCCGGGGCCTGTTCTTGTGGGCACCCAAAGCAGCCAGCCGGATCTCACCCTCGCTCACTCACATACTTCTTCCTGCAAGAGGTTGAGCACAGTGGACCGAATGAACAGGGCACACCCGTCGCAAGTCTGATGAAGGGGTCAAGAAAAACTCTTACATCATTAGTGGTCCCAGAGACTCCTCTTTGGGTCATCCCTGACAACCGTAACTTGCCTAAGGTCCTCAAGTGCCAAAAAGCTGCCCTCCTCAGTCTCATGCTTTATGCCCTTAGAGAGCCGATTGCTGGTCACATAGTGAGCACTCCCTGAAATAGAGGCTGTCACAGGCCCTGAACTAATAATTCTCAGTTTCCTAGCTGCCAATTATGTCTCAGATCATGCAAGCAGCAACCTGCAAGCTCGGCATGGCTACAAAGGTGTCCTTGTTACAGGATGAAGCCGGACTGGCTCTCTGGTATGTCCCAGCTGCAGGAAGGAGTGGCCTTCCTTCTTCTCAGTATTTTTTCAGACACCATGTGTCTGGTAAGGTCACCCCTTTCCCAGGCCTCATTGCTTCCTGGGGAGTCACTGGGTATGAATTGAGTAAACAGCAATGGGAGTTTGTGCACCTCACAGATAGTGTTGCCACTGTCACGTATCAGGGAGCTCAGTGGAACATTGCCGCTTTTTATCCTTTAAACAGGACATCCTTGATAAAAGACAGGCCACAAGGGCCAGTACACTTGGCCAAACTTCAGGCAATTATTTTAGCACAGGATGCTTGGGCCAGTAATGAAGCCATCTACACATTTCGTATAGACTCTCAGGCTATTGTCTAAGAACTGGCACCTGTGGAATAGAGAATTCTAGGGATCTTTTGCCCCAAAGATACAAAACCAAGGTCATATATGTTTGTAAACATATTAAATCCATAACACGAAGCCTCACCAAATGCTTCTTATCCCCTCAAGTTCCAAACATCATTGATAGTGTCCTAGGCACTAATTTCATATCTCGTAATTCACAATGACAAGCTCTTGAAGCTCTTGAACAAGGGCATTTGATGGAATTTTCACCTCCATTATTAGCCTCAGGCTGCAGGCCTCACCTGATGCCATAATGGCTTTCTTAAACAAGTTCAAATTCAAGAAACATGGTACCTTTTAGTCACCATTCAAACATCAGGGGTGAACCATCATAAAGAGTCTGATTCCATTTTTTGATGACGGAATGCTAGCGTATTTCAAGTTCATGTCTCCTTTTTCCTATTCTGCCCTACATCTGAGCATGGTGATAAGTGAACAGGGTGCTCCTTCCTTTAGTGCCAGGACAATATTTAAACCACACAAGCCCCTGGTAGAAAGATGCAGCCCAAGCCCATCCCCTGACTACAACAAAAACTCTGGCTCAGTCTAGTTTTCTTGCTCTCTCAAGCCACTTTTGAACTAGAATTGGGGTGCCTTCCCAGTTTGCTCCCCAAAAGTCTCATTATGTGAGTAATAAACCTTTTCATACCACTTGGTATGGAGGTGTGTCATCATCAGTCTTGACATCTAAACCAAATTTCGGGTGGGGCTTCATCCTGAAGAGTAGCCAGAACAAGAACAGTACATACTATTTTCTCCTTGTAATTATACATATTTTGTGGGGGTAATACTTTGAGATGATATAATTATCCTGTTCTTTGCCAAACATTTTCTTATAGGTTTAGCATCCATTTAGGATTCTTGTGTGAATCAATTATTAATATGAATATAAATAATGTTACTCTAATTTCATCATTTATTTTACATTAGTTGACATTTGATTGTAAGAAAGAGTTTCTCTCTGTTAGTTTATGTATATATTTACTTATTTATTTCAGTATACACTTATGGATTTATATTATATTAAACAAGTTACAGTCTATTTTTATCTTTATTTTAATACTTAAATTATCTCATAATTAGCCAGCAGAACACCTTTCAAGCTGACCCTGTGCCTGTTTGACAAACCCTCATCATTTTGTATTTATGCTTTTCCCTTTAACATAATAAAATATTCTACTTTTGTTCTGCACTGTTTATACTGCATCCCTCTAAATCAGCCATTTTTCCATAGAACATTAGTAAAGAATGACACTTAGAAGTCAAGATTTGGGTTCTTGACATGCTCATTGCTATTGAGATCCCATTGCTTATTGACATTTTCAGCAGACACACTAAGAAATAAATATATTTATACACATACACATACACAAGCACACACATGCCTATGTACATATACACACAAGTATATGAATATTTACATATGGTTATATCTTGTATGTACACACCATACATATTTAGATATATCTCTATAACTATTAATCTATATTTTTTATTGGAATTAGAAGTATTGAAGCAATCCTAAGAGTATAAAAATATGTAGATATTATATATGTATATTACATACATATACGTTTAAATCATGAGTATGTGTGTATAATTTATATAGCATGAGTTTCCACCAACACCTCCAATTCCAATCCAAAAAAACACAAGAATTATCCTAGTCAAGTCATTTGAACTTCCTTCTGTAGTGAAGAACATAGCTTCCATTATCTTTACTTACATGTTCATTCCCTCTTTAGGTAGTCAGTATATTGACCCCACTGGCTGCCTCTTCAGCCACAGACTCACAAGTCTTGGTCACTGTCCTTGGTCCCGTTTCCTCCTTGACCACAATTCTATATACCTTTCCATCCCCAGCCTCCCCTCCACCCCCAGCTGCCATTTGGCCCTGGCTTAGCCAAGATTTGGTAACCACCACTGCCTCATGGAAAGGTCTGGATGGGAGCCAATAGTTAATTCTTGAAGAAAATCGAAATGAAAAGCAGACAGAGCAAGAGAGAAAAAGGAGTATCAGCAGAAGTATTTTTGATTCAGTGTTGGGCTTAGATGTTTTTCTAAATTGTTAGAGCTTAATTGTGTTCTTTCATCAATTTAATCTAACCAAAATAATTTAAGATTGGCTAAATAATAGACTTTAATAAGTGTTGGGTGCTAATCATTGCTTTAAGTTTGAGATAGAGAAAATGGAAAATGTGGTAAAAAAAAAAATGTGCTCAGCATGAGTAAAAGAAGAAGGAAGTAATATTTAGTGACCATCTACTCAAGACTAACCACTTTTCATAAAGTTTTTAGTTATTATCAGTCTTGATATTAATAATTTCATGTAGCTATCATTATTCCCATTTTAGTGATAAGCAAGTTAACTTCAATTAACATGCCTTTCATACAACAAAGCAAATGTATTACTTTGGCTGATTTGAACCTAGATTTGTCTGACTCCAAAAGTTTGCTTTTTTTTTCTCTATTTCTACCATTCTTACTCTAAAGGATTGCATGTCTAACTCATAAGTAAATACAAGAGTTGGAGTATTAATAATGTTGCCTTGATTAAAGATTGGCACGGCCTCAATGTCTAAAGAAGGTTGGAAAATCAGAAGTCGTGAAGACAGAAAGGATGTGTTGAGTTTTGAAGTGTGTCAGAGGTATTTGGGGTCACCTTTGAAAAAAGATCAGGGACTGCATTTCCTGGCATGTGGGGAAAGAGGAGTTATTTCTAGCTATGTCCAGCCAGAGGCAAAATCTTTGCCTTTGGAGATAAGGATTTTTTTTTGTAACTGCATATTTCTTATAATAGACTAGATTTTAATGCTGGAGCAATTTCTAATATCTAAGCAAGAATTGCTTATTCCAGGTTGGCTGGTTGTGATACCTGTGGTGTCTTTCCCATTAAAAAGTATTTTTCATGTAACCCAGATGTTCTGTTCTCAAAATCAATCCACAAAATAAGAATACATTTCATATTTAATAGCAAAATTATGATAACTTGAGAACTGCTGGCCTAATGGTTACCAATTAGCCTTCTTAAACTCTCTGAGCGTTCTCTGGGGTGCTAACTCATGTGTGAAGGAAGGGGCCCCACATTTTTCCACTGAGGATGAATTTTCATCTCATCACTGTCAAATAAAAAATCCAGACTTAGTAAAGAGATACTTTATTCAAAAGAATATTAGAAGAAGGAGAAAGGGACTAGCAAAATAAGGAGAACTCTCTGACCATGTGATTACCTAGGGAACAAGCATTTTAGCCAATCATTTATGAAACAATGGGAATTTGGAGTGTCTGTGTCTTACCACATGTAAATAAGATGGGCATCCGTGAATCATCAGAGTCATATGGGGAAGGGTGTTTCTTTGCAGTTAGCTGTTTTCCAGAACACAAAAGATTAGGTGGAGTACTTCTTAGCCATCCCTGTTTTACAGCAGTTTTCCTCAACCTTTTTGGCACCAGGGACCAGTTTTGTGGAAGACAGTTTTTCCATGGACATGGCAGGTGGGTGTGGGATGGTTTTCAGGATGAAACTGTTCCACTTCAGATCATCATCAGGTGTTAGTTTGATTCTCATATGGAGCATCTGGATCCCTCCCATGTGCAGTTCATGGTAGGGTTTGCACTCCTATGAGAATCTAATGCCACGTCCCTCTGATCTGACAGGAGGCTGAGCTCAGGTGGTAATCCTCACTCGCCCACTGCTCACTTTCTGCTGTGCAGACCAGTTCCTAACAGGCCAAAGACTGGTACCAGTCCATGGCCTGGGGGTTGGGGACCCCTGTTTTACAGGAGCTCAGGGCTCAGGCAAATTTCAACATTGTCACTATGTTTGGACTGATGCATGATCACTGTGTTGCTGGGCACACTTGGCTCCTGGGGGTGATGCTGCTCTTGCCACTGCTCTAGGCCCCAGAGGCTGACTCTCCTCCTGTCCACACACCTTCCCAAGTATGGAAGAGAAATTTCCATTGATTCAAGGTGCACAGCTGAGGTCAGGCTTTGCATTTTAGTAAGAAGTATATTGAAAGTTTGGAGAAGAAGGACAGTACATCACAGAGAACAACTCAAAACAGTCACATCTGGTCATCGTAATTTTAAGTCCAAGTTTAAAGCCAGACTACACTCTAGTTAAAGGTGCAAAATGCGAGTCTTCATTTCCTGTCCCAGCATCAGCCTTTTCACAAGATGATACAATTGAATTGTCCTCTTACTTAAGATAAAAATCCAGTCTTAGAGAGTAATCTTGCCTTTGGACAGGCACCAAGTGAAGCTATTAATATAATCAACCTAACAAGACTACACTCCACAATGCCACATATGAAGTGTCTCATGTCCAGTCAATATTGAGCCTCATCTTATTCTTTTCACAGCACCTTTTCCAGGATAAGAGAAAAATTATGGTGTAATAGCCTTCACCTTACTAAAGTCCTTTCCATCTCAGTGTGCTACTCCTGATACCATCTACCCAGAAAAGAACATACAAAACCCTCTAAGAATAAGAAATTATTTATAGACGCCATAGTCTAAACCCAGACAAAATAACATTCATTTTCACAGAGACAATAAAAAATATTTCCCAGAATATTCTGCTTTCACCTGGTGTCTCCCAGCTGGGTCAGTTCTGTTTATCTTTCCAGACTCAGGTTAAATATTCTTTCCTCACTTAAATTCATCCTAACTCCACATTTATCGGTCCTCTTCTTACAGATCCTCATAGTACTTTTCACTGACTCATTGTCCTTCATACATTTATCATCATTAATTATTTGTGTAATTGTTGCTTATTTTTTCTGTCTCCTGTAGTAACTGGTGAACACCATTAGGAGTAGGTCAGACTTTTTAACACTCTAACTCTCCTGGCATAGAGAGGAGGTTCCATAAATATTTGAGTGAAAATCTGTAGAGAAAATCTTTGATAAAAGATACATCTCATTTTTATAGAGGAGAAACAGAGAAGTTCTGGGTCTAAGACATCAGTATTCAGGTGGAAGATGACCTCTGGCTTCCTAAAAACAGCAAGTAAGACCTAACTTATATTGCATAAATATATGGCATGGTTCTGTGTTTTCTGTTTTTCCCCAAAATAAAGTCATTACCTGCCTTAAAGGTAAATTAAAGTCTCCACTCTTGAGTAGTTGAGAAAATATGCAGGAATCTACAAAGTGGCAGTTTTTTCAGCTTCTATACCCAACATGATATTTAAAGTAATAGCTTATTCTCAGCCAGGGTTTGAGGTTATGTATGTTATTTTCAGAACTAATGATGTATAGTGTAATGTAGTGTAATTTGAGCTCTTCAAATGATAATACCTGTATTTATACTGTGATTTACCATTTTCAAAGCAATTTTACATTGGCTCATTTAATCTTCATGAATACTTTTTGAGGGAAAATAATAAAAAAAAAACTTGTACACCCATTTTAGAAATGAAGAAACTGCAAACCACATCCATTACCTAACTAACCCATGACCACACAGCCAAGAGCAGCACTGGGACTCCAGCCCAGTTCTCCTGACTTTAACTCCAGCATACTCTCCGTGATTCTCTGGCTGCTGAGTCAACAGCAAGGCGACTTGGCCTATTTCTATCTTAGTTTGAAATAGTTTGTGTGTCTTTGGCCTCCTTTTCAAAATGAGAGCCATCAGTTGGGTTTATCTCAAAGTGAATTTTGTTCTTTGGCACTGGACCTTCTTTTCTAAAGGATAGTCATATTTGGAAAGGATCTCAGCAGTTATTCAGTCCAATGCAACACCCCCACCATGTGGCTGTCCAGCCTAAACTTGAATATTTGAAATGATGGAGAACTCACTCCTTTATACATGCCCATGTATATAAATGTTGGCTTGAGATTTATGACAACTCATGAGATAAATACTACAATTATTTTTACTTTATAAAAAAGGGAAACTGGGGCACACTGAATTTAAAGAATTTGCCTAAGATTACAAATCTAATAAATTATAGACTGAGGATTTGGCCCCTGTCAAGCTAACTCTAAAGCCTTCTTGCTAAATGGCCATAGTATGCTGCCTGTGTATCTAGGTAGTATATCTCAACTGTTTCAAATGAGAGTAAAGCCTTGCAAGTATTCTGATGCCAATTTGAATGCACATAGACGTGTGTCCAAATAGATGGGGATTAAGGAAAGGAACACATTATTTAGAGATTTTGGTTTTGGCTTTATTCACACAACTTGGCTGTGGCAGTGCAGGATTCATCACATCCAAAGGAAATGTATTGGCAAAATGCTTCCTTCTTTAAATGCTCCAAACCATTCCATGGTGATTCTGGAAATTATCCCTTTTGGTTTAAGATAGTAATTAAAATCAAGAGTGGAGATCTAGTTTCATCCCAAACTGTATTTAAATTCAGAGGCACACCCTCCAGCCCTGTCTTCAATGTATTTATCTTTAAAACTGAACGTGAAGTTCAGAGTACACAAAGAATATCTTTATATTTCTCAATATCTGATTCAGCTTGGCTCATGATCCACCCTTTTTTTTTTTCCGGTGCAGAAAACTAAATCTCACAAGTTAAGGTAAATTTTCCAAAATCTAATCTCATTTAAGTAACTACTTCATCAAACCCATTTATCTCAGTTCCTCCCGCTTCCTTCTTTTTCCTGTGGCAGTATCAGGGTTTGGAAGCTCTTGGCCTGGAGTGGGGACAGGGTAGGATGGGAGGTGGGCATGTAGTCCCAGCCCATTGTGTATTTTTGCAGACCACTACTGAGCTGTGTCTCATCCTGCCAGGTCTTGATCATCAGCCCTGCTCCTGAGAGAGCTATATTGTCTGCTGGCCTGATTCACCATGGTCTCCAGTTGTAACATACTCTGTCTCCTTCCTATTCCAACCTGGAGGGCTCTTCTCATCTGCTTGCACTTCAGACACTTTCAGATGCTCCCCTGTGACAGTTGGCACTGCAGGAGACTCAAAGATAGTTTCTTCAGGTCTTCCTGTAGCTGTTGCTGCTCTACCCAGTAGCTAAGTGGTTTGTGATATTTGCAGGCCATAGCCCAAGGAGAGAGAAACTTTCTCAGCTTTGAGATCCTCTAAACTTATTTAAGGTTTTCTTTTCTTTTTTTTTTTATTATACTTTAAGTTTTAGGGTACATGTGCACAACGTGCAGGTTTGTCACATATGTATACATGTGCCATGTTTGTGTGCTGCACCCATTAACTCATCATTTAACATTAGGTATATCTCCCAATGCTATCCCTCCTCCCCCCACCCCACAACAGGCCCCAGTGTGTGATGTTCCCCTTCCTGTGTCCATGTGTTCTCATTGTTCAATTCCCACCTATGAGTGAGAACATGCGGTGTTTGGTTTTTTGTCCTTGCGATAGTTTGCTGAGAATGATGGTTTCCAGCTTCATCCATGTCCCTACAAAGGACATGAACTCATCCTTTTTTATGGCTGCATAGTATTCCATGGTGTATATGTGCCGCATTTTCTTAATCCAGTCTATCATTGTTGGACATTTGGGTTGGTTCCAAGTCTTTGCTATTGTGAATAGTGCCTCAATAAACATACATGTGCATGTGTCTTTATAGCAGCATGACTTATAATCCTTTGGGTATATACCCAGTAATGGGATGGCTGGGTCAAATGGTATTCTAGTTCTCTCTACCACCCTTCATTCCCAAGGTTTTGACCCCAAAAATGGAGCATAAAGTAAGTCTCCCCCACCAACTCTCACACACGGAGACACACTTACATCTCAATCCCAAGCTATACCCATCACCCATGTTTAATGCAGAACTTTTTCTTATCATTTCCACACATGGTTGTTGTACAACTCTTAGGTCAGCAATTTTCCCTTCCCACTCCATGGTTGGTAGCTGAACTCTGTATTCTCAGTACTAGAGTTCTTAAAGAGCTAAAAACAACAGTGACAGTGACAAAAGTCTCTTTCAGTTTCAAAGTTGATAAAGTCGGATACCAAATGAGGCTTTTTCCATTGTTTTGGAATTTTGGCTGAAACCCCAAACCTGAGAACAAAAAGTACCCTGAAATTTTAAATAGAGAACAAAGTTGCTGCCAGTTACCTCTTCCAGTGCTTACTGAGAGGTTACCAAACCCATCTTACAATCCCTATCCTTCCCTCCTCAAACAACCTATGCAAATAGGAGCCTAGGAATTCCAAGGAAATTGGTTAAAGGACATGAAAAAATTGTCGGTAGTAATCATACTTGAAGCTTTTCTATTTTCATTGTTCAGTGATATGGAAGGGATTCTCCAAAAGAATTTCACTTAGAGAGATCTAGGGTGTCAGCAGGAAAGAGAATGGGATCACCCTCTCCAGGTGGATGTTGCTGAGCTGTAAAATTCATAAGTCATAAGTGCAGTGCAGCACATCAGAGTATAGTACTATGAAGCAATTCTTAGGAGAACTTATTACAGGTGGTCTGGTAACCATAGAATATGGTGCATGCTTCTAGCTCAGCAGCAGTAGGTGGCTGGAGCAACACTGTTGGGAGCAACTCTGTTGGGAGAGCAAGGAAAGAGGCAGTCAAGGGAAGACTACCCTTTGCTGTTTGGTACAGCAGGATGTTTGAGAGTGGCCCAAATGGATACTGTGGAAAGTAGCTAGAATCAAGCCATCTTTTAGTTGCCCAATAGGGTGTGCTTTGGGGCAAAGGGAAGCCAGCAGAATCTGTGAAATGTGTTCCCAGGGGCAGAAATGGAGGTGAGAGGAATTGACTAAAGGTCCAGGTGTCAATGTCAGGAATCTGTGCAATGTGAGGTTATCACAAGGATTCTGGAAAACCCAGATGCTTTATCTGGAAAGAATAAGCATGTAGACATCTGCTGCACCGAGAACATCACTGGATAGTCAGCACTAGCCTGAAGAGACCATGAGAGCAGGACCTGAGAAATGAAAAATATTTTTTTTCCCCTTTTTGAGAAGAGCCTAAAGAGGTAGATGGAAATGCTATTCACTTTAAGTCCCTCAACTGAGTTTGTGTTGGGGCAGAGTATGAAACTTTCATTGGGATGAGAGAAATCACTTTTGATTTACTTTCAGATGACTAGTTTTAGTGCCTGAAATAATTACGAAAACAGGGTTTGCTTTTAAAATCAAGGGTGAATAGCAAGTCATGGTTCAGCTTGAATTGTCATCGAAGAGTAGTAGGGAATATATCTGAGAAACAATAAAACTCATTTCTATAGACTGAGCAACAGAGGGTTACTGCCTCCGTGCCATAAACTTCTAAGAACCAATTTATGAAGTCATTGTTAAAGATTAACTTGTAGTTACCACTAGAGTCATTTATGACTTCTCTTTTTTAGGGCTTTAAGTCTCAGCTTTACAGATAATTGAATGGTGGAATGATGACGAGAAAAATTCACAAGCAATATATATTTCAGTTAATATTTAAAATTATTTTTCTCTACATGAGAAAGTTGTCTAAATGCTATCCCAAAATTACTATTTTCTAAAAATCTAGCATTTTATTCCTGCCAGCTTTACACAGTGTAGTACAGAGGTAGGGGTTGAGAAAAGCATTTTTCTGGAGATATTTTTATCATGGTCTTTGGAGATATCCTATTAACTTTTTTTGTTCTTATTCAACTAGCAAATTGTTACCAGATTAGTTCATCTTGCACAGAGTTTGCAGAGAGCCAGGCTTACCCTCACTGCCTCTTCAGATGACTACCATAAACTTTTAAGATTTATCATCTGCTCCTTAGATAATTGCAACAGTAAACTAAGAAGTCTCTTCATCCCTCTTCCAGATTTGTTCCTTCTAAAACAGTTCCTATATTTCTACCTGAGAAATTTCCTCAACTTATCTTATCTTTATCTGTGTTTTAAACACAGAAGTTAATGCTCTCTATTGTAAAATCAAGTTTCAGCTTTTTATTCTAAAATATTATTGTAATTGTCCAGCATGTTCTTTTTGCCTGCTGCAGAAAAAAAGCCAATACATGGCGATAGTAGCATTGCCGCAGAGAAAAAGTTCAATTACCACAAGGTGTCTGGGCAGGAGGATAAGAGCTATTTCTCAAATCCATCTCCCTGAGAGCTTAGAGGCTAGAGTTTAAAAGAATGATGTGGTGGGCAGGGGGCTAGGGAATGGGTGCTGTTTATTGGTTAAGGATGAAATCATAGATGTATCCGAATTGTCTTCATGTACTGAGTCAATTTCTAGGTAGGGGTCACTGGACCATTTGAGTCAGTTCCTTGGTATGACTCATGGGTTCAGGTGGCCTTGGTTGGTCTGCTTGAATGCAAACATCTGAAAAATATCTCAAAGACCAAACTTAGGTTTTGACAATATGGCTGTTATCTATAGGAACAATTGGGGAAGTTACAAATCTTGTGACCTCCAGCTACAAAACTCCTAGCAGTAATCAAGATAGGGAACAATGGCTGGCTATCACTTAACTATGTTTATAGCTTAGCAGAATTCAAGCCCCTATCATAATTTTAAACTTGTGACCTTTCATCAGTTTTTACAAAGGCAGTTTCATTCCCCAAACAAGGAGAGTTAGTTTCAGGAAGGAGCTATTATCGTCCTTCCTTTAAAGTGTAAACTAAATTCCTCTGGTAGTTAGCTTGGCCTGTGCCCAGAAATGAGCAAGGGCTATTAACTTGTAAGGTTATAAGCAAGATGGAGTCAGCTGTGTTAGATTTCTCTGCCATAATCTTTGCAAAGTTAGTTTCTTTCTTTATATTCAGGCACTTGTCTACCTCTTTATTTTCCTTTCTCACTTCCAGCCTAGTAATTGTCATAACAGTCATTTTCCTTCTACTAATACTGGCACATCAAGGGCAAATACAGTATCATTTTCAAGACTTTATTCTCACAGCCTGGCACAGTGCTTGGAAGATAGTGAGGATGCAACTAAACAGAGTTCTAGTTCTTTTATATTTCCTATCTTTTTTCAGACATAGTCAATCAAGTAAAATATAGAATTTCATAATTACTTGAAAGAATGATGATATGATGTATCCTTCCACAATGAACGTACCTAATTTTGGAGGTTCTTGAACATTTTGAGCCTCTGTTGTTTGCTTAGTGAGTTAGGTCGGAATTTTAAAGCAAAGGAAGGCAGCAAATAAAATGAGGCCAGATTCAAAGAAATCTATCTTAAGACTAGAGGGTATTTAAGTTAAATAATTTTTAAAAATGCAGTCAATGCCCCTGTTCACTGGCGATTTAATGTATATTACTCATTACTAGGATTATGCTAGAGGGCAGAAATAACTGTTGAAAGTTACAGAAGTCGCAGAACTGACATTTTTTTACCATAACTTTCTTTTGTCTCACATCTGGTGGGTGACTAAGATAGGATGTCCTGAGGCATCTTTCTTCATCCAAAGCGTGTTTTTAATCCATCATCCTACAGAATTAGTTACAGGAGAAGTTCAAACCCCTACCGTCCAGGGTCTCTGTTGGAGAGCTACATCTACATTTATGGACCTAGACAGTAGCCAGCCATGATGAACTAAACTTCTGAGACCATGGAGTAAGGGAATGACTACCATGTGGATGAGACAGAAGGCATACTGAAGGTGAGGCTGTGGCTAAGGTGAAAAAGAAGATTATTTGGCAGTGGAAGAAGCCTAATAACTGAGGGAAGATACCATAAGACAGTGTGTGTATGTGTTTTTAAAATAGTCTTCATTTTTTGGAACAGTCTTAGATTCACAGCAAAATTGAGCAGAACGTACAGATTTTCTGCATATCATCTTCCCCCACCCAGATATAACTTCCTCCATTATCAATGTCTGGACAAGGGTGGTACGTTTGTTATAACTGGTGAACCTACATGGACATGTCTTAATCACTCAAAGTCCACATTTTACATTAGGGTTCACTCTTTGTTTTATATATTCTGAGTTTGAACAAATGTACAGTGACATATATTAACCATTATCGTATCATAAAAATTAGTTTCACTGCTCTAAAAATCCTCTGTGTTCTGCCAATTCATTCCTTTCCCTAATCTCTGGCAAACGTAGAATTTTTTTTGCCATCTCCATAATTTTGCCTTTTCTAGATGTCATATACCTGGAAATGTACAATAGTGATCTTTTCAGATTGACTTGGCTAACTTAGTAGCATGAATTTAAGTTTCCTCCATGTATTTTCTTGACATGATAGCTCATTTCCCTTTAGCATTGCATAATATTCCACTATCTGGATGTACCACAGTTTATTTATTCATCAAACTACTGAAGGATGTCTTGGTTGTTCAAATTTTGACACGTATGAATAAAGCTGCTATAAACATTTGTGTAGACATAAGTTTTTAACTCCTCTGGGTAAATATCAAAGAGCATGATTGCTAGATTTTATGGTAAGAGTATGTTTAGCTTTGTAAGAAACAGCCAAACTGTTTTCCAAAGTGGATGTACTATTTTGCATTCCTACCAGCAATGAATGAGAGTTTTCGTTGCCCTGCATTCTTTCTAGGGCTGGTAGTGTCAATGTTCTGGATTTCAGCCATTCTAAATCCAGTAAGAAAGTGTTTTGATGCTGTTTGTGTGGTTGTAAGGAGCTCACAGAATTTTGCAAAGTGAGTGAGTCTTCCTCTTCCTGCCACCTGCTCCAGCCTCTCTCCTGTTCACATTAGGCAGGAGAAGCAAGGCTTGGATCTTTCTTTTCTATACCTTGCTGTTTTTGGTCTCTGGAAGGTCTAAATTTGGTTTCAGATCTCTTCATTTCCTTTCCCAGAGCATGGCCTTACTAAAATTTAGTTTTGCTGACTAACAATTCTCTAAGGCCTGATTTCACTACTATCTAAATAAGAACACTTGGTCTGACTCATCCTGTGATTCGCACTCAAAATGCGCCTTTAGAAGGACTGACACTTATTCTGAGGTGATGGAAGTGGAAGTTTGGCTCTGCCTTATCTCCTGCAGTCAGTATTAGCTTCAATTCCTGATTTACAAATGTTGGGTCCTGTCAGGCATCACAGACATTTCCACATCAAAGGGCGTCCGGCCTTGATATTTGTCCGTTTATACTGACCACAGAGGCAAGGTTTTTAAAATGTCATGTGCATGTGTGTGTATGTGTGTGTGTGTGTGTGTGTTTTAAATTTTTAAAATTTCCTCTCAGAAAACTGATAACCCTGTTCTAGAAATTGCTAGTTATGATGGAATTGGGTATGTGGTATGTAGCAACCTTGCAGAAGGACTGCAGCAAGGGTGTGCCTAAGAGCTTCTCCTCACGGTAAAGGCAACGGGAGAGACAGACAATCCCTAGCAAAGATTTATATTCATATGATGGAAATGGAGGAGGGGAAGCCCAAGAGCTTTCATCAGTGTTCTGTGAAGATAAACACTGTTAAGGTTTGATAGCATATATTCAGTCCCAGAGACTTCAAACCCAAGCTTTCCTTATGGAGAAATAAGAACGGCTTAAGCTCCAGACAAGAAGGAAAGGAGCATTAAATTTCTCCATCATTAACTCATCAGCTCTTGTATGTTTCCTGGGGTTTTTATACACCCAGTATCACAAGTTAGGTGACTTAAAACAATAGAATTTTAGTATCCTATGGTTCTAGAGCTGTGACATCTGAAATAAGATGTCCACAGGGTTGTGCTGCCTCTGATGCTCCGGGTGGAATTCTTCCTCACCTCTCTTCCTAGCTCCCCGTGGTGGCTGCCAAGCCTTGATGTCCTTGACTTGCTCTCCAATCTCTGCCTCTGTCATCATATGGGGCTCTCCTTGTGTATCTGTCTTCATTTTGTCTTCCCTCTTCTAATATAGACACCAGCCATATTGAATTAAGGGCCACCTTACTCCAGTATGACCTCATCTATGGCCTTATCTTAACTACTTAACACTTATAAAAACCCACAGAAAGTCATATTCTGAGGTACTGGGCATTAGAACTTTAACATAGATTTTTGGACACGCGAGTCAACCCATAATAGCTATTCAATACATTTGGCTTCAACAACTCCTAAAGCCCTATGGCTGGGTCTTCAGAGCAAGCACTGCCCCTTCCTGTCTTTCCTGTGTTGTCTACTCCTGACATTGGGCTGGAATGAAGCATATTTCTGCAGGCTCCAACTTTGGTTTTCAGAGTTAGGGAAGCACATGGAACTGATGAGTGGTCCTCAAAAATTAGATTGGGCATAACACAAAGACTTGGGGAAGTTGCTACAAGTTCAGATTCTTGGTGCCCAAGCCCTAGAAATGCTGTAAGTCATGTAGTTGCATTTGGTCAAGTGACTACATTTTGAGAAACACTTGCATGGAGGAAAAAGCATAGGATTAGAGTGCAGATAAACTTAAATTTAATTTTGAGTACTAACTAGCTAGGTGGCCTCTGGCAGTAATAAAGCTGTCTAAGCCTCAGCTTTTTTTTCCTCTTAATCTCCTAGAATTTCAGATTTAGTATGCCTGGGTGAAGCCCAAAGGATTGCATTTCTAAGACATTCCCAGTGTAATGCACTTTTTTTTTTTTTTTGAGATAGAGACTTACTCTGTCATGCAGGCTGGAGTGCAGTGGCATGATCTCAGCCCACTGCAACCTCTGCCTCCTGGGTTCAAGCGATCCTTTTGCCTCAGTCTCCCAAGTAGCTGGGATTAGAGGTACGCACTACCATGCCCAGCTAGGTTTTTTTGTTTTTTGTTTTTTGTTTTAGTAGAGACGGGGTTTCTCCACGTTGACCAGGCTGATCTTGAACTCCTGACCTCAGGTGCCTCGGCCTCCCAAAGTGCTGGGATTACATGCGTGAGCCACCGTGTCTGGCCCCCAGTGTAATGCACTTTGAAAGCCACTACTGTAGTGGAAGCTCTTGGTGCTCATCCTGATATCTTTACCAGTTGCTGACCTGTCTCCCAGATACTGACAGCAATTCGTTGCTGACCCTTCTTTGACAATTGCTCTCAGCCAAACACAAACACCTCCAGGTAGGTGGAATTCACATTGCAACTTGTACCCTGGAGCTTCCAGGTGGAATCAGACTGAAGCCTGTCTCCAGCGGAGAGGACACACCCGCTTAGCTCTTAACCCCTTGTATTAGGGTTCTTCAGAGAGATAGAACCAGTGAGATGGATGAATAGATAGACTTATAGATACCACACTGCCTTTAGAATCATGCCCAAACTTCTTAGCAGGTGATTCCAAACTCTAAAACACCTGCCCAAACTAACGTTCTAATTCTCCTGGGTGTCTGGCTTGATTCTTTCACCCAAGTGTTGCTTTAAACTAGCCTCAGCTACCTCTTTCTTCAAGGATCCAAAGATCTTTTCCAAAAGTGGGGAGGGAAGGAGGCAAGGGTTGAAAAACTACCTGTCAACTATTATGTTCACCACTTGAGATATGCATTCAGTTGAAACTCAAACCTCAGCATCGCACAATATATCAATGTAACAAACATGCACACATACCTCTTGAATCTAAAATTTAAAAATAAAGCAAATTAAAAATATAAAATAGGTCTTTTCATGACTTCCCAGCCTGGGTTGGAGTCCCTTCTCTGTTTTCCTAGTGAACTATTTTTGCTTATATGAGAGTATGTGTCTGTCCCCAACCCCCACCCAAAGCTTCCTAGTATGTTTTGTCTTTCATTCCAGAGTCTTCAGAAATTGACTCATTGTGGGCACTCAGTTATTCAGGTTTTGCTTCTGCATTTACCACTTTCTAGCTGTGTGATTTGAGGCAAGACATTTACTCCCCCTTAACTTCAGTTTCCTCATATCTAAAGTGGGACTAATAATGTAGTAGTTTTGTAAGATTTAATGAAATAATGCAAGTGAAAATGTCTAGCAGAATGCCTGTAAAGATCTTAAACACTCAATAATGTCACATTCCTTCTATTGACACTTCATCAAATCATAGTTTCCTTCTGCTGTTCTCTTCATTTTTTAAAATCTTACTCTTGTTCCAAGGCCAAGCTTTCCCACCTTCAGAGATCCTTCTCGCTTCTAGCCTCTGACAGCTGATGCCTCTTAGGGGAAATACAGGGGCTACCAGAGAAACAGGTGACTGGCTACGGCTGTGGTAAAAGTGGAAAGTATTTTCCGGTGCTCTTTTTCCCCTTGCTCTTCACCGCATGGATTCCTCCCACAGCCACGAGCTCAGAGCTCTCCTGCTTTAAGGTATAAAGAAAAACTAGGAGAATGCTGGTTTTCAAGTCTGGCTCTGTCTCCACTGTGTTGAGTCATATGGTAAGTTATTTTCTGGCTTCCATATTACTTATATGATGGAGGAGGGAGAATGAAACATCTCTCACATTGATTTGAAGGCAAAATGGTAGCACATATGTGAACAAGTCTGACAGGAAGCTGGCTCTCAGTAGTGTATGCTAAGTGAATTAATAATTGATAAATGCCACATGTTTATTGGCCATGCAAGAATGGTTATGCAAGAGGCAAAGCCCTGAAGTAAGTCCGCAACAATGGAAACAGAGGAAGGTAGATTTCACTGACATTGACAATAAAACTATCTCCATATATCTCAAAATATATTCTAAATGAATAAAATACTGTCAAATATGCAAAGCACTTAGAAAAGTACTTATATGCTAATCTCTCCATCATTCAGTGACTTTGGCTAACGGATTAGTAGTTCTGAAACCCTGGAGTATTGACTCGATTTGGTCTTCCAACTACATAGCACACTCCTGTTAAGCAGATATGAGCTGGAAATTTTCAGGTGCTCCCAATCAAAGCTGGTAATTAACTTGGCTAAGAAAAGAAAAAATGTGCTTTGGTCCTGAGAGCAGGATTATAAATCCTGGAGTGGGAGGAAAGTTTTTCCATGGAAACTGCATTTTTAAAAAACAATGAAGTTGAAGTGAATCATGTTACTGATTGTGATTTTGGAAGAGTGAAGACATAAGGGTTGGCATTGGTTTTGGTTGGAGGGAGGTGGCAGAAGGAAAGGGGAAGCATGCACAGTTTGTGCTGGGAACAGTCTGAGTTTGATTCTTGCTTTTGCTGCTGACTGGTAGTGCAAAACTGGGCAAGTGATTTTATTTATTTTTTAATTTTTCCTTTTTTTGAGATGGAGTCTCACTCTGTTGCCCAGGCTGGTATGCAATGGTGCGATCTTGGCTCACTACAACCTCTGCCTCCCAGGTTCAAGCTATTCTCCTGTCTCAACCTCCCAAGTAGCTGGGACGACAGGCATGCACCACTATGCCTGGCTAATTTTTGTATTTTTAGTAGAGATGGGGTTTCACCATGTTGGCCAGGCTGGTCTCAAACTCCTGACATCAAGAGATCCTCTTGCCTGGGCCTCCCAGAGTGCTGGGATTACAGGTGTGAGCCACTGTGCCAAGCCGGCAAGTGAATTTATATTCCTGAACTTTGGTTTTATTGTAAAGTTGGAGATTGCCATCACTTAAAATTTCATATTAAATGTTTTATATAAATTATCCAGCATAATGTCTTTATAGTATGTGTAAATACTATCAATAATAGGGTTTTATGATCAATAAGTCTGAAAGGATGATGAACCCAACTAAAGGCCTCCAACTTAAGTTTAAATTTTTCTGATCTTTAAATTCTGGCAAATTATACAGAGTTTCATAAACTTAAAATCTTTCTATTTCAGCCAATCCATTAAATGAGGTAAAAGGATAAATAATTTTAAATTGGATATTGGAAAAGACACCCATTAACTTGGAGAAAAAGGGGAACTACATACTAATTTATTAAAACATAGATGCTATACAAAAATCATATGCAAAAATAAAAGTAGATCTATATCTATCCAAAAGCAATAGAATTATCTTTGAGAAGTAGTTCTAAACATTTAATTCTACTCATTAGATCTCTTTTCAAGGCTCACACATCTGTTGCTGTAAGAGCTAGAGAGAGAAGTGGAGTGTGGTCCTAGCCTGCCAGAAGTCCAGGTGGAGTGGATAAAGGGCTATAATTCACTTCTGTTGCTTTCTCAGACCACTCACTACTCCAGTACCTCATCAACACTGCTGCCTAAGCCGTGCTCCTAAAATGCAAGTCTGATAACAACCCCTTTCCCCACCACTGTATGATTAAAAATACCCTAATGGCCTACTATATTAGTCTATTCCTGTATTGCTATAAAGAAATATCTGAGACTGGGGTAATTTATAAAGAAAAGTGGTTTAATTGGCTCATGGTTCCATAGTATATACAGAAAACATAATGCTGGTATCTGCTTGGCTTCTAGGGAAACCTCAGGAAGCCAGCAATCATGGCAGAAGACAAAGGGGAAGCAGGATCATCTCACATGGCCAGAGCAGGAGCAAGAGAAAGAGTGGGGAGGTGCTGCACACTTTTAAACAACCAGATCTCACAAGAACTCACTAACACGAAGACAGTACCAAGAGGGAAATTTGCCCCCATGATCAAATCACCTCCCACCGGGCCCCACCTCCAGCACTGGAGATTATAATTTGACATGAGATTTGGTCAGAGACACAGATCCAATCCATATAAACTTTCATTTCATCTAAACCCAAGGTTTTCACCATCATATTCCGATTTTCCTCTTAAGCCCCATCTCCTGATGGTACTTTTTGTGAAGAATAAACCTCAAAGATTATAAACTTCTCACTTTTTCAGACACTTCAAGATTTTCCTCATTGCTGTGCCTTTGTGTGTGGTTATTCCTTTGATTAGAATTCCCTTTCTCAGTTTTCTACCCCCAAAACACTGACTCATACCTGAAGGCTTTCTATTATATGTAGTAGTTAAGATTTGAACACTAGCTTGGCCTTTGCTGTGTGGCTTTCAGAAAATTATCATACATCTTGAAGCTGAATTTCTCCTTTTTTAAAATATTGGAATAATGAAAATATCTAGCTTCATGTAGTTTGGCTCTGTATCCCCACCCAAATCTCATGTCAAATTATAATTCCCAATGTTGGGGAAGGGACCTGGTGGAAGGTGATTGGATCGTGGGGGCGGATTTCCCCCTTGCTGTTCTTATGAAAGTGAGTGTGTTCTCATGAGATCTGGTTGTTTAAAAGTATGTAGCACTTCACACTTCCGTCCTTTTCTCTCCTGCCACCATGTGAAGATGTGCGTGCTTCCTCTTCACCTTCTGCCATGATAGTAAGTTTCCTGAGGCCTCGCCAGCCATGTGTCCTATACCTCCTGTGGAACTGAGAGTCCATTAAATCTCTTTTCTTTATACATTACCCAGTCTCAAGTAGTTATTTATAGAAGTGTGAGAACGAACTAATACATAGCTTATAGAGTTACTGTGATCATTTAAATAATTGATAATTAAAAGATAATAAAGCAGTTCCTTGTACACAGATAGCACTCAGTAAGTGTTAACTATCATCTTTCTTCTTTTTCCTTATACTTATCACCTCCACCCTCTTTTGCAGCTCAAAAATTAGCTTCTTAAATGAAAACTTCTGGAGTGTCCCCAGGTAAATTAGCTGCTTGCCTTTTCCATATTCCCACAGGCCTAGGTTCTTAACTCTATTATACTGCTTATTAGAATATATTGTTATTATCTCTGCACCTCCCACACTCGCTGGAGAGTAAAACCAAACAAACACAAAGAGAAGAAAGTCTCACCTCCCTTGACAGATGTGTTAGTAGAAAACCTGGAATTAGACCCAGCCAAGTCTCTGATTCCTAATCCTATGTTCTTTCCAATGCAACTAGGGAAGGTACCCCATGGAAGGCAGCAGAGAGCAGTGCTTAAGAACATAGACCCTTGTGCCAGCTTCCCTGAGTTCAAATCATGTGTCTACCACATACTAGTTATGCCATTTTATTTGTTTTTTAGTTATTCTTATTATTTTTATTTTTCTTAAGTTATTGGGGTACAGGTGGTATTTGGTTACATGAGTAAGTTCTTTAGTGGTGATTTTTGAGATTTTGAAGCACCCATCACCTGAGCAGTATACATCGCACCATATTTGTAGTCTTTTATCCCTCATCCCCTTCCCACCCTTCCCCCCAAGTCCTCAAAGTCCATTGTATCCTTATGCTTTTGCATCCTCCTAGCTTAGCTCCCACATATCAGTGAGAATATACGATGTTCGGTTTTCCATTCCTGAGTTACTTCACTTAGAATAATAGTCTCCAATCACCCAGGTCACTGCAAATGCCATTAATTCATTCCTTTTTATGGCTGAGTAGTATTCCATCATATATATACACCACAGTTTCTTTATCCACTCGTTGATTGATGGGCATTTGGGTTGGTTCCACAATTTTGCAATTGCGAATTGTGCTGCTCTAAACGTGCATCTGCAAGTATCCTTTTTGTATAATGACTTCTTTTCCTCTGAGTGGATACCCAGTAGTGGGATTGCTGGATCAAATGGTAATACTACTTTTAGTTCTTTAAGGAATCTCTACGCTGTATTCCATAGTGGCTGTACTAGTTTACATTTCCACCAGCAGTGTGGAAGTGTTCCCTGATCACTGCATCCATGACAACTTCTATTGTTTTTTGGATTGTTTTGATTATGGCCATTCTTGCGGGAGTAAGGTGGTGTGGCATCACGGTTTTGATTTGCATTTTCCTGATCAATGGTGATGATGAGCATTTTTTCATATGTTTGTTGGTCATTTGTATATCATTTTTTGAGAATTGTCTATTCATGTCCTTAGCCCACTTTTTGATGGGTTCATTTGTTTTTTCTTACTGATTTGTTTGAGTTCATTGTAGATTCTGGATATTAGTCCTTTGTCAGATCGTGTAGGTTGTGTAGATGTTCTCCTACTCTGTAGGTTGTCTGTTTACTCTGCTGACCATTCCATTTGCCGTGCAAAAGCTCTTTAGTTTAATTAAGTCCTAACTATTTATCTATGTTTTTGTTGCATTTGTGTTTGGGTTCTTGGTCATGAAATCCTTGCCTAAGCCAATGTCTGGAAGGGTTTCTCCAATGTTATCATCTAGAATTTGTATAGTTTCACATCTTAGATTTAAGTCCTTAGTCCATCTTGAGTTGATTTTTGTATAAGGTGAGAGATGAGGATCCAGTTTCATTGTCCTACATGTGGCTAGCCAATTATCCCAGCACCATTTGTTGAAAAGGATGTACTTTCCTCACTTTATGTTTTTGTTTGCTTTGTCAAAGATGAGTTGGCTGTAAGTATTTGGCTTTATTTCTGGGTTCTTTATTCTGTTCCATTGGTCTGTGTGTCTGTTTTTATACCAGTACCATGCTGTTTTGGTGACTGTGGCTTTATAGTATAGTTTGAAATCAGGTAGTGTGATGCCTCCAGATTTGTTGTTTTTGCTTAGTCTTGCTTTGGCTATGCAGGTTCTTTTTTGGTTCTATATGAATTTAAAATTTTTTTTCCTAATTCTGTGAAGAATGATGATGGTATTTTGATTGGGATTGCACTGAATTTGTAGATTGCTTTGGGTAGTATGGTCATTTTCACAGTACTGATTCTACCCATCCATGAGCATGGGATATGTTTCCATTTGTTTGTGTCATCTATGATTTCTTTCAGCAGTGTTTTGTAGTTTTCCTTATAGAGGTCTTTCACCTCTTTGATTTGGTATATTTCTAAGTATTTTGTTTTTTTATTTGCAGCTGTTGTAAAATGGGTTGAGTTCTTGATTTGATTCTCAGCTTGGTTGTCGTTGGTGTATAGAAGAGCTACTGAGTTGTGTACACTGATCTTCTATTAGGAAACGTTGCTCAATATTTTACCAGTTCTAGGAGCTTTTTGGAGGAGTCTTCAGGGTTTTTGAGGTAAATGATCATATCGTCAGCAAACAGTGACAGCTTGACATCCTCTTTACTGACTTGGATGCCCTTTATTTTTTTCTCTTGTCTGATTGCTCTGGCTTGGACTTCCAGTACAATGTTGAAGAGGAGTGATGAGAGTGGGTGTCCTTGTCTTGTTCCAGTTTTCAGAGGGAATGCTTTTAACTTTTCCCCATTCATCATTATGATGGCTGTGGATTTGTTATAGAAGGCTATTATTACATTGAGGTATATCCTTTGTGTGCTGATTTTGCTGAGTTTTAATCATAAAGGGTTGCTGGGTTTTGTTGAATGCTTTTTCTGCATCTATTGAGATGATCATGTGAATTTTGTTTTTAATTCTGTTTTTGTGGTGTATCACATTTATTGACTTGTATATGTTAAACCATCTCTGCACCCTTGGTATGAAACCCACTTGATCATGGCAGATTATCTTTTTGACATGTTGGTGGATTCAGTTAGCTAGTATTTTGTTAAGGATTTCAGCATTGATGTTCATCAAGGATATTGGTCTGTAGTTTTTCTTTTTCAGTTATCTTCTTTCCTGGTTTTGGTATTAGGGTTATGCTGGCTTCATAGAATGAATTAGGGAGGGTTCTCTCTTTCTCTATCTTGTGGAATAGTGTCAAAAAGATTGCTACCAATTCTTTGAATGTCTGGTAGAATTCTGTGAATCTGTCTGCTCCTGGACTTTTTTTTGTTGGTAATTTTTTAATTATTATTTTAATCTCACTGCTTGTTATTGGTCTGTTCAGGGTATCTAATTCTGCCTGATTTAAGCTAGGAGGGTTTTATCTTTCCAGGAATTTATCCATCTCTTCTAGGTTTTCTAGTTTATGTGTATAAAGGTGTTCATAGTAGCCTTGAATGATCTTTTGTATTTCAGTGGTGACAGTTGTAATATCTCCCATTTCATTTCTTAATGAGGTTATTTGAATTTTCTCTCTTCTTGGTTAATCTTGCTAATGGTCTATTGATTTTATTTATCTTTTTATTTATCTTTTCAAAGAACCAGCTTTTTGTTTCATTTATCTTTAGTATTTTTGTTGTTTCAATTTCGTTTAGTTCTGCTCTGACATTGGTTATTTCCTTTCTTCTGCTTGGTTTGGGTTTGATTTGTTCTTGTTTCTCTAGCTCCTTAAGGTGTGACCTTAAAATGTCAGTTTGTGCTATTTCAGTCTTTTTGATGTAGGCGTTTAGGGCTATGAACTTTCCTCTTAGCACCCCCTTTGCTGTATCCCAGAGGTTTTGAGAGGTTGTG
Organism: Homo sapiens; assembly: GCF_000001405.40. Classification (NCBI taxonomy): domain Eukaryota; kingdom Metazoa; phylum Chordata; class Mammalia; order Primates; family Hominidae; genus Homo; species Homo sapiens. The sequence goes on along the minus strand of NC_000002.12, from coordinate 14,410,978 downwards.
TCATTGTTGTTCAGTTCGAATAATTTTTTAATTTCCATCTTGATTTCGTTTTTGACCCAATGCTTATTCAGGGACAGGTTATTTAATTTCCATGGTATCGAAGGTTCCTTTTGGAGTTGATTTCCAGTTTTATTCCATTGTGATCTGAGAGAGTGCTTTATATAATTTCAATTTTTCTTAAATTTATTGAGGTTCATTTGATGGCCTATCATGTGGTCTATTTTGGGGAAAGTTCCATGCGTTGTTGAATAGAATATGTATTCTTTGGTTGTTAGTTGAAATGTTCTGTATATATCTGTTAAGTCCATTTGTTCCAAGTTATAGTTTAAATCCATTGTTTCTTTGTTGACTTTCTGTCTTGACGAACTGTCTAGTGCTGTCAGTGGAGTATTAAAGCCCCCACTATTATGATGTTGCTGTCTATCTCATTTCTTAGGTCTATTAGTAATTGTTTTATAAATTTGGAAGCTCCAGTGTTAGGTGCATATATGTTTAGGACTGTGATATTTTCCTGTTGGACAAGGCCTTTTACCATTATATAATGTCCCTCTTTGCCTGTTTTAACTGCTGTTGCTTTAAAGTTTGTTTTGTCATACACAAGAATAGCTACCCCTGCTCGCTTTTGATGTCCATTTGCATGAACTGCCTTTTCCCACCGCTTTACTTTCAGTTTATGTGAGTCCTTATGTGTTAGGTGAGTGTTCTGAAGGCAGCAGGTAGTTGGTTAGTGAGTTCTTATCCATTCTGCAGTTCTGTACCCTTTAAGTGGAGCATTTAGGCCTTTTAAATTCAATGTTAATGTTGAGATATGAGGTACCATTTCATTCATCGTGCTATTTTTTGCCTGCATACCTTGATTTTTTTTTTTTTTTTTTGCTTTTTAACATGTATTTTTGTTTTATAGGTCCTGTGTGATTTATGCTTTAAAGAGGTTTTATTTTGATATGTTTCCAGGATTTGTTTCAAGATTTAGAGCTCCTTTTAGCATTTCTTGTACTGGTGGCTCGGTACTGGCAAAATCTCTCATTTGTTAGTCTGAAAAACAACTGTATCTTTCCTTCATATATGATGCTTAGTTTCGCTGGATACAAAATTCTTGGCTGATAATTGTTTTGTTTGAGGAGGCTAAAGATAGGGCCCCAATTCCTTCTAGCCTGTAGGGTTTCTGTTGAGAAATCTGCTGTTAATCTGATAGGTTTTCTTTTATAGGTTACCTGGTGCTTTTTCTCACAGCTCTTAAGATTCTTTCCTTCGTCTTAACTTTAGATACCCTGATGATAATGTGCCTAGGTGATGATCTTTTTGTGATGAATTTCCCAGGTGTTCTTTGTGCTTCTTGTATTTGGATGTCTGTGTCTCTAGCAAGGCCAGGGAAGTTTTCCTCGATTATTCCCTAAAATATATTTTTCAAACTTTGGATTTCTCTTCTTCCTCAGGAACACCAATTATTCTTAGGTTTTGTCATTTAACATAATCCCAGACTTCTTAGAGGCTTTGTTCATATTTTCTTATTCTTTTTTCTTTGTCTTTGTTGGATTGGGTTAATTTGAAGACCTTGTCTTTGAGCTTTGAATTTCTTTCTTCTACTTGTTCAACTCTATTGTTGAGACTTTCCAGAGCATTTTGCACTTCTGTAAGTGTATCCAATATTTCCTGAAGATTTGGTTAGTTTTTCTTTATGCTATATATTTCCTTGAATATTTCTTTCATTGCTTCTTGTATAGTTTTTTAGGATTTCCTTGCATTGGGCTTTGCCTTTCTCTGATGCCTCCCTGATTAGCTTGGTAACTAACCTCCTGAATTATTTTTCAAATAAATCAGAGATTTCTTCTTAGTTTGGATCCACTGCTGGTGAACTAGTGTGATTTTTTGGGGGGTGTTAAAGAGCTTTGTTTTGTCATATTACCAGAGTTGATTTTCTGGTTCCCTGTCTTTTGGGTAGTCTCTGTCAGAGGGAAGGTCTAGGGCTGAAGGCTGTTGTTCAGGTTCTTTTGATCCATGGGGTGTTCCCTTGATGTAGTACTCTCCCCCTTTTCCTGAGGATGTGGCTTCCTGTGAGCCAATCTGCAGTGATTGTTATCTCTCTTCTTGGTCTAGCCACCCAGCAAATCTACTGGCTTCAAGCTGGTACTGGGGGCTGTCTGCACAGAGTCCTGTGATGTGAACCATCTATGGGTCTCTCAGCCGTGGATACCAGCACAGTATTTGGAGTGTCTCCCGGGTCCTGCAGAGCAGTCTGCTTTTTTCCAAGGGTGTGTGGGTCCTCTCGGGATTCCTAGTTATGTCATTTTAATCAACTTTCTTACAAAAAAAACCCTGTGTGCCTCAATTTTCTCATCTGTATGATAGGGATAAAATACATACCTATTGTAGAAGATAAAATATAATATTTTTTTCCTTTTTAGGTTCTCAGTTGAGATACTCTCTTGAAACCAAAAGTCAGATTAACAAAACAAAAACAAGCAGAAATACATTAATGTACACTGTACCAATTGTGTGGGAAAGGCCTCTACTCAAAAGTATTTCTCTCTCAAGGTGGTAGCTTAGAGGGTTTGCTTAAATAGTATTTTCACAAAGAGCCAGAAATCCTACTTAGTGGCAAGGCAAAGGAGAGAGCAATTTTGGTCTTTTAAAAGGTGGGAGAATGTGGAAAGATGGTAAAATCAGTTTCCAGATCCTGTTGGTGCCTGCTGGTGCCTTCTCTGGGACAACACACAAGTGCTGTTTTCAGTAAGGAAGGATTTATGTCCTGTGATCAGGCAAATAGAAGTGGAGGCAGAGTGTTTCCCTGAGTTTTCAGTGTCATTAGCAATCCTCAATATTTTGGGGTGAACATTTTGGTTTCTTTCACTATTCCATGAGGTTATTGGGTGAAAAGATAAATTAAAATATACAAAGTATTTAGAAAAGTACCTAGGAGTGTGACACATATTAAAACAAATTTAAACTCACCTATCAGAGTAACAATGAACATTTGAAATCCAAAAGTCAACATATAGCTCTTTGAAACCCAACCATAATTTTAACAGTGGTTGGGTTTAGACCCTGATTCTATTTTATTTTAATTAACTAATTAATTCATTATTTTAGATGGAGTCTGGCTCTGTCACCCAGGCTGGAGTGCGGTGGTACGATCTTAGCTCACTGCAACCCCCAACTTCTGGGCTCAAGCAATTCTTGTGTTTCAGCCTCCCGAGTAGCTGGGATTACAGGCATGCACCACCACACCCAGCTATTTTTTTGTATTTTTAGTAGAGAAAGGGTTTATCATGTTGGTCAGGCTGGTCTCGAGCTCCTGATCTCAGGTGATCTGCCCACCTCGGCCTCTCAAAGTGCTGGGATTACTGGCGTGAGCCACCGCACCAGGCTCCCTGATTCTATTTTAGACCATCATATATAGTATACAATTTTTTAAGAGGAAAGTTTTCTCTAAATTTCACACAGTAGACTAGACATCACGAGATAGGATAGAATATTATTCACTGGCTTAATGCGTACTTATTGAGCCAAGTCTTGTGAAAGACCTCAGTTATAAAGAAGCAGACCAAACAGAGTATTAGCTCCTGAGTTAATAGAGCTAAGGATACTGGAGGAAACAAAAATAAACAAGATAACTAACAAATAAGTAAATTATTACAAGATACAAAATAGACATGAATGTGTTTCCATGATGAAGAATAAAGTATTAGACTTCACTGGGTAGGTTACATTTGAGCTGAGGCCTGAGGGGTAGAAAGAAGCCAAAGCTTTGGGTTAAATGAAGAGCCTTCCAGGCAGATGGGACAAGTGTGACCAAGGCCCTAAAACAAAATGTCTTGGCGTGTTCTAGAAATTAGGAAGAAGTTAAATAATTGTTGCCTCCTTGATAATGGGTAACATGACTCAATATGATGCTAAAATGGAAAATAAATTGAGGACTTTTAAGTAGTGGAGCGATATTAATCCAATGTATATGCTTATGGAATCACTGGTGGCTAAATGGAAAGAGATTGAAGAAATGCAAAACTGAGAGCAGGGAGACCAGTTAGAGATGTCATGTAACAGAACAGGTGACAGTGGGTAGAAACAATGGTCTGACCAAGGGTGGTGGTGGCAGTGGAGATGAAGAAGAGTAGGCGGAATTCAGATTCCCCCTGCCCCCTGGCCACGCACACATGGATACACACGTTCCCATTTCCTTAGAAATACAACCACGAGTCCTTGATAATACATTTAATTTTGGAAGTGATGCAGAGGGTTAAGTAACTTAATGACTCCCGTATTTTTCACTTGCACAGCTGGGTGGATGGTGGCACCATTTATTGAGATTGTGAGGACATATGGTGAAGAAAGTTTTCAAAAGTTTTCAGAGGTGAAATTAAGAATTCATTATCAGATATGTTAAGTTTGAGATGCCAATGAGACAAAGACATGGAATCATCCAGGAAATAGTTGGGTAAACAAGATTGAATTCTAAGAAGAGGTCAGGAATAGATAAGCTTTTGGAAGGATTAGCACAGAGAGTATTGAAAGCTGTGTAAATAGATGAGATCCCCTTGTAATGTAGGCAAAGCTTGAGTGCTAAGAAACACTGGCATAAGCCAGGGAGATGCATTTGATAATGGGAGTAAGAGGGGACAATAGAGATTAGGATCACAGAAGCTTGGAGAAGAGAGTGTTTCAAGAAGTTTCAATGCACCAGGGACATTGAGTAAAATGAGTGCAGGTTTGGCAACACTAGGTGATTGAGACCCTGGAAAGAGTCATTTCCATACAGTCTGTAGGAGAGGAGAGTGTTTGTGCAGTGACAGAAAGGTGAGGAGGTGGATGCAGAGTGTGTACATAGCTCTTTCAAGATGTTTGACTGTGAAACAGGCTGAGAAATGGGCAGGACCTGGAGGACAATGTGGCTTCAGGGAAGTTTTGTGTTTTGTTGTTTTGTAAGATGGGTGAAACTAGATGGAGTTGACAAGATGTTAAGAATGATCCAGTGTAAAGAAGGAGCGCATGATGGTAAGAGTGAAAGGCCAGAGGAGCACAGTCTTTGGGAAGTCGAGAGAGGGAGACAAATACTAATGAGGAAGGTGAATACAACAGGCAGGTAGAATTGGTCATGGAAGACAAGAAACTCTCCTCTGATGACTGGTCCCTGATATAGCAAATTGTCCACTATGACTCTCTTTGTAGTAACATGCCCTGGGGTCAGGATGGAGTTTAAGCCTGGATAGAGATTGTTGACCTAAGATCCCTAGGTTGGAGATCAAGCCTCTAACTGGGCAGGTTCCCGATTATGTCATCAGCAGAGTTAAACCATTCATGCCTCTTCTAAGCTCCCAACAATCTCCATGCTCCTTTCTGTTTTATGGCTTTCTTCTGAAGAAATTAGCATGTCTGGGCATCTGCCTACAGAACTGTTCTGTCTGTCATTTGTTGAATACATGTTTATGGTAGAGTTTCATCTCACTGGGGGTTAGGTTCTAAAGATAGCAGATAAGAACATCACATATTTGATTATTGCTTCTGAAAATGCTCTGAATCATCCAAAGAATAAAGAAAGCATGATATGGTGAAACAACAGTACATACTACAGATCTTATAGAGCTTAGATGCCTGAGTTTGAATTCTGTGTCCACCATTTACAAGCTGTGTGATAGTGAGTGAAAACTCATGAACTCTAATTCCTTATCCCTAAAATGTGTTAAGTTAGAAGTTCAATCAAGTGTAGACTATTGGGGGTCCCTGAAATTCTTTCAATGGATCTAGGAGTCAACACAGACACATTTTGCCTTCTTCACTGTGTTTACTTTTGTACTGATTTTGCAAAAGGTTGGTGGCACTAGACTGCACTAGTAGTTGTTTCCTTCTTTACCATCACACACTTGCAGAAAAAAAAAGAGTTTAATGTAAGAATGTTTTTGATAAAAGAGTAAATATTAATAGTATTAGATCTCAACCTCTTAAGTACACTTTAAGAAAATTCTGTCTAACAAATGGGAAGTCCTTATAAAGCATTTCTGCTGCACAGTAGAGCACAACGGTTGTCTCTACAAAAGCTCTTGTGATTGTTTCCATTGTGAGCTAAACTAGCCATTTTTCTTTCATTAATATTACTTCTATATAAAAGAACAATGAACAGATGGAACAAAGCTCATCTGTACTTTGGTATTTGGCAGGCATAGTCTCAAAAGTGAATAAAGTGAGCTGATTACCTAAAAAAAAAAAATTGGTAATATTTGTTGCCAGTGATAAAACTCAAGCTTTGAAGTGAAAGAGTTTTGGAAAACTCATCTATGAGCTTGGCAGCTTCCCAATACTTAAGGATATATCAGATGAGATTGGTGGTGATATTAATGGCTATGATTTTGGGGGATGCTATATTTGATACTATGTTTCAACACTTGAAAGATCTTCATAATTTAATGAGCCCATACATTTCAAATTACCAATACATGGTGTTCAAAATCAAACATGAGTAATAGTTCTACTCTATAAGGTAGATCAAAGGACTTTAATGTAACAGAGCAGAAAACGATTATTGATATAGTTTCAGATTCCACACAACTACTAACCTTTAAGAAACTACAACTTGTCAGTTTTGGTATATAAAAAATATAAACCATTATGTGAGAAGCCTATTAAAAACTTCTCTTTCTAACCACATTCCTAGGTAAGGCCAGATTTTCTTCATATACTTCAACAAAAATGACACATCACAACAGATTGCATGCAGAAGCAGAAGTGGAAATTTAGCTGAATTCCAGTAACTAGACATTAAAGATTTGGAAAATGTAAAGCAATGCTACTTCTCTCAATAATTTTTCTATTTTGCAAAATGGTTTTTCAAAAATAAAATGTCATTTATGTTAAGATGTATATTATTATTTAAAATTAATACATATGAATTCTTTTATATTCTGCAGTTTTTAATTTCTAATATGTAAAATATTTATAGATATAATCCCCAGAAATTAAGCTCTGGTGGATTCTTAGTAATTGATAACGTAAAAGTTGTCAGAAGTTGTCAAAAGAACGTAAAAGATTCCAAACCATTGTACCTACTTTATTGCGCTGTTACGAGATTTAAAGTACTTAATGTGTGTTGAACCCTTAAAACAATGCGTGACATATAGTAAGTGATACACACATTTTTTTTGCACAAATACAGTATAGCATTATTTTTGGTGAGGTATAATGAAAAGGATGTACTCATCCCATTCCATCCCATTTCATTCCATCCTATCCCATCAATCATATCACATCTCCCTTCTCCTTCTTATTATGAAACATAAACTCACATTTTAGGATAATGAGTAAAAAATCTCTAATTCCTAAATTTCTTTTGCTTATTTTTTTCTCTCATTCTCACTTATGTCCACCTTGTAACCTCCTCCTTCTATATAGTTTAATTTGAATTCAGTAAAATATGTGTTATACAAACATATTTCAGTCATAGTGCTGGATGCTAGAAATAAAATGATTATTAAAACCCAGGGTTTTCCTGGAGGAAAAACCCAGTCTAGTGGGGAAAACAAAAAAATAAATAATTACAATATTGTCACGTAAAAACATAATATTTAGATGAAAAACCATTTGTTGATGTACAGAGGCAGATGCCTATAAAGAGAAAGAAGATCTCAAAAGAGGGAGCTGTCCTTTAAATTGTGAAGACCAAATGGGATTTGCCAATTGTGTAAGGGTTGAACAGTATTCCTGGGAATGGGTATGACATGGGGCAGCAAAGGCTTGAAGTCTCTGCTTTATATTTTATTTAGATTATAGGATGACTGCAGTGGGAGGGGGAATAAAAGGTGAGACTGAAAAAATATTTGGAGATTAGATTGTGTGTGCTGAAGTGCCTCATGCTGAACAGATACCTGGAGCCAAGGAAACACTTTAGGCAGGTGTCTGGTTAGTGATATAACTAAACACCTTCTTCCTCATCCTCAGGCTGGAGTTCCCATCCCTGTACTCCTGTGTCTATGACAGCAGGATGCTCTCAGGCTTTCATGTCCTCTTCATAGCTGTCCCTTCATTATATGCTGGTACCAATATTAGGATCTTTGCTCTAGGCTGATCCTTTTTATTTATTTATTTATTTATTTATTTATTTATTTATTTGGAGATAGAGTCTTACTCTGTGACCCAGGCTGGAGTGCGTGGTGTGATCTTGGCTTACTGCAACCTCCACCTCCCACCCTCAAGCAATTCTTTTGCCTCAGCCTCCCAAGTAGCTGGGACTACAGGTGCATGCCACCAAGCTCTGCTATTTTTTTTTTTTTTTATTAGAGATGGGATTTTACCATGTTGGCCAGGCTCTGCTCTTGAACTCCTGACCTCAAGTGATCCTCCTGCCTCAGCTTCCCGAAGTGCTGGGATTACAGGCATGAGCCACCATGCCCAGCCTGAAGTTTTCTGAAGAGTTCTTAAAATCAGGATACTAGGCTCCTAGTAAAGGCAACAGCAGCGGAAAAAAAGGAATGAATTAGATACTATTTAGGAGGCACAACTGATAGAGAATTGTAACTGGCTATAGGTAGAGATGGAGTTTTTGGGCTGGATGACTCAGAACAAAATGATGATTACAAAAAATGAGGCAGGTAATTGATATAACTAAGTTTTTTTTAATTTGACTGCTTGTTAATCATTTTATCAGCCTTCTCAAAGGAAGTTTCTGCATCTGTTTTCCCTTCTTGCCTCCCTGAACCTAAAGAATAAAAACAATGGCAGCAACATTTTTCTGTGGAGCTGGCTTATAGGATAGGACTCGGAAGCAGCACAAGTCACTCCCCCTCACTCCCCTTTCTGGAGTAAACGTGGGCAGGTGGGGAGGGAAGCCTGCATTCTGATTTAGCCTCCCACCTTGGCGGACAATAACTCACCTCTTGGCACCAGAAGACAAGTCACAGCTGCTATTGTCTTGATAATTATGTTTACTCAAGCAGCGGAGTGGGAGTCCTGTGGTCAAGGGAGTGTGACTTGCCAGGTGCTCCCTGTCTAGGGCCTCTTTCCCCCTGAGGTGGATGAAGCTGTTCTCAGGAGCCCTTACAACCAGTTATAAATTACTTTCAGTGAGCTAAGGTCAAAGGCATGGGGAGAATAGTAAGTGACAACATTGAGGATTTATATGACCCCTTCCCTACTAGGAGACCAAACACTTCAAATATATGATCTCATTTGCCCTCCTCTGATCCCTGGAAAATGGAGGGCTTGAGGGAGGCAGTGGTTAGAGGCAGGTGTGAAAGCTCTGGTAAACAACCTTGAATGATCAGTATGGCAATATGGTTTTCTTTCTCTCTCATTTTTCTTTAGTACTTTTTTCTTTCTGGTTTTAGACAAATGAAGCAGACTAATTTTTCCAGGATTTTTTTAAACATTTTTACTTCCCTCCCTTAGTTTGATGGACTTCAGCAAGGTTGTGAGAATGAGTCTACATTTATTGGGGTTCTTTTGCTTTGATCCCTCAAGGAAATGACATGCTGATACCAAAATGCATATTAATAATCAGGATCAATAAATAAGTCAACTCTGATATGGAGAAATCCATAAGGTCATTTATTGAAAACATTAACTATTAAAGATAAATAATTACGGCTGGAATAAGTGCCTACGATTTATTTCCAAGCATTTGCATCTACCACTTGCTATGTGAAACTCTTCCATGAATGAGAAATCTGTTCTGTGCTTCTTTAAAGACACAGGGAGGTTTGAAGTGAATCCTGGAAGGTATCTCATATCTGACTAGTCCAAGGTCACACAGCATGCTACTGGGAGCTCTGACCTTATCACAGAGTCTCTGAAATTCCTATTCAGGTCTCTGCCTTATTTGAACATTGCATCTGTTGCTATTTGCCATACAAAGTAAAGTAACTTGAAAATGGTAGAAATAAACACCACAAAGGCAAAATAGAATGGTAAAAGGATTAGAGGAATGACACAGGAAAAGCGATTACAAGAATTTAATCTGTCACATGAAGCTTTGGGCAAAGAGGATAAAGGGAGGGTGACTGCTTACAAATTGCACAGGCTGTAAGGGGAGGATTTGGGGAGCCCAGACTTGCCAATGGGTAAGTGAGTCTAGTCAAGATGTAGGATTTCAGAAAACTCACTCAGAAGAGCAGGATGAAGATAAAGGAGGCATCATTCAGCAGCAATAACCAGTAAGTAATGGTAGAGATCTTTAGGGTGTGGGCAAGTGACCCTAAAGACTTGCAATGTTAGTTTAGCAATCTGTTTGCAATTTTCAAATGAAAAACACTTGGAACAAAGATAAGCTGCATGGAATAAACTGCCCTAGGGGAGATCATAAATTATCAGAGGTGCCTGGGGAAGTGGGAGAACATAGTTCTCCGTGCAGCTTTTAGCATCTTGCCGATGGAGGTCAGAGTGAAGGTACTGTGGTCAGAGTGAAGGCCTTGGCAGGTAGGACCTTTCACATTCCCAGAGCTACATTAATAGAGCTCCCTGGTCTCTGAACGGTGGGGAGCTATTTTGTAAGCCAATCAGGAACAATTCCACATTCAAGTAAGAGTATACCATCAAACAATTGCTCGGAATCCTAGCAGTTTCAGAGACAGTCTTGACATAACAGGCCGATGCATTTTATTTAATAAACCTAATCTATTCTAAATTTTCATTATGTTATTAAGTCACAACTTAATACCAAATGTGGCGATAATACACCTAGCTATAGATACTTATGTGACTAAGAAACTTCCTCCTCAGCAGATCTAAAGCAGAGGTCTGAAATGAACCCAATTCTGCTCTTTATTTAAGAGTAAACTAATAGTTGTAAAAAGTCATTAGGAAAGAACCTGGAACATCATCTGGGCCAGGCTTGTGAGGATACATATGAGGATATGCATGGGGCCCAGAGGGATTCTTTCCTTACACCAGCACCCACAGCAAAGAGGCAAAACTGCGTTTGAGTTGGGTAGCACACATCTCATCAAATCACAGTGCTTTTTTCTTCTTCTCTTTTCTCAAGCATGATCCTTCATTGTTTGGCACAGCCAGGGGAATTATTAACTAAAAAGATGTTATTTTAGTTAAAATAGTTTAGTTTTGGTTTTGGGAATGATTGCTGTTTTAGCATTTATTAGTGCTTAGTGAAATTTGTAACTTTTAGTTTGAAATTAAAACTGCCCAATTAGGCCAGGTGTGGTGGCTCACACCTGTAATCCCAGCACTTTGGGAGGCTGAGGTGGGCAGATTGCTTGAGCTCAGGAGTTTGAGATCAGCCTGGGAAACATGGAAAAATCTCTTCTCTACAGAAAACACAAAAAATTTGCCAGGTATGGTGCAGTGTACCTGTAGTCCTAGCTACCTGGGAGGCTGAAGTGGGAGGATCACCTGATTCTGGTGGTCGAGGCTGCAGGGAGCTGTGATGGTGCTACTGCACTCCAGCCTGGATGACAGAGTGAGACTCTGTCTCAAAAACAAAACAAAACAAACAACAAACCTGCCCAGTTATATCTACTGCATGATCAATGTAATTGTTCTGTAGTATTATGATTCCTGTAGCAATCTGTAGTTCTACTTTGTAGCTGGATGCAAAAGATAGAGCATAAATACCTCTTCCCTGAATGAGTTGCATTGATTTGAGAGCTCTGTTGAATAGTAGTCCTTTTAGAAATAGCAAGGAGAATCAAACTGAACTGTGTACAAAAAGTAAATGTAACATGACCCAATTTTTTGAAATTATGTAAAACCTTGATTTTTAAAAATGCACCTGTGATTTAAAAACAATGTGTCTAAAACAAATCTGGTGGACAAATTACCTCTGAAACATAATGAAGTTTAAACTAGTAGCAACCTTTAAAGAAATGAATTAAACTCTAACTTGGTGCAGTATAATTTCAGCAGAAATTAAGCTATAAATACCAAAATGTTTTCTAAAACAAACTGAACCAATTTGATGATGGGAAGTGAGAGGAGTTTAGAACCTGGTTTTATAAAAAGAAATTACAAGAAGCAAAACAATTACCAAATAAGTTTGTAGCCTGCAGTAATCACAGTTAGATTTTGGGTGGAAACATCACCTCTGAAATATAAAAAAGTTGCAGATATATTAAAAAAAAGCAGAACAATTTGAAGACAATGCATTCCTCAATGAGTCACATGTAAAAAGCACCAACAGAGAGGTGCATGCTTGCAAATGTTCTTTTTCAATATGCAGTGTTTAAGCTCATGACATTTATTTTTAGGGATGGTCCAAACAGAGCAGGGGTTGGCCTTGTTCTTCTCTAATTTTGTAAGAGGCATTTCTTGCTGGTGAACTCATTTTAGGCAACAGATAGTTGATGACCCTACTGTATCTCTTTTTCAGTATGTCAGTGATTCTTTTTCAGTATGTCCATGATTCAGTATGTCCATGATTCTTTTTTACACTCCAAGGTCAACTAAAACATAGTGTAGATGGAAACCAGGCTTTGAAATAAATTCTACTCAGTGTATTACACAACATAAACACTTGATATCCCTTCAATGCAAAAGAGCACCTCTAATTTATACCATTAAATCCTCTAAATTAGGATTTTAGTGAAACCTTTAGTTGGGTTTAATTGGTGAGTCTTTTTCTGTTCTGGTTTTGATTTTCTTCTGTTGTCATTTGGACCTTGTGGTTGGCTGATCTATTTCTGTGTCCTAATAAGCCTCCTTTGTACTGCTCATGATATTAATATATACTGTAAAATATTTTGTCTCTACAACTGCAAAGTTTCAAGCTTTAGAGTTTTCCTTAACTCTAATGAGTTTTCCTCTCAGGTTTATTGCTCAGGTGAGTTGACTTTTATCACCCTTCTTCACACTGATACAAATAAAGGAAATGACTAGAGGTCTATCTCTCTTCCTATGTGAATGTGCAGTGGTTGCTGCAAAGGGCCACCTTTCAGTGCTATTTTATTGGGAAGAATTTTATAAAGCTTCTTGACTTTGTGTAGGAAAGAAAAACTTCAAGAGTGAATGCAGCCTATAAAAGACTATGCTTACTTCCTTTATCCCACAAAAATAATAATATTATCCAATATGTTCCAGGTACTCATCCATGTTTAGTATATAAAACGAGTCGTGAAGGTAGCAGAAACTCAATAAATATTAGCTGAAATAGTGATGACTGTGTAAATGAGTAGTTACTAGCCTTCTTTTCGACATGAGAAAAGAGACTAGGAGAAGTTAGATAAATACTTAAGTTTATAACCATAGAAAAATCATAGTGACATTATAAAATTTTCTTTGATTTTATCAGCGGGAGTGAACAAGCGCCCAATTATCTCATGATTGAAACTTTGCTGTTAAAATATTTCTAACTATTTAATTTTGGTTACATTATTTAGATTTTCTCACTATTAGTTTTCCTTTTGTTCAACAGACACTAGCCATTTACCAAGATTATGATTGGTAACAAATTGCCATTTGAACCCTTTGAACGCTTAGCTCAAATATTATCACAAATATTGTGAAACCATTTATACCTACATTCTACTTAACTGGAACTCATGAGATTATGCAAAACTTGGGAACTTTATTCCTAAATATACTAAGAAAGATTTAATTTCTTCATTAAATTAACAGCACAATACATAGGAGATTGCTTAAAGAGTAGGAGCTGTTTCAAAGCTTCTGTAGTAAAAAAAAAAAAAGTGATAATTATAAGTGAATCTTATTTACTGATTAAAGAATTCCATGAATAGTCTGGTAGATAGGTACCAGATTTTAATTTTATACACATATATGTGTGTATATATATATATGTGTGTATAAAATTATATATACACACATATATATGTATATGTATATTTCTTAGTTTTTTTTCATTTCCAGTAAAAGAAAAATGAAAGGGTGAAATTTGAGTACAAAACTAACCAATCTGTTCTGAACATATAATTATATGTAATGTTGTTTTTTCACGTCTAGGAACATTTCCTTAGTATGAATGAGTTGCAAAGAGACCAGTATAAGTTCTTAACACGTCAAAAGTATTTTCATAGCACAACAGGGAGTGTTTGCTTCTTCAGTGACTCTCTGGATGGAAGGATGCTCTCACAACCCAGTCTCCGAGCTGGCTCTTTTATTCCCTAGAGAAAGCTGTTCCCTAGTGAGAGTGAACTCGCTGTTGCCTGCTGCTGTGAATGCAGCTTCTTATTAGCTAATCAATTATGAGAATTGATTGGCAAAGAAGTATTCTTCATAACCAGGGGGAGTAAATGAGATTCTATGGATTTCCTTCATTCCTCATTATGTTTGTAAAGTCATTTTTCTTTGACTCCTGCCTACACATGCAGCTTTGTTCATTTTGCATTTCTCTCTCCTAAAGGCCTTGCAAGGATAGAAGCTTCCATTCTCTCCCCATGGCATGGACCAGGTTATTCCAATGCAAGCCTGGTGTTCTGCAATAATTCTGATTTCTAGTTTTTAAGTTTCTCTTGCTTTTTGTCTCCTATTTCACAGAAGCTTTATTGTAGAAGTTGTCCCTTCAACTGAGCCTTAAATAGTGGGCAGGAAATAACCAGGGGAAAGGCTGGAGAAAGAAGAGGACAGGGGTACATTACAACTTTTATGAACCCTAGACACCTTTGTGGTTGTGGGCCTCTTCCTCCATAAATATATTCATATATCCATACAGCAAACCAATCTGTTTCTCATATATATATAATGTATATAACATGTATATTACCTGTATCAGATATCATATATGTCACATATATGTAGTATATATAATGGCATAATCAGTAAGAATAAAATTAAGAAAATAAAAAGAATGACAAAGGTTTTATTAAAAAAAAAAGAAAAGAAAAAGTTTTCCTGGCCATTGTCTGAGGGAAATTTTAAAATGGCTCTGTGAGATCAGGGCTAGATTTAAGACTGTATTATAAATGCGCATGTCTGATTTTTTTTTTTTAAAGGGAGAACTGGTTAATCCTCCCCCAGGGACCTACTCACAGTCTGTTAAATTTTTTTTATATGTTTTTTTTTATTATACTTTAAGTTCTAGGCTACATGTGCACAACGTGCAGGTTTGTTACATATGTATACATGTGCCATGTTGGTGTATGGCACATGTATACATATGTATACATGTATACCTAAGGTATACCTAACGTACACATATGTATACATGTATACCTAAGGTATACCTAACGTACACATATGTATACATGTATACCTAAGGTATACCTAACGTACACATATGTATACATGTATACCTAAGGTATACCTAACGTACACATATGTATACATGTATACCTAAGGTAAATGACCAGTAACTCGTCATTTACCTTAGGTATATCTCCAAATGCTATCCCTCCCTCCTCCCGCCACCCCACAACAGGCCCTGGTGTGTGATGTTCCCCTTCCTGTGTCCAAGTGTTCTCATTGTTCAGTTGAGTCTGTTCAATTTTTAAAGAACATTTCACGGGGGCTTTCGAGCCTGCTGCACTTAAAGGGGCACATTGATGAAAGCTCTTTATGCTCTGAACTGATAACAGTGAGGTCTGTAGCCCGGTGTTTCAAAACCCTGTCCCCAAGTGGAAACCGAATGAGTGCTGATTCAAGGTTTCTGTTTCTTTCAGTGTCTTTATATAGATGATTTTCCCCACATAAAAACTTTGGCTTCATCCTTGCACTACAGGTTGTATTTTTATATTTAAGCTTCAAATTTATGGTATTGCACTACCTGCATCTTTGCAAACATTTTTAAGAGTTCGTTTCTAGGGCACCTTCACAACAATTCAGAAAGGAAGATGTGGCAGGTGATCACCTCTCCCTTATAAACCTAAGGCATCTGAGGCCCTCAAAAGGAGACGCTGAATGTCATAGAGCTTAATGTCACTACTTGGGGTTAGAAGATGGTTGTCTTGATTCTCAGACATGGTTGTGGTTATGGTTGCAGCAGGGATAACAGAGCTTTGCAGCAGTGCCCACCAAAGGCCCAGCCTGGCAGTCCAACATTTCCTGCTTCTCTTTCCCTAGCTTCAGCAGGAGACCCAGTTGACCAGTCCACTCCCTTTGCTTTGGCAACTTTGCAGTGTGTGAGCCCTCTGTCTTCAACATCAGCAGGCTCAGACTCACAAGATGAGGACCTGAACCTGAGGAGCACAGGACGGAGAAGGCCTGACTTCATCTGTTTCTGTCTTTACCCCTCCTAGAACTCCAGGTTTCAGTTTACTCCATCTTCCCTGGTGTCCCTCCAGATTTTTAGGGCACTCGGGGCCTGAGGGAGTGTCTGTGTTCTGTGTGTACATCCCAGCCACACAAGGCCTCTGAAACCTCTCACCTCCCTGCGGAGAGCACCTGAACAGCTTCTAAAACCTTAGCTTAGACTTCCCTGTGTTGTAGGAAACAGTGTCCATTTTTCAAACCTCCCCAGGGGCTCTCTTTCCCTCAGTCGGGGAAGAAGTCTATTTATGGACTTTAATGCATTTTTATTTGTCAGGAAATGATACTTCTGCTTCATTTAAACAACAAAGGAACTTGAAAACTATGGCAGTTTGGTCGCAATATTTGAAAGGTACATTAGAAACAGTTTTAGCTCTAGGCAGCAACACATGTTTTGACAGCTCAGAACTGAGTCAAACCTGCGAATGAGAACTTGCTGAATCTCTGGTTTTAAAAATGACTTACTTTTTAGTGGCAAAATGTGGAAATATTTCATCTTTTCTTTGTCTCATCACCTTTGCTCTTAGAAAATGAAAAGCTGCAACTTTAATAAATAAATAACCCAAATTTTATTCAGAAATTTTATCACATTCCAAATAGTTGCATTAAATAGGTCTAGTGATACCTTTGAGGATAACCACTGAATTTTAATTCATTGTAAGGTTAAAAATGGATTTTGTTGACTGTTAATCTCGTGGAAAGGTGTGCTAGTGGCAAAAACATGAGACTTGGAGTTGAGACAAAGATTTCTGTCCTGGCTCTGCCACTTAATAACCCTGTCTCTCCGGAAAACTCGCTTATCCTCGCTGGGTCTTAGTGACCTGGGAACATCAGCGTCTGCTTCCAAGACCTGTGAAGATTTAGTGACATATGCGGATTTTATAAACGTTAAAATATTATGTCAATGTTAGTTAATATTTACTTCTGCCCTTCCAAAAGCAGGAACAATTTGTGGTTTAAAAATCTGTAAATTGAGTTTGTTATTTCTCTAATCCTCTGTGAATTTAGTCGAAAGTTATGAGAAATTAAAACATCATGCAATTTTACCTCCATTTATTATTGAATCAGATAATTTAATATTTTATGTCTATCTATAGTATTATAATCACTCATATTTGGAGATTATGAATTCAAAGATCATTAGAGCTAGAGAACTTTTGCAGATAACCAAAGTTCTCCTTTAGGTGTGTGTGATTTGAGGCTCAGAGAGGGTGAGTCACTTGTCTCGAATCACCAGCTTGCTGCAGGCTGACTTAGGGCACCAGTACTATGGCCCTGTTTTCATGCCTCACAATTCACAGGCCGTGTGTCCACCATGGGTTTGGAAAGTGGGAGGGGGACAGCTAAGGTGGGTGGGAGGCGAGGATTGTGCTTCCTTAGTGGTGAATGGGAAGACTTGCACCTCTCTGTCCCAGCACTTGTCACCATTCTTGCCTGTGTTTCAGGCAAAAAAAGGTTTTTGTGGGATAGAGCTTTGTGCTGCAGAAAGAACATCCCTGCCCGCAAGTAGCTGTCCGTGTTAGGGTAAGCCCTTTAAACCAGGTACACGTGCTTAAGCTCAGGCTCTCATCTGTGATTTTCTCTAAGGCTGAAATGCAATAATTCTTATAACACATGCAGCATAATGTCTCATAATGGCAGATTCTATTATTTGTTTTCTGGTTGAAGGTTTTCAACTTTCTCTAAGTCTTCTCTAAAGGAATTACTCTTAAAATAAGGGAGATTTTGTTTTCCATCTTTGTTTTTGTACCTGAAAGTAAAAATGTTAAATATCCTCGGTGGCAATGAAGGAAAAGACCTCAGGAGTGAGCTTCTTACGTTCTTTATCTCCACCTCATAAAGGTCAGAGGGACAGGGCGGTGGGTCCCTGCTGACCCGTGACAATCAGGAAGAGCCTCTGACTTTCTGTTCCTGATTGAGAAAGATTTTCTATTGGCCTGTGGGACATTTTAGCAGACAGGTGAGTTCCTTAAGTGCTGCTGACAGTCCTTTGATAACAGGGACAAGGTTATAATTGTATTGAAAAGGTTCCTGGAAGAGAATTTCTGAAAGGTATCCCAAAACATCTTGTTCTTATGGCTAATGGGCTCTATTCAGAGTTTTTCCAAGTGACTGATGGCCTTCACTTGCATCACCTCTCTCCGTTCTGATACTGACAGAAGAAAAGAAAACATCTTAGAGCCAGACACAGGCACTAATGCAATGTGATTCATTCTTACACTTAGAAAGGGGAGAGCTGCTACAAAACATATTCCCGGCACTTGGAGGCATAGGATCTGGGTTCGACTCAGCTCTGATTCTTCTCAGCTGTGAGACCTTGGTCTGGGCCTGTTATTGAATGTCTTTGAGCTTTATTGTCTTCGCTTATCAGCTGGGGATAATTACATAATTTGGAGTAAGAGACAGGACATGGGCCTTAGAGTCAAGTAGAACTCAGTTCACATCCTGACTACAATCTGTAGGGCTGGAGTTTTGGAGAATGTTAGTCAAACTGAATGAGTAGACTGAGTGCGGTGGCTCACATCTATACTCCCAGCATTTTGAGAGGCTGAGGTGGGAGGACTGCTTGAGCCCAGGAGTTTGAGATCAGCCTGGGCAACATAGTGATACTCTGTCTCTACAAAAAATTAAAAAAAAAAAAAAAAAAGAACTTAGCTTGATATGGTAGCACATGCCTATAGTCCCAGCTACATTGGAGGCTTAGGTGAGACGATCACTTGAGCCCAGGAGTTTGAGGCCTTATTGAGCTAGAATTATGCTACTCCACCCCAGGATGGGCAACAGAGTGAGACCCTGTCTTAAAATAAAAACAAAAAACCTGAATGAGTCACTGTTACCCATAAAGTCACCTCATGGTATTAATATTGGGGCAGGCTCAGTGAGTTTTCTAAGTTAAATGGCCAGCACAGAAGAGATGCATTGATTACTATTAGTTTTCTCTCTATTGTATAGAGATATGACAGATTGATAAAAATGAGTGGGGACTAGAATATAGCATAAAACAGTAAGTAAAGAGTAACATTTTGATAAAGTACTATGTTGTCAGAAGACAGGGAAAGCAAAATATTCTCTTTGTAATGTAGTCAGATCTTTTACCAAGGGCTGCTTTGGAGGTGATCAACTTTTTATTTTTATTTTTTTCTTTAATGACGGAAGTACTATACTTGAAGGTGGAATTCAACAAGCAGACACATCATTATTACAGTGGATAGACTGTGTAAGGTAAACTTCCATAAAGATACAGTGTGACCATTGAGATCTATCACATTGCAGACTGGCTGGAGTCCAGTTTATTCCATGCTTGACATTAAAAGAATACTTTAGCACTTTGGGTCAAGTATGACATTGTGGTACTTGAATAATTAAAGGAATAGGGGACAGGTATTAATATCTAGGGAAAATTATTCAACTTCCTGCTAATGAGATGAGGTTCCAGCAATGAGTGTGGGGAAGAAAAGTGTAATTTGATTTGCATCCTCAGTTTGGGAAGACATTTATATTGGTTACATTTAGACAGTATGCTTTCTCTTATATTTCCATTTTCAATGACCTGTCCTATTCCTGGTGTACATTTTACTGCCAATCCAAACTTTGAAAATTACATGTGGCCTTGTGTATGGGCAGGGTACTTCATGCTGTGGTAGGGGGCCTGCACATGTGTAGTGTACTTGCAGAGCACAGTGGGGAGAGAGTGTGAGGGAGACAGGTGTTCACTTTGAAGACTGTGCATGTGGGTTGCTGTCATTAGGAAGAGGGACAGTAAAGACAGGACCAAACTTATTTCTAGTGACCTTGATCTGACTTTGGATTGGGTGTTCTGATCAAAGATTACTAAAGGACATATTTACTGTAGAAACAAATTTCAAAAATATTTCCCTTTCACTATAGTTGAGACTGATTCTCCTCTTATTCTCCTTTCTCGTGTGTAACTGTTGATGCTACATTTGTACTTTTGCAATTGCATAAAACTTTTCAAAGTAATCTGAAATTAGAGAATACTCACTTCTTATAAATTGTATTTCATTAATTCAGTTGTGAGTTTCTTTAATAAATATTTGGACTTGTGAATAGAGAAAAAAGTTTCACATGTTGAAGAAGTACTCTCATTGTGAATGGAGAAAAAGTTCCACATTAGCAATAATGGATTTCCTACCAATTGGAGGGTAATTATTTGCTTGGTTTGGCAAGGAATAAAGAGCTTCAAAGGTTTAAAGCAAATCTTTAAAGTAGTGGAGCTTTGTTTGCCAAGCACGTACCAAAACAAAAAAAAAAGAGTGAGAGAAATATAAGTCAGGAATGGACATGAAGTGAAAAAATTTCTACCAAAAATTCCTTCTGAAATTTGAGATTTGGTCCATGCTGGTCTTATTATATGACTATTTTGAATTTTATTTGTTCAACAATACTGTTGACATACAGGCTTTTCTGATAATATAAGAAATAGATGTTTATTATAATAAATTCCAAATTCATTTTTTTTTTGTTCTCATTTTGTTTTATTTCTTCTGCTTGTTTTCCAGCTTATTTTGCTCCTCTTTTCCTTGGTTCCTTAGGTTGGAGCTTATATTATTAACTTGAGATTTCCTTTCTTTTCTAATGTAGGCTATAAACTTCTCTCTCAGCATTGTGTTAGTTATATCCCACAAATTTCAATTTGTTTGGTTTTTATTTTTATTCAGTTCAATTTTTAAAAAATTTCCCTTAGGTATTGCTCTGTGACCCATGGATTATTTAGAAATGTGTTCTTTAGTTTTTATGTGTTTGGAGGTTTTCCTGTTATTGATTTCTACTTTGGTTCCATTGTCATTAGGGAATATGGTTCATATGATTTCAGTTCTGTTTAAATGCACTGAGGTTGTTATATAACACAGAATGTGATTTGTCTTGGTCTATATTTTGCAGATACTTGAAAATAATGTGTATTCTGCTTTTCTTGCATGGAATGTTCTATAAATGTCAGATCTTGTTGGTTGATGATACTGCTGAGTTCTTCTATATTCTTGCTTATTTTCTGCCTAGCTGTGTCAATCACTGAGAGAAGGTTGTTGATGTCTCCAACTGTAATGCGGATTTTACTGCTATTTGTCCTCTCAGTTTTATCAGATTTTGCTGCTCATGTGTTGCAGCCCCATTATTTGGTCTATGCACATTTAGGATTGCTACACCTTCTTGGTAGATTGACTCTTTTATCGCTTGAAAATGTCCCTGTCTGTCTCTGGTAATTTTATTTGCTCTAAAGCTTACTTTATCTGATATTAATATAGCCACTCTTGCTTTATATTCATTAATGTTTCCATAATATAGTTTTTCCATCATCCTAGTTTCAACATGCTATATGATTATATATGAAGTGAATTTATTGTAGACAGCATATAATTATCTTTTATTTTAAAATTCACTCTGCCAATCTTATTTTAATTGGTGAATTGGATTATTTACCTTTGATATAATTATTGATTTGAATTGCTTCTTTTTTTTTTTCTTTTTTTTTTTTAAGACAGAATCTCATCTTATCACCCAGGCTGGAGTGCAGGGACACAATCTCAGCTCAATGCAACCTCCACCTCCTTGGTTCAATCGATTCTTGTGCCTCAGCCTCCTGAGTATCTGGGATTATAGGCATGCACCACCATGTCCAGCTAATTTTTGTATTTTTAGTAGAGGCGGGGTCTCACTGTGTTGGCCAGGCTGGTCTCAAACTCCTGGCCTCAAGTGACCTGGCTGCTGCGGCCTTCCAAAGTGCTAAGATTACAGGCACAAGCCACCATGTCTGGCCTGTTAGGGTATACTTTTTAAATGTATACATTAATCTTTATTCTCTGTGTTTTTTATTTCTCCATTTTGTTTATTTTTCTGGCTTTCTTGTGGGATAGTTGCTGTTTAATAGAATTCCATTTTTAATTAACTGTGGTGTTTTTGAATGTATCTATTTGTATGACTGTTTTAGTGGTTATATGAGGTATTGCATTAAACATATAACTTATTACTATCTACTGGTGTTGATATTTTACCAGTTCATGTGAGCCATGGAAGCCTTACCTGCCTTTACAAATCCCATTTTATAATAGAAGTCTATTTCCTGCATATACATTGAGAACCAAACCAACACGTGTTATGTTTTTGCTTTAACCATCAAATATAATTTAGAAATTCAAGGGACAAAGGAAATTCATTTTATTTATCTATTTTTTTTTTACTCCTTCCATTGTTCTTTTTTTCCTTCTTAATATTTCAGGAATCCTTTTATTTTTTAAAAAAAACAAAATAATAGATGACTTTTAGCTATCTTTTTATGGAAAGTTTTTTGGCAACAAAATTTATTAGTTTTTTCTTCATCTGAAAACATGCTTATTTCCCTTTTATTCCTGAAGAATATTTTGCTGGATGTAAAATTCTGGGTTGAGAAGTCCAGCCTCTGCCCCCTGCCAAAAAAAAGGTATCATTTATTTCTGGCTTCCATGGTTTCTGGTGAGAAATCAGCCGGTAGTCAACTGTTTTTTTTCTTTATAGGTAAAGTATCATTTCTCCCCTTCTGCTTTCAAGATATTTTGTTAGTTTACTTTCAGAAGTTTAACTATCATGTGTGGCAAACAGAATAATTTCCTCTCAAAGGTGTCTACCTCCTAATCCCTGGAACTTGTGACTATGCTACCTTACAAAGGGGTTTTATAAATGTGATTGAGCATCTTGAGAGGGGAAGATTTTTAAGGCTTATCTGGGTGGGCTCAATGTAATAACAAGGGTCTTTTTAAGAGGAGCATCAGAGACGGGGTAGAAGATGTGGTGATGGGAACAGAGTTGAGATAGATTGGGAGAAGGGGAGTAGGAGGGAAGGGAAAGGGAAAGAGAAGGGAAGGAGGAGAGAGAGATGAGAGAAAGAGAGGGAAAGAGAAAGGAGGATGATTCTACTTCTATGTTCTTCTGTATTTGTCCCAAACTGGTTTTCTCCTGGACCGCTATTTTTTAAATAGAAAAGTTCTACCTGGAGTTATTTGTCCTAAAATGGATGGAGAGGATTACTCCTTAATTCTCCTTCGATGACTGGTACACAATCTGAAGAATTCTTTTAGAACTTGGACTGGAGGTATGCATATAAATGTGCTGGATTTAAGTTGATCTGTGCTAGATGATGGTAGCATAGCAGTAAGAGTGAGCAGGGCAGTGAAAAGTCGGTCTCAGAGAAGTTTCTGTCTAGGATCAGGAAATGTTGTCCTCCTGAGGAGAGTGTGTTAATAACCCCCTGAGATTTTAAATATTCCCTGGCTTTGTGTCAAATATGCCATTCTTCAGAGAAGCTGAGTCTATACGCAGTCACGTGACACCTTTTCGAAATTTTAATTGTTTTTTGAGCATTGGCAATTGCTTATTTCTGGTGAATTGACTTTACTCTGCAGCCCTAAGCCTACTGCCAGATTATTGATCTATAGGTTCATGAATGTTGGTCTTTTTATTACACCTGTGAACTGGGCTTTTCCTTGTTGGAAGGCAGTCTAGGAAGTAAAGATGTTAGTTAAAACTGATGACTCTCTCTATCAGCTTTGCCTCTGCTATTATACTTTTCTGAGGTGGGAAAATGGTCCATGTGTAGGGAAGGCACACTTTCCCTATAGCCCATATTGTCCTTTCCCTCAAGTTTGTTTTTTTCAGTAGGACTCTTCAGAAGTCCTTATTTGCTTCCTGAAGACTTCTGAAGATCCAAGAAAACACAGAATCTCATCAGACTCACCTTGTCTACTAATCTGGGGTCTATGTCTCCTACTTCAGCTACCATCACCCTGGCTCTCTTCCCCTATTGCTCTGTACATGTCCCTTCATCAGATACAATTTCCCACTCTTTTCTCTCAAACTATTTCACTAGCTCTTCAAAATTTCCAGACTGTCAATTTTCTTATGCTCTAAACTTTAAAAAAAATTATTTCACTACTTCATTTTAAGTAAAATAAGGCTGCCCTACAAGGACTCTACATTTCTTGCTGTTCTTTCAAAATTAAGCTAATTAAGTTTTGTTTGTTGGTTTATTTGTTTCTCTTTCTTTTTACTCTCTCTCATCTTATGATCAGGAATTTGTCTAGGTGTTCATTTATTCTTCATTGCCACTTTCAGATATGTATATCCTTGCTTCTTTTGGAGGGTTTTGGACAGTTCTCCTGCTTTCTTGGAGCTCATATTTTCTGGCTAGACCTCTTTTCCCATCCTGGTTACTATCTTCTGCAAATAATACATTCTCTTCCTCCTTCTCCTTCTCCTCCTCTTCCTCCTTCCCCTCCCCCTCCTGCTTCTCCTCCTTCTGCTTCTGCTTCTTCTTTCTCTCTTCTTCTTTTTCTTCTCCTCCTCTTCCTTCTCTTTCTCCCTCTCTTCCTCTTCTTTTTTCTTCCTTCTCCTTCTTTATTTGAATGTGTTGCACTATACTCTTTCTTGTTACTTCACTTGCCATTGTCAGGGACTTCATCTACATGGATAAATCATTCAGTAGCCTCTCAGTTCTTTCTTTCTTCAAATCATCATTGTTATTTGCAACTCGGTCACAGGTGATACTCTAGAATTTGTTATCAGCTAACACTGGATCATCTCTGAGGCCACAGCACTAAACATACTAATTTCTTTTCATAGCCTCCATTAGTTTTGGTCTAAAGAACCCTGATTTTTTCCTTCCCTGAATATTTAAAAACCACATCAAAGATTTTAATGCAAGGATCTCTTTACTTTCTTGTGTTCAATAAGTCCGTCACTTTTCAGCTTTCTAGTCATGGATTAAGCCATTATTATTATTACTTTCTTGAAAATATCATCAGTGCCATTGTCTTTGTCTTCCTCTCTTTTGCCCACATCAGATGGAAGTTATGATCCATATCCTCAGGGTCTGCACCTGAACAGACACTGCTCAGAATGTCACACAAGTGAGCCAACCAGTTTTGTTTCCCTATCTCGTCACTAAGATGAAAGGAGAATTGCTTCAAAATTATTCCATGTGTCTCAAATAAACCTTTTTATCATGGTCCAAAATGACTGTCTTAAAGCTAATTCTCTTTTCATGCCATTCTTCATCACACTCAGCTGATGACCTAGCTTCATATTTCAAACTGAAAATTCAAGCCATCAGATGTGAATTGCTTTATTATTTTTGTCATGGGAGCCCTCTTAATATATACTATGTGACAGCTGGTGTTCATCTCTCAGGTGTATATGTCTAGGATCATAAATCTTAAAGCTAAGACGTGCCTCCCTTCACAGCTTCCGAGCTGCTTATATGCCCCATTCAACATTCCTCCCGAGACAAGTTTCTGAGAAAGAGGAGAAAAAAGTTAGCTTTCTTTGTGCAGATCCTCTATCCTTCCTCTGTGTGTGTGTGTGTGTGTGTGTGTGTGTGTGTGTATGTGTATGTATATATATATATATAGCCAGATGTAGACATTTGGAAGGAGAAGTAATTACAACAGAGGAAGCCAAAAAACATCTGTACCTGACCGTTGAGCTATGTTGCAGCTTAAAGTCAGCGATCCCTCTGGGAAGTTCCCTTCTCCAGCAACCACTGTGATATATTATACACGAACACAGCATCCTGCAGACTCACTTCTTCTACCACGACCAGATTTCAGTGACAACAACAGCATATTCAGGCAGCTTCTGGCCTCCAGTGGTGATGGGGAAGAAGCTACTCTGGCTGACTTCCTCTAATCTATCAGGAGAAATAGCTGCTCAGATTGGGAAACACTTTAACATTCTTCACCCAGCCAACCTATATACAATTCAACCCATGTTTTCCTTCTTCCTGCTTTTAGTATAGAAAGCATTTTTTCACTATTAGTGACTTTACTGCTGTAGTAAATTTCTTTCCATCTTGTTTTTCAATAGCCTCTGTCTTTGGCTAGTTACTCCCCTGCGTCATTTGTATTTAGCTTCTCTGATGAATCTTCCCCAGTGTCTTAGGACCATTCTTTAGCATCAACCACCTGAAAAAAACAAACTCTGTATCCCCCACAGTTTTATTCCAGAAACTTCCCCATTTCTTTTTCATGAGCCATTCTACCCGTATTTTCCCTGGACTTTATTATAGCAGTCACTGAGTGCTTTGTTTTTGTGTGTGCTTTGTTTTTAATTTTGAAAATTAAAAGAAAATTCAGAGGTTAATAATAGATACCCATACACCTAACATACAGAATTAATAAAAATATGTTATCATTTCTTCACCAATCATGTAATATAGCTATCTATAAATAGATATAAATCTCTGTTACTCAAGTGTATTTCTAAGCCTCCCTCCCTAAAGTAAATTTCTATCTTGAATTTGATGTGTTTCCTTCCACTCTACCTTTTAGATGTGCTTTTATTTTGCAAATTATTGTTAAAGCTATCATGCCACAATTAATCATTTAATTCAATATTATGAAGATAAGCAAGGATCTGGTTAGTTTATTTTAGTTTCTATAGTATTTCATTTTATGAATATACCATATTTTGGAGGCATTTATGTTGTTTCAAGTTTTTCTAGTAGATGATGTGAATTTTGCTAAGTATACACCAAAAACCACAATTACTGTATACTCAAGTGTGTTCATTTCAATTTCACTAGATTTCTACTTGCTCTCCAAATTGGCTTTATAAACTGGTAATGTCAAACTTCCTGAATTATGCCAATCAGCTGGTGGATGTGCAATAGCTGCTCAGTGCTTTAGTTCACACTCTCCTGATTTTCTGTGAGGTTGCATGCATTTTCATATTTATTCGCTATTTTCTCCACTGGGAATTGCCTGTTCAGTTAAATTAGTTACTTTGCACATTTTTTCTAGTAGATTATTTTTGTCTTAAATATTGACTTGTAGGCATTCTTTTTCTTTTCTGTAGACTAAAACTCTTGGTTATATATATTGGAAATATCTTCTGCCAATTTGATCTGTTTTTAACTTTGTATATGGCACTTTTATATTATAGAACTTTAAAATCTCATATGATCACATTTATTAATTTATTCTTTTTGTTGTTATTAATGTGTTTTAGCTAAGAAATTTTTACATTCTCAGCAGTGCTTAAAAACATTCTACATTTTCTTATAGGTGCATTACAAGTTTGATTTTATAATTCAGATGTTTAATGCATGTGGAAGTTTTTTTGTATGTGTGATATGAAGTGGTGCTCTAGACTCTATTCTCCATAAGGAAAGCCAACTGAGTCACTATACATTTTTATGAAGAGTTTACCACTGCATACTGATTTGTATGCTATGGACAGCAGGTACTAATCCCCACATATGCTTGAGTCTGTTTCCAGTATCTCTACTGATTTCCTTTATTGGTCTACTTCTCAACCTCTGTCTAAATATTTTAATTACCATATCTTTATAAAGTCTTAAGTCTAGTAGCGAAAGTTACCTTACTTCTTGTTTAGTTTTTAGAATTATTTTGGAGAATATTAAATAATTGCTTTCAATTCATTTTAGAATTAGTCTGTTTAGCTCCATGAAAAATCATGTTGAAATTTTGATTTAAATAGTTCTGATATATGGATTATTTGTGGGAATGCTAATCTACTTAGGAGAGTGAGTTTTTTAAATTCATGAGCAAATTATACAAGTTCATCTATATAAATCTCTTATCTTCTTCAATAGCATTTTATAATTTTCTTTTTGTGGGTATTCTACATATTTTGATAGATTTATTCTACATCTCTTATAGTTCAGTGGCTGTTGTGAGTGATATATTTTTCTATGAAATCTATTATTGTTGATATATAAGGCGACATTTATCTTTTAATTTTGATCTTGATTTAAGCAATACTTCTAACTTCTTTTATTAGATTTTGGATAATCTATGTAAATTATCACAATGTTCTGTAACAATGAGTACTTTTCTCTTTATTTGTCCAGTTCTGAGAATCTCTTTGTAAAAAAATTACATGTTGTTGAATGGAAGCATGATGTTATTTTATGAAAGTTCAAAGTGGACAGAAGGATGGTGTGATTCATGAGTAGCCTAAAGCATGGACCTCTTAGAATGGGCATAGAATGCCAAGGTATTTGTGTTGAATGTGGCTGCTTACCAAAGAGCATCAGCTGTAAAAGGAGTCCTTGATCATCAAATGGGCAAGATGCCCCTTTGTGTGGATGCTGGTCATTCTCTGCCCCCAACTCCTTTAGCACTTACTCACTGGGCCTATGTATATAGTGGTCATAGAACAGGAGATAGAGGTTATGCAAAGGTTCGGCAACATGGACTTCCCCTCACCAAGACTGAGGGGCTACTGCCAGTGATGAACACCTGGCTTTCCAACAGCAGAGACCATATTGGTAAGTAGCACCATTCCCTAGGAAAACAAGCCAGCCTTGGTAAGTAGCACCATTCCCTAGGAAAACCAGCCAGATACCTGGTAACAGCTTGATTCTAGTGGACCCTATCCTGCATGGAGTGGCTATTACTTATCTATCATTGAAATAATTATTAATTTGAGATATAAATGTGCCTTTACTTACTGTTATAGTTATGCCAGCCTTATTATACGTGAATTCAGAATGCCTTGCTCACTGACATAATATCCTACACAATATTATTCTGGTCAATGGATTTTTCAAAACCTAAGACATCAAGTAATGGGTTCACACTCAAAATTCACTGCTCTTTTCATATATCCTATCACTTAAAAATCATTTGGCTTGACAGGACACAGAATAGTTCATTAAAGGCCCAGTTTTGGTGCCAACTGTGAGACAACATTCACGATGCAGCATATTGTTTAAATCAAAAATATATGATACTACTTCACAAATAACCAGAATCATGATCAGGTAGTCAACTGGTAGAAGAGGAATTGACTCCTTTGTTTTTTATTTGTATAAATTTAAGGGGTACAAGTGCAATTTTGTTTCATGGATTATTGCATAGTGATGAAGCCTTGACTTTAAGCAGATCCATCATTTGAATATTGTGCATTTTATCCATTAAGAAATTTCTCGTCACTCATCCCCCTTCTGCCACCTAAAACTTTTTGAATCTCCAGTATCTATCATTCTATACACTATGTCCATGTGTATGCATTATTTAGCTCCCATTTATAAGTGAGAAAATTTGACTTTCTGTTGTTTCAGTTAAGATAATGGCCTTCTGTTCTTTCTATGTTGCTGCAAAAGACAAATTTACATTCTTTTTATGGCTGAATAGTATTTTATTGTGTATATACACCAACTTTTCTTTTTTTTAAATTATACTTTAAGTTTTAGGGTACGTGTGCACAACATGCAGGTTTGTTACATGTGTATACACGTGCCATGTTGCTGTGTTGCACCCATTAACTCGTCCTTTACATTAGGTATACCTCCTAATGCTATCCCTCCCCCCTCCCCCAACCCCACGACAGGCCCCGGTGTGTGATGTTCCCCACCCTGTGTCAATGTGTTCTCATTGTTCAATTCCCACCTGTGAGTGAGAACATGCAGTGTTTAGTTTTTTGTTCTTGTGATAGTTTGCTGAGAATGATGGTTTCCAGCTTCATCCATGTCCCTACAAAGGACATGAACTCATCATTTTTTATGGCTGCATAGTATTCCATGGTGTATATGTGCCACATTTTCTTAATCCAGTCTACCATTGTTGGACATTTGGGTTGGTTCCAAGTCTTTGCTATTGTGAATAGTGCCTCAATAAACATACGTGTGCATGTGTCTTTATAGCAGCATGATTTATAATCCTTTGGGTATATACCCAGTAATGGGATGGCTGGGTCAAATGGTATTTCTAGCTCTAGATCCCTGAGGAATCACCACACTGACTTCCACAATGGTTGAGCTAGTTTACAGTCCCACCAACAGTGTAAAAGTGTTCCTATTTCTCCACATCCTCTCCAGCACTTGTTGTTTCCTGACTTTTTAATGATTGCCATTCCAACTGGTGTGAGATGGTATCTCATTGTGGTTTTGATTTGCATTTCTCTGATGGCCAGTGATGATGAACATTTTTTCATATGTCTTTTGGCTGCATAAATATCTTCTTTTGAGAAGTGTCTGTTCATATCCTTTGCCCACTTTTTGATGAGGTTGTTTGTTTTTTTCTTCTAAATTTGTTTGTGTTCATTGTAGATTCTGGATATTAGCCCTTTGTCAGATGAGTAGATTGCAAAAATGTTCTCCATTCTGTAGGTTGCCTGTTCACTCTGATGGTAGTTTCTTCTGCTGTGCAGAAGCTCTTTAGTTTAATTAGATCCCATTTGTCAATTTTGTCTTTTGTTGCCATTGCTTTTGGTGTTTTAGACATGAAGTCCTTGCCCATGCCTATGTCCTGAATGGTATTGCCTAGGTTTTCTTCTAGGGTTCTTATGGTTTTAGGTCTAACATTTAAGTCTTTAATCCATCTTGAATTAATTTCTTATAAGGTGTAAGGAAAGGATCCAGTTTCAGCTTTCTACATATGGTTAGCCAGTTTTCCCGGCACTGTTTATTAAATAGGGAATCCTTTCCCCATTTCTTGTTTTTGTCAGGTTTGTCAAAGATCAGATAGTTTTAGATGTGTGACATTATTTGTGAGGGCTCTGTTCTGTTCCATTGATCTATATCTCTGTTTTGGTACCAGTAACATGCTGTTTTGGTTACTGTAGCCTTGTAGTATAGTTTGAAGTCAGGTAGCGTGATGCCTCCAGCTTTGTTCTTTTGGCTTAGGATTGACTTGGCAATGTGGGCTCTTTTTTCATTCCATATGAGCTTTAAAGTAGTTTTTTCCACTTCTGTGAAGAAAGTCATTGGTAGCCTGATGGGGATGGCATGAAATCTATAAATTACCTTGGGCAGTATGGCCATTTTCCCAATATTGATTCTTCCTATCCATAAGCATGGAATGTTCTTCCATTTGTTTGTGTCTTCTTTTATTTCTTTGAGCAGTGTTTTGTAGTTCTCCTTGAAGAGGTCCTTCACATCCCTTGTAAGTTGGATTCCTAGGTATTTTATTCTCTTTGAAGCAATTGTGAATGAGAGTTCACTCATGATTTGGCTCTCTGTCTGTTATTGGTGTATAAGAATGCTTGTGATTTTTGCACATTGATTTTGTATCCTGAGACTGCTGAAGTTGCCTATCAGCTTAAGGAGATTTTGGGCTGAGACGATGGGTTTTTCTAGATATACAATCATGTCATCTGCAAACAGGGACAATTTGACTTCCTCTTTTCCTAATTGAATACCCTTTATTTCCTTCTCCTGCCTAATTGCCCTGGCCAGAACTTCCAACACTATGTTGAATAGGAGTGGTGAGAGAGGGCATCCCTGTCTTGTGCCAGTTTTCAAAGGGAATGCTTCCAGTTTTTGCCCATTCAGTATGATATTGGCTGTGGGTTTGTCATAGATAGCTCTTATTGTTTTGAGATACATCCCATCAATACCTAATTTATTGAGTGTTTTTAGCATGAATGGCTGTTGAATTTTGTCAAAGGCCTTTTCTGCATCTATTGAGATAATCATGTGGTTTTAGTCTTTGGTTCTGTTTATACGCTGGATTACGTTTATTGATTTGCATATGTTGAACCAGCCTTGCATCCCAGGGATGAAGCCTGCTTGATCATGGTGGATAAGCTTTTTGATGTGCTGCTGGATTCGGTTTGCCAGTATTTTATTGATGATTTTTGCATTGATGTTCATCAGGGATATTGGTCTAAAATTGTCTTTTTTTGTTGTGTCTCTGCCAGGCTTGGTATCAGGATGATGCTGGCCTCATAAAATGAGTTAGGGAGGATTCCCTCTTTTTCTATTGATTGGAATAGTTTCAGAAGGAATGGTACCAACTCCTCCTTGTACCTCTGGTAGAATTCGGCTGTGAATCCATCTGGTCCTGGACTTTTTTTGGTTGGTAAGCTAGTAATTATTGCCTCAATTTCAGAGCCTGTTATTGGTCTATTCAGAGATTCAACTTCTTCCTGGTTTAGTCTTGGTTTAGTTTTTTTTTTGAGACAGAGTCTTGCTCAGTCACCCAGGCTGGAGTGTGGAGTGCAGTGGCGCAATCTCGGCTCACTGTGAGCTTCGCCTCCTGGGTTCATGCCATTCTCCTGCCTCAGCCTCCCAAGTAGCTGGTACTACAGGTGCCCGCCACCATGCCTGGCTAATTTTTTGTATTTTTTAGTAGAGACGGGGTTTCACCGTATTAGCCAGGATGGTCTTGATCTCCTAACCTTGAGATCCGCCTGCCTCGGCCTCCCAAAGTGCTGGGATTACAGGCGTGAGCCACTGCACCCAGCCTACACCAACTTTTCTTTATCCAGTCATCCATTGACGAACACGTAGGTTGGTTCTATGTCTTTGCTATTGTGAATTGTGTTGTGATAAACATATCAGTGCAGTTATCGTTTTGATATAAATATTTATTTTCCTTTGGAAAGACACATAGTAGTGAGATTGCTGGATTGAATGGTAGTTCTATTTTAAGTTCTTTGGGAAATCTTCGCACTGCTTTCCGTAGAAGTTCTACTTATTTATATTCCCATCAGCAGTATGTGTTTCCTTTTCTTCACATTGTCGCCAATATCTGTTATTTTTTGACATTTTATTAATAGCCGTTCTGACTGGTGTAAGATGATGTCTCATTATGGTTTTAATGTGCATTTCTCTGATTAGTAATGTTGAACTTTTTTTTTTTCGCATGCTTGTTGGTCATTTGTATGTCTTCTTTTGAAAAAACGTTTATTGCCGGCTCAGTGTCTCATCCCTGTAATCCCAACACTTTGGGAGGCTAACATCGGAGGATCGCTTGAGCCCAAGAGTTCTAAAGAAGCCTTGGCAACAGAGACCCCCATCTCTGCAAAAATATCAGAAAAATTAGCTGGGCATGATGGACTGCACCTGTGGTCCCAGCTGCTTGGAAGGCTGAGGCAGGAGGATTGCTTGAGCCCAGGAGGTCGAGGTTGCAGTGAGCCATCATTATGCTACTGCATTCAGCCTGGATGACAGAGTGACACCCTGACTCAAAAATGAAAGAAGAAGAGAGAGAGAGGGCAAGAAGGAAGGAAGGAAAGAAGGAAGGAAGGAAGGGAAAAAGGAAGAATGAAAGAAAGAAACAAAAAAAGAAAGAAAGAAAGAAAAAGAGAGAGAGAGAGAAAGCAAGCAAGCAAGCAAGCGTCTATTCATGTCCTCCACCCAGTTTTTAATGGGTTCATTTTGTTAGTTTCAGTTCATGTTAGATTCCCAGTATTAGTCCCCTGTCAGATGAACAGTGTGCACCAATGGGTGGGTAGTTTGGTCATTCTGTTGATTATTTCTTTAGCTGTACAGAAACTGTTTTAGTTTAATTAAGTGCTATTTGTCCATTTTTATTTGTATTGTTTGTGCATTTGAGGTGTTAGTCATGAATTCTTTGCCGAGGCCAATGTTCCAAAGAGATTTTCCTACATTTTCTTCTAGCATTTTTACAGTTTCAGGTCTTACATCTAAGTCTTTATTCCATCTTGAGTTGCTTTTTGTATCTGGTAAGATACAGAAAAACCCAATTTCTCAGCACCATTTGTTGAAAATAATGTATTTTGATAGAGATTGGATTGAATCTGTAGATTACTTTGGGCAGTATGGTCATTTTAATGATATTAATTCTGATCCATGAGCATGGGGTGTGTTTCCATTTGTGTCATCTATAATTTTTTTCATCATTGTTTTTAGTTTTCCTTGTAGGGATCTTTCACCTGCTTGGTTAAACATATTTCTAGATATTTATTGTGTAGTTGTTATAAATGGAATTGCCTTCTTAATTTAGTTCTCAGCTTGATCATTATTGG
Organism: Homo sapiens; assembly: GCF_000001405.40. Taxonomy (NCBI): domain Eukaryota; kingdom Metazoa; phylum Chordata; class Mammalia; order Primates; family Hominidae; genus Homo; species Homo sapiens. The sequence continues at coordinate 14,377,120 of NC_000002.12, read as the reverse complement.
TTTATAGAAATGGAACTGATTTTTGCATGCTGATTTTGTATCCCAAAACTTTGCTGAATCCATTTATCCGATTTAAGAGTTTTTTTTTTTTGAGTCTTTAGGTTTTTTTAGATATAAGATTATGTCATCAGCAAATAGAAATAATTTGACTTCCTCTTTTTCAATTTAGAGGATATTTATTTATTTATTTATTTATTCTGATTGCTCTGGCTGGGACTTCCAGTGCTGTGTTGAATAGGAGTGGTTAGAGTGGGCATCCTTGTGCTGTTCCAGTTCACAGACGGAAGGCTTTCAAATTCTTGCCATTCAGTGTGATGTTGGCTGTAGGTTTGTTGTATGTGCTCTTGTAATTTAATTTGCTAAGTTTCTTTTTTATTCTACAGTTTCATACTTTCCTGATTTGTAGGTCTTAGAGTTCAAAGGGAGAATGCTTTCAACAAGGGACTAAACAGTGGCTCCATTACTTTGGAAGTTAAGACTGCTACCTGGCCATTTCAAACTCTCTATATCACCAATAAATCAACAACTGTCTGGGGTGATGGATTCCTTTACCAATAAGAAATTGATTTTTTGAATTAACTGGGTATGGTGGCACCTGCCTATAATCCCAGCTACTCAGGAGGCTGAGGCAGGAGAATCGCTTGAACTCAGGATGCAGAGATTGCAGTGAGCTGAGATCATGCACTGCTGCATTCCAGCCTGGGTGACAGAGTGAGACTCTGTCTCAAAAAAAAAAAAAAAAAAAAATTCATTTTTTGTTTTCTAATTAGTGCAAGAAATATTTTGTTGGAAAAAAAAGAGTTCTTGGTTTATGTCTTAGTATGTCTACATGTAATGGCAAAATTAATGAAAAGTTACCAAAAAAAAAAAGTGCAAGAGCATTGTGATTCCACATCCTTTAGGACAAAGAACCCTAATCAGGTGAGGAATTGGGTGAGAACAAAGGGTAGATGGAATTGATAGAGAAAGAAGCAAGTTACAACTGTCTACTAAGTTGACAGAAAAGATAATCAGTTACAGAAACAATAACTGTATCTTTTCTGATCAGTTAAGGAGAAGATAACTGTAGAAGCTTCACACATTTTTTTCTTGCTTGTTCTTTCTCTTTATATATGTGTATGTGTAATTGTGTAATATATAGTTGTATATGTTAACTTGTTTGTAAATCATATACATTTCTAAAAATTAAGTATTTTTTTTTCTCTTTTTCCTCTTATTGTGTTTTATTATGGTTTCTTGGTGATAGTTTATTCTATAATTTAGTCTTAAGAGGATAGGATATTGGTGGGATTCTGAATTTGTGAAATAAATGATTTTACCCAGATTTGGTTGCTCAAATAAGAATTTGATGACTGTTGGTATATAGTCTTCAATTTATGGGGGAGAGGCTGAGCTACATTTGCCTGCATATTTGTTTCTATGAATTATAGTTTCATAGGTGAAAATTTATAGAAATATGAATATGGCATAGCACTTCAAATATTTGTATGAGGGTATGCATGCACACTAAGGGAATGCTTAGTTTCCATCTTGTTCTAACCATCTCCCACCAATGGTTTTCCATTGTCCTTCAATAAATTCAGATGCCTGGCATGATCTAATCACCACTACTCTGTTACTCAGAGTAAATTTCAGTCTTACTAGCTTTCTTTCGTTCCCTAAGCATGGTCATTAATTTACTGCTTTTGACAGTTCTCATCTTTTCTTCTAAAATTCTGAGAATTTTAGTCAAAAAGTCAGAAATACATTACACAAAACCTTTTTTACATCTTCATGCTCAACTCCCAGCCTCACAACTTCTGTTAGTATTTCCTGGAGTAGTTTATTCAGAGTAATCCCTGTTCCTTAAAACCATTCTATTTCTAACTCAACCCTTTGTTTGTCTTCTTATGAAATTTGTAACTATTATGGCATTAGGTCCAATTTATTTATTGGTTTATAAATTTAGTGCTTCAAAATAAACCAAGTGAATTTAGAGTCCATGATTTCCCTGTTCATCATTGCATTTTAGCACTGAGCACACTTTATTTAATAAATGCTCACCCAAATTTTATTTAGCTTTTTGAAAAATATCCAGAAGATGTAACAAGAAGTGATTTCAATTTTATTGTAGTTTCATTTTGATGCTATTACCCTCTCTATTTACATCCCTCTTATTTTTTCCCTATTTAGTGGCTTTTAAAGAGGGGAGTAGTATAAGAAAGTACCCCTTCCACCATCATTCTGCATTTTCTTGTTTTTGGCAAGATTTCTAACCCTCTCAACTTTTCCATAGATAAATCCAATTCACGCCTTGATCCCCAAATATCTTACATAAGCAGATTCTCTTTTTTGGAGCTTACACTCTCCAGTGTTCCTGCCACTCACTGTGTAGGCAGCCTAGGATGTGTTGGATCCTGACTAAATAAATACCCAAGTGTGATCCTGTCCCTTTAGGTAAAATGTTAGAATGTTTGTTAAACAAATGTGCGTGGTTAGGGAGCACAAACAGTGTTTTTCTCCTTTGCTTCTCCTTCCCTTTCCTCTTCTACTTCCCCTTCCCCTCCCCATCCTCCCCCTCTCCTGCTCCCTCTTCCTCTCCTTTCCTGTTCTTTCTTCTGTTTCGTTTCTTTTATTGTTTTTTGAGACAAGGTCCCACTCTGTCACCCAAGCTGCCCATTTCAGTCTTGACCTCCCAGGGCTCAGGTGATGCTCCCACCCAGCTAACTCTCCTGAGTAAATAGGACTACAGGTACAGGCCAACACACTGGGCTAACTAAAGGGTGCTTTTCAAATGGAAGTTCTATTTAATTTGAGATTTTGGGACATATTTGTCTAAAATAAGGAAAGTGTGGGCTTTTTTGAAGGAGAAAAAGAATAAAAAAGCCTTTGGATATGCTATTAAGTAGATAATCCACATCCACACCTGGTTTAGATATTCAATAAAGAAAGAGTGTAGTATATTAAATAGCATAAACCCTCACTTTAGATGAAGGAAACAAAGATTTACAACTCTTTGTTTTTGTGTGATTCAATTTCTAAAAATTTTAGTTCTCCCATTTATTTGAGAGAATAGAACCATTAGCTGTACAGATTAGTGGGTCATATATTTTGCTTTCCTCAGGGGACAAAAAGGGTAATGTGTAAATGTATGAATTGTAAGCTATGGAATGGCGTGGTCTGTCTGCTCTATTTCCCAAAAGTATCTGGGACAGGGCTAAGCATATACTACTCAATACATTAGGAATAAAAAATAAATAACTATAACATATTTTCATTTTAGTAAGTAAAATTTGGATAAAATGATTCCTTAAAGGCAATATTTGACAACAGAGTAATGTACAGAAATTCAAAATTTGCTTACATATATATATATATAAAGTACAGAACACTTCTATTAAAGATGACAAATATGTAACACACAGACATGAACTTGCCCAACAGACATGAACTTGCCCAAGTTCATGTAGTAGTGGTAGAGTTAAGTCTAAAATATGAGTCTCCAATATCCAAGTCCAGGAAGGTTTCCAGTGTACCTCACTAGGCTCCAAGCAGTGGGTAATGGATAAGGATGGAATGTGTGTGTGTATACACACACACACACACACACACACACACACACACATGCACATACACATTCTAAAGATCCCATTTTTGTTTAAATTAGTTCTAAAAAGTTTTTTTTATAACTTCTTCTATTTTAGGTTCAGGGATACATGGGAAGTTTTGTTATATAGGTAAACTCATGTCACAAGGGTTCGTTGTATACATTATTTCATCACTCAGGAATTGAGCTCACTACCCAATAGTTACTTTTTCTGCTCCTTTTCCTCCTCCCACCCTCCACCCTCAAGTACTCCCTGCTGTCTGTTGTTTCTGTCTTTGTGCTCATAATTTCTCATAATTTAGCTCCCACTTATAAGTGAGAACATGCAGTATTTGTTTTTTCTGATACTGAATTATTTTGCTGAGGATAATAGCTTCAGCTTTATCACCTCCCTGCAAAAAGACGTGATCTCATTCATTTTTATGGCTGTGTAGTAGTCTATGGTGTATATATAGCACATTTTCTTTACCCAGTCTGTCACTAATGAGCATTAGTGTTGATTCCACGTCTTTGCTATTGTGAATAGTGCTGCAATGAACATTCATGTTTATGTGTCTTTATAGTAGAATGATTTATATTCCTCTGAGTATATAACCAGAAATGTGATTGCTCAAATAGTTCTGCTTTTAGCTTTTTGAGGAATTTCCACACTGCTTTCCACAATGGCTGAACTAATTTACACTCCCACCAACAGCGTGTAAGTGTTTTCTTTGGAACCTTGCCAGCATCTGTTATTTTTTGACATTTTAATAAAAGCCATTCTTAATCATGTGAGATAGATCTCATTGTGGCTTTGATTTGCATTTCTCTAATGATCAGTGATATTGATCTCTTTTATGTTTGTTTACTGCATGTATGTCTTCTTTACAGAAGTGTCTGTTCATGTCATTTTCCCACTTTTTAATGTTTTTTTCCTTGTAAATTTGTTTCAGTTCCTTATAGATGTTGGATATAAGGCCTTTGTCAGATACATAGTTTGCAAAAATGTTCCCCCATTCCATCGTTGTCTGTTTCCTCTGTTGTTAGTTTCTTTTGCTGTGCAGAAGCTCTTAGATCCCACTTTTCAATTTTTGCCTTCATTGCAAATTGCTTTTGGTGTCTTTGTCAATAAAATCTTTTCCTGTTCCTATGTCCAGGACAGTATCTCCTAGATTGTGTTCCAAGGTTTTTATACTTTTAGGTTTTACATTTAAGTCTTTAATCTTGAATTGATTTTTTGTATATGCTGTAAGGAAGGGGTCCAGCTTCAGTCTTCTGCTTATGGCTAGCCAGTTATCCCAGCCCCATTTACTGAACAAGGAGTCTTTTCTTCATTGCTTGTTTTTGTCAGCCTTGTGAAAGATCAGGTTGTTGTAGGTGTGCAGCCTTATTTCTGGGCTTTCTATTCTGTTCCATTGGTCTATGTGTCTATTTGTGTACCAGGACCACACTGTTTTGGTTACTGTAACCCAGTACTATAGTTCAAAGTCGGGTAACGTGATGTCTCCAGATTTGTTCTTTTTGCTTAGGATCGCCTTGGCTATTCAGTTCCTTTATTGGTTCCATACGTACTTTAAAATAATTTTTTTCTGGTTTTGTGAAGAATGTCATTGGTAGTTTGAAAGGAATAGCATTACATCTGTAAATTGCTTTGTTGCTTGGGCAATATGGCCATTTTAAGAATATTGATTCTTCCTATCCATGAACATGGGATTTTTTTCCATTTGTTTATGTATTCTCTGATTTCTTTGAGCAGTGTTTTGTAATTCTAATTGTAGAGATCATTTACCTCTCTGATTAGCTGTATAATGGTATTTTGTTCTTTTTGTGGCAATTGCAAATGGAATTGTCTTTATGATTTGGCTCTTGTTTTGGCAGTTTTTGTTGTATAAAAATGCTAGTCTCTTTTGTACATTGATTTTGTATCCTGAAACTTTGCTGAAGTTGTTTATCAGCTGAAGGAGCTTCTGGATTTATACTATGGGGAGATACACACACACACACACACACACACACACACACACACACACACACACAGATAGACTACCTCTCTTCCTATTTGGGTGCCCTTTATTTCTTTCTCTTGCCTGATTGCTTTGGCTAGGACTTGCAATACTACATTGAATAGAAGTGGTGAGTGAGGACATTCTTGTCTTCCACCCATTTTCAATGGAAATGCTTCCATCTTTTGCCCATGCAGTATAATATTGACTATGGGCTTGTCATAGATGGCTCTTATTATTTTAAGTATGTTCCTTCAATGCCTATTTTATTGAGGATTTTTAACATGAAGGAGTGTTGAATTTTATTAAAAGCATTTCTGTGTCAATTGAGATAATCATATGGTTTTTGTCTTCAGTTCTGTTTATGTGATGAATCACATTTATCGATTTGCATATGTTCAACCAACCTTGCATCCCAGGGATATAGCCTACTTGCTTATGTTGGATTAGCTTTTTGACATCCTGCTGGATTTAGTCTGCAAGTACTTTGTTGAGGACTTTTGCATCAATGTTCATCAAGGATATTGGCCTGAAGTTTTGTTGTTGTTGTTGTGTCTCTGCCAGGTTTTGATATCAGGATGATGCTGATCTCATACAGTGAATTGAAGAGAAGTCTGTCCTCCTCAATTTTTGGCAATAGTTTCTATAAGAATGGTCCCAGCTCTTCTTTATACATCTGGTAGAATTCAGCTGTGAATCTATCAGGTCCTGTACTTTTGTTTGTTTGTTTGTTTTTGATTGGTAGGATATTTATTACTGATTCAATTTCAAAGCTCCTTATTGGTCTGTTCAGGAAATCAATTTCTTCTTGGTTCAGTCTTGGGAGGGTGTATGTGTCCAGGTATTTATCTATCTCTTCTAGGTTTTCTAGTTTGTATGCATAGAAGTGTTCATAGTAGTTTTGAATGGTTATTTTTATTTCTGTGGGGTCAATGGTAATATTCCCTTCATTATTTCTAATTGTGTTTATTTGGATCTGCTCCCATTTTATCTTTGTTAGTCTAGCTAGTGGCCTCTCTATCTTATTTAAAAAACCTCCTAGATTAATTGATCTTTTGAATGGCTTTTCATGTCTCAATTTCCCTCAGTTCAGCTCAGATTTTGGTTATTTTATGTCTTCTGCTAGCTTTGGGGTTGATTTATTCTTGCTTCTCTTATTCTTTCAGTTGTGATGTTAGGCTGTTAACTTGAGATCTTTCTAACTTTTTGATGTGGGCATTTAGTGCTATGAAGTTCCCTGTTAACACTGCCTTAGCTTTGTCCAAGATTCTGGTATGTTGTATATTTGTTCTCATTGGTTTCAAAGAACATCTTGGTTTCTGCCTTAATTTCATTATTTACCCAAAAGTCATTCAGGAGCATGTTGTTTAATTTCCATGAAATTGCATGGTTTTGAGCAATTTTCTTAGTTTTTACTTCTATTTTTATTCCACTGTTGTCCAAGAATGTGTTTGGTATGGTTTCAGTTCTTTTGCATTTGCTGAGGATTATTTCATGTCCAATTATGTGGTCAATTTTAGACTATGTGTCTTGTGGCAATGAGAATAATCTATATTCTGTTGTTTTGGAGTGGAGAGTTGTATAGAGGTCTATCAGATCCATTTGGTCCAATGTAGAGTTCAGGTCCTGAATATCCTTGTTAATTTTCTGCCTCAATGATCTGTCTAATACTGTCAGTGGATTGTTGAAGTCCCCTACTATTAATTATTGTGTGGGACTCTATGTCTCTTTGTAGGTCTGTAATATCTTGCTTTATGAATATGGGTGCTTCTGTGTTGGGTGTATATATATTTAGGATAGTTAGGACTTATTGTTGAATTGTATCCTTTGCCATTACATAATGCCCTTCTTTTTCTTCTTAAATCTTTGTTGTTTTAGAGTCTATTCTGTCTAAAATTATAATTGCCATCCCTGCATTTTTGTTTTCTATTTGCTTGGTAGATTTTCCTCTATCCACCCCCGGGACACACATATCTTTTTTTGAGCCTATGGCTGTCATTGTGAAATGGGTCTCTTGAAAATGGCATACCACTGGGTCTTGCTTATTTATCCAGCTTGCCACTCTGTGCCTTTTAAGTAGAGCATTTAGCCCATTTACATTCAAGCTTAGTATTGATTTACATTCAAGCTTAGTATTGATATGTGTGGATTTTATCCTGTCATTTCATTGTTAGTTGGTTATTATGTTGGCTTGTTTGTGTGGTTGCTTTATAGCGTCAGTGGTTAACATCTATTAATATCAGATTGTGAGACTAAGTGCAGTGCCCCTGCTGCAGTTGTCTCTATTCATCCTAGTGTCAGAGCAGTTCTAGGCAGTTCTCATATCCAGACTCTTTCAATGAAGAATATGCAGTAGTCTTCAAAATCTAGGTGATACATGTTACGCATCTCAACATCTCTCTCCTCAAATATTGCTCAGTTCTTTGGTAACATTGGGCTTGTGTTTCATGCCCCAAAGTGGTGGTAGAAAGCTGATGCTAAGAGAATTAGATGACATGAAACTGTAGAGTTTATAGAAGGGTAGGCTTACTTTCAGGAGACCCAAGATTAAGTCTGACCTCTGCTGTTTTTAGGTTTTGTAACTTTAAGAATATTATTTAATCATTCAAGTCTCAGTATTCTCTAGAGTATAATGTTGTGCAGATTAAAAAAGAAAAGCAGTGTAAAAGTGTTGTGGACCACACAGTACTACAGACATTCTAAGATTTACTCTTATTTTGATACTTCTTTCTTTCAAGAAATTGATACATCATATTTTACATCTTTATTGGACACTTAATATTTTATTTGTGCACTGAATGTATAACAATCAAATCAGGGTATTTGAGGTATCCATCACTTTGTGTATTTATTGTTTCTATGTGTTGGAAACAATTCATGTCTTCTATCTACTTTGAGATATACATTACATCATTGTTAACTATAGAAATATTTATTTAAATTCACAAGACACCCACCCACTTTCAAGGAGGGAGATTTTTTTTTTGTGTGGAGGAATTAGCCCTCCTCTTCTAATGTGGGGCAAGAATAATATGGTGCACATGGAAGCACCTCTTCAGTAATTGTACAGTAAGTTTAGCATCTGAGAGTGAAACTCTCCTATCTTCAAGTTAGTGATGATTTCCCTTCTGAGGACCAAAATGTTTATGATTTGGAGGGCAGAGTAAAGACATGGATACTTTGTTATAAGCCTAAGGAATCCCCTATCTTATGGCTGACCTCTTTGAATAAATAATTTATTTTTTTCTCACTTGATACCACTAGTGCAGCAGAGATAGGCAAATAACCATAAATTAGTTTCTAAACTTATTCCTTCTAAATGTGTTTAGAATTGATTTTATGGAAGTATAAAAAGGTATGAGGTTCCTTTTAATAATTCATCCTATCACTTATTGCTGAAATTAGATCTTGGGTTTCATCAAAGTCATTGGCAGTGAAAATAATTACTTAATTTAGCATTAATCCAAATTACATGAGTAAAATACAGGTGAGCTGATCCATACTCTTTGGAAGCCGAGTATTTAAATTTGTGTAGCCTTAAATTATAAAGGACGCTTTTTCTAATCTCTGTGGTTAAGATATGGCCTTTGTTATAATTAAACATATTTTATTTCAATGCCTTGATCTTATTTTTCTCCTCAAAATTCTTCCTTATCAACTGTCATTGGGTATCATGAGGGACACTTAAAGCAAAACAAAATTATTTATTTATTCAAATGCAGGCTGTATATTCTCATCTTAACTCTTTGTGTTTGTAGCTTTCTCTTCTAGAATAATTGCCCTATTTTAATCAACACAAATTTTTTAAGAATCTACTCTGTGACTGACATTCTGTGTTGAAATTCATCTATCCTAAAAGGGCCAGTTAAATTGTCACCTCTATTATAAGTCAATCCCATTCTGCTTAATTGGGATTTTTTTTTTATATCTTATTGGCTAATAGTTTGTTTACGCACTTGTAAGATTATAACTCAGAATACAACAATTATCTCATAATTAATTGTGTTCATTCCTATCTCCTTCTACTTGACTTCGAATGAAGCTTAGAGGCCACACTAGCAGAATAAACCTATTCATAATTCAACTACTCCTTCCCTTTTCTGTTGGAGTATAGGCTCCATTCAGATAGAGACCTATTTCTCTTATTCACTTATGTTTTACCAGAGCCTGTCCCAGCCCTAGCATATAGAAGGCATGGAATAAATATTGTCTAAAAAATGTATGCTCTCCTGAATTGGTTTCAGCAAATGCCAATATGGTGCAAGAGTAACACAGTGTACATTAAAAAGCTTCCCCCAATTTTCATACTGAAAAGAGAGGAATCCAGTTGGATCAGCAATGATGATTATTATTTGATCAACATAATTAAACTTTTTTAGTAAATTCTTTGTGACTATATACTGGAAGACATCCTATTGTACATGAATTGGAGATTTCAGTATAAATAGATATTTATATCATTTTTATAATAAACTGTACAGATCAGAAATACTTACATTGTATTTTATTAGGAACACAACTTCAGGTTGCCAATAAACAAGACACACATATTGTTAAAAGCAAAAATGTGAATAGCTTGACCCTACCTAATTATTGCGGTAAGGCTTTTGTTATCCAAATTGGCCAAGGAATAAGCCATTCTGTAGAATATTGTCTTAAAAAGTCAAAATTCTATCTGCAAGCACTCCATGTTATGTAGCTCATGCCCTTGGTACATATTAGGTATTAAATAAAATTGTGGAACTTTAGTTTCATTTGAGATTAAGATTATGCAATTGCAGAAAAGGTACTTTATATTTAGATTATGCTAACTAAACCTCCTACTCCTTGCCTGGATAAGGAGTACTGAGAATAATAACAATCCTATGTTGATGTTGAAATGTCAAGCCAATGATTTTGCAAGATTCAACTTAGCAACATTGATAGAGGCTAGATGATTAAAAATAATATGAAATGCTAGTCTACAGTCTATATTTTGAAGGCAGAATTCCAATTATAAAACAGTGCCAGAGACTGAAAAATAGCTTTAAAACATTCTCAAGAACTCAACTGCCCTCTGAAACCAGAATCTATCTTTTACATTTTTGGAAAAGTTGGAAAATTAGTTCCTAGACACAATGTTATAGAGGACATAAAAAAAAAACCACGTGGGTACATCAAGATTCCTCTACTACCAGTAAAATGTTAGGGGAACTAGGTATATAGAATGTTATCTTATAAATCAGAAAATATTATCAAAGCTAATTTCCCAAACAGGGGGAAGAATTGGGGGCAAAATACCCCATCAAAGGGGCAAAATACGCCCTCAAGTGAAACAGCCAGAGAGTAGTGGCGTCTAGATAAAAAGATCCATCATAGTGTTTGCCATTGTTATATTATTTATTGGGCTTTCCTTCACTCCTAATCCCTTATCCCTTCAAACATGGCAAAAATCCAGTTAATATGGTTGGTAACCAGCATGTTAGTGTTGGGAGTAACCAGAGATCACTATGGAAACTGAGAGAAAAAATAGATAGGACAATGGTGAAATCTATCACCAGTGCAGACCTATATATACTGAGGTGGGGGTGGGGGCAGTAGAACCCAAAGACTGAATTTCAGGGAGAAGGAATGAAATTGGGGCTGAAAGAAATTCTATGACTAATTTAGGGGATTCGTGTTCTAATAACATAGTAGGGCTCTGTGATTCAGTGAATACCACAGCAATAAAACCCATCTACCATCTTGAGACCTTTGGGAATTTCCAGGCTTTAACTTTATCTGAACTATAATAACCAGAACTCAGATTTTATCTAAGGTATAAACATGCAGTAGATAAAGTTGTGTCAAAGGTAAAAATGGGTTATAGGAAACATTGTGCAATGAGGGCAAATTTCCCTTTCCCTGACTTACAAAGGCTTGTCCTGATTCCTTTCCCCAACCAGAATCTGCTTTCAAGTAGGAATTTTGTAATATTTATTACGCTTGGAGTAAATTTGAATTAATTCATTTTCTTTTTCTGGGGAGGTAGAAAAGCAGAGGGAATGGCATACTCAGAGAATGAGTTAGTGGAAGAAGTAGGACCCAAGGCAGTCTCCTGTGTATGACACCCCGTAGTGCTAAATAAGATCAAGAACTTAACACGCTGATAGCCAACATAAATGATCTGAAGAAATATAGTGTCAGGGAGACATGCATATGCCTTCCTGCTAAGCTGAAGTGCCATTTCTGCATATCTCCTTACTCTCAAACAGACTTTAACTAAAGGGAAACCAAATAGTCTCCACGACTTCACACAGGATCCCTCCTTCCAATACAGAGGGCTGATTCAAGAACTCTTGTCCTTTGAAATAAAAACTTGCTCACCTCTCCCCTCCAACACCCACACTAATGTTTGGATGCCAATTATCCTGAATCTATTGTCTTTCCTCTATTAAACGACACAAATCGTGATGTTCAGTTACAGAAGTTTGTTATTGTTGTCGGTTAGTTTTTGATGAGATACTCTTTGCTTGCCAGTTTTCTATTTAGAAGGGTTTCATGGGCTTGCAATTCTGGGGAATTAAATGGTGGGTACATGAACTAGGAAGCTCAAAAACATTGGCATTGGGGATTTTTTCCCCAGAGAGAGAGAGAGCCAGGAACAGAGAAAGAGGTATAGTCTTAAGCTGCAACTTCAAAATACTATGGGTTTAAAAAATGCAAGGTCAACTAGTCTCCTCTATTCTCCTCTCTACTGCATGAAGAGATTTCTTTTTCTTCTTGGCTTCACTCCTCAATGCCTATCCTTAGAGGAGACTCTAGCTTGGTCAGACTGTACCCTGGAGTTTTGTGATATAGAGACAGAGAACAGAGGTATAAACACGGTGAGAGAGGCACGTAATCAAGTGAAACTGTTACAGTCGGTAGTTACTCATATATGGGCAGGGCAGGAGAGTGTCAACCCTCCACCCCCTACAATCAGGAATGTCAAGTGACCACCAGGTGTTGGTCGGGTAGTTACAGTACCTCGCTAAAATAATAATTGGTCGCAGCTGGTGCCAGGGAAGGCAATCTCCGATAGATAGAAACACCTGAAACGGGTGATCAGGAGCTTCCTAATAGGATCTCAGGAACTGGGCAAGTGGGCTCAAGCTTGCACACTAAGAGGCAAAATGACAGAGTTTAACTGGTAAATGACCTTCTTCTAAGAATACTGGACTGGTAAGAGAAGAATGCCTCAAGTGAGCATGCATACAACTTGAGTAAACACACTGTGCATGCAGCCCCTCCCGAGATCTGGCAGTCCACTGTGCATGCAGATAGCCCACCCCAAGCGAGGAATCAGGGGAAAAGGGGTGCAACCCTCCAGAAGCATGCTGATGTATTAGACCTCAAGTCAAAGGTCAAACCAGGCACTTGATCTCTTGAGTCACCCGCTTGGCCCTCTTCCAAGTATAATTTACTTCCTTTCATTTCTGCTATAATACTTTTATAAAAAACTTTCTCTCCTGCTCTAAAAGTTGTCTCAGTTTCTCCCTCTGCCTTATGCCCCTCAGATGAATTCTTTCTTTTGAGGAGCAAGAATTGAGGTTGCTTCAGACCTATAAAGATTCACTGCTAGTAACAGAAGGACAAGGGAGGATAAAAAGCTGAAGATCAGAGAGGGAAGGATAGAGAAAAACAGTCACTGGTGGCAAGTAAGAGCATAAAATGTAAACAATTGAAAAATAAAGAACGAGGAAGATATGTCAGAAGGGCTAGTGGGTATTAATGGAAACCCTATTACTCTTTCATAGAAATGTAAATTCAAGGTTGGGATTGCATTTTAAGAATAAATTTGTTGTAAAGAATGTACTTTAATTTAATTCAAATTAGTACATGGGGCATTTAGTGAACACCACACAGATACCACTTTCAGAATGGAAGCACTCATTTACCCAACTAATGAGAGTACTGGTTATTGAGAGCTGAAAATTGCTCATGGCCAAAAAGAGCTCCCTGGCCCCAAATAATGCCCTTTCCATGAGGCTATCTAACACCAGTGACTAGTCAATCAATATGAGGTGGAGGAACATCCCTGGCCCCCTTCCCTCAGTGTACAACTATCCAGAGATTCCTGTGGGATTGGCTGGTATTTGTTGAAATTTTACTACAGTTCAACTTCTCTTCTGCAGGGGACTGCTTTGCTTACCCCTTTACAGATGCTGATACCGAGGGTGTTACTAATTAACTTCCTGAATGCAAATTATCCTCTCAAAGTTTGTTTCCAGGAAGCTAACTCATACACGGGTTATATGGTGATTTAGGTTAGATAAGTAGCATACACGGATTCATTCATCCAACATTTGTGAGTTTCTATTACATGCTAGTCACTGAGCTAGATACAGGAAATCCAGCATTGAATAATAGTCAAAATATCGACAGGCTAGAAAGGAAGCCAAGCCTGTAAAATCTAATTGCCATGTGGTTGGTACTATAAGGTAGACATGTAGTAGTTATGAAGAGACCCCAAAGGAATAAATGATGTTGGTGGGTCGTGAATTGCTCCACAGAGCAGATGATGTTTGAGCTTCTGAGCAGGTATTTGAGAATGGTGTAAGATAAAAAGAAAATTCCAGGGAGTATTGCGGGAAGTCAGGGACCCCAAACAGAGGGACCAGCTGAAGCCATGGCAGAAGAACATATGTTGTGAAGATTTCATGGACATTTATTAGTTCCCCAAATTAATACTTTTATAATTTCTTACGCCTGTCTTTACTGCAATCTCTAAATATAATTTGTGAAGATTTCATGGACACTTATCACTTCCCCATTCAATACCCTTGTGATTTCCTATGCCTGTCTTTAATCTCTTAATCCTGTCATCTTTGTAAACTGAGGAGGATATATGTCGCCTCAGGACCCTGTGATGATTGCGTTAACTGCACAATTGTTTGTAGAGCATGTGTGTTTGAACAATATGAAATCTAGGCACCTTGAAAAAAGAACAGGAAAACAGCAATGTTCAGGGAACGAGAGAGAGATAACCTTAAACCCTGACCACCGGTGAGCCTGGCGGAACAGAGCCATATTTCTCTTCTTTCAAAAGCAAATGGGAGAAATATTGCTGAATTCTTTTTCTCAGCAAGGAACATCCCTGAGAAAGAGAATGCGTCCTTGAGGGTAGGCCTCTGAAATGGCCGCTTCAGGAGCGGCTGTCTTTTACGGTTGCAGCTGTAGGGATGAAATAAGCCCCAGTCTCCCATAGTGCTCCCAGGCTTATAAGGACGAGGAAATTCCCACCTAATAAATTTTGGTCAGACCGGTTGTCTGCTCTCAAACCTTGTCTCCTGATAAGATGTTATCAATGAAAATGCGTGCCCAAAACTTCATTAGCAATTTTAATTTCACCCCGGTCCTGTGGTCCTGTGATCTCGCCCTGCCTCCATTTACCTTGTGATATCTTATTACCTTGTGAAGCATGCAATCTCTGTGACCCACACCCTATTCGTACACTCCCTCCCCTTTTGAAAATCACTAATAAAACCTTGCTGGTTTTACGGCTCAGGGGGCATCACGGAACCTGCCGACATGTGATGTCTCCCCTGGACACCCAGCTTTAAAATTTCTCTCTTTGTACTCTGTCTCTTTATTTCTCAGACCGGCCAACACTTAAGGAAAATAGAAAATAACCTATGTGAAATATCAGGGGTGAATTTCGCCCGATATCTGGCTGAATTTCCCCTGATAAGGGAGAGGGAATCAAATGAGGAAAAACATGGAGACCTCAGAGTATCTGAGTTCTTCAGTGAGTTGCTAGTAGTTTGATCTGGTTGAAATGTTGAATGGGTGATAGGAATGGTTAGTAAGGCAGAGGAGGAAGCCTCTGTGAGTTTTTCATATACCAAGCTAGTGTTTGAACATTATCAAGATGTATTAGGAAAACTTTACAGGGTTTATGGAGGGGAGTGATACAGGCATATTTTACTTTTTGTTACATTTTTCAGTTGAGATTCCGACCATGCAAGTGATGTTCCTTGGTGCAGTGCCTTAGCTGTGATCTCTGAATATATATATGGCCAGACTAGATGCTTTAGAATTGTGCAGGGCTGTTCCTAACAAAGTAGACCCTAGACTTCACACACGTCTAACTGAACTAGAATCCCTGAAAATTAGGGCCAAGAATTTGAATGTTTCACAAGTATTTCTACCCAGCCATGCTTACGTTTGTGACTGTGGTTCTGTCAAGGAGCTACACACACTGAAGTCTTAGGGTGGAAATGAGCAATATGAGATGGGAGCAGTAATCCCCCAGCTGATCATAGCTTTCAAAAACGTGGTGATAGAGGCATTCAGTACTTCTGGATCAGGAGTCTCTGGGATTTGAGCCTTAGCATCATTGATGATAAAACGGAGCCTGACAAAAATCTTTCGCTACAACAATCCCGTGGTTAGACTGGGCATTTTTCTTGATACAATGTTTCTAGCTGCATTGTTCCTTATTGTGTAACATTTAACCTTAGTTCCCTGGACCTCCTGGAAATTTCATGCAATACCGTTTTAATTTCACCTGCAATGGTTAGAATGAATTTTATCTACAATTAAGAAATCTTAATCAATACATAACTACATACATTTATGATTGAAATTGTCTTAGGAAAAAAGCAAATCTGTTAGTATTAACTGGAATTATTACTAAAAAGTAATAATTTGTGATCAAGTCTTACTGAAAGATTCTGGAGAATTTTGTGATTTAAACTCCCTTTGAAAATAACTGCTATAGATATCATGGGCTTGCAAATCATTTTTGAGTTTATAAAGTGCTTTCTAGCACTTTTTCTTCTGCTTTATTAATAAATACATTAAGTACCTACTGTCAACCTTGTAAAGCAGTTGTTATTTTACAGATAAAGATTTTACAACTGAATGAGTTTAAATTAATTATTTAAAATTACATATCAGCCAATGGGAAGTTGAAGTTTAATTGTTAGTCTTTTGATGCCAAAATGCAAAGGCTGTCTAAGTCATTCTTATGGCCCTTTGGTGTTTATTGCAATTGAAGCAATGATTTTTGATATTCAGTTTTGATCAACATTTTTCAGCTCTTGTTATGTGTGAGACAATATGCCAAACACCATGTGATATACACATGCTTCAGATGAAAGCTTCTTTAAGACCTGTGGTACAATTAGGGTAGCACTTGTGTTCACAATTATTCAGAACTCAAGACAGAATGAGCTAGGTTTTATGGGTATCAGAGGAGGAAGAGATTTATGCCAACTAGAGTACCAGGGAGAGTTCATTGAAGAGGTGGAATTTGAATTGAGCCCTGAAGAGTTGTTCAGCAGAAAGGGCAACCTTCATGTTCCACAGGGCTCCTTGCTCAGAAGGCTCACACTCTTGCTCCTTGCTTAGAAGGCTCGCACTCTTGGTTTAATGCTCTGCTGTCTTGAATTCTTGACAATTTTAGTGAGGGCCTCTGGATATTTATTTTGCACTGGGTGCCACAAATTATGTAGCTGGTCCTGAGTAGGAATTCTGTGGGCAGATGTATTGAAAGTAAAGATGGTATGCACTTTTAAGTTTTATTTTATTTTTAAATATTTAAGCGCTTATTTTAGATTCAGGGGTACATGTGCAGGCTTGTGAAATAGGTAAACTCATGACTTGGGGGTTTGGTGTGCAGATGATTTCATCACCCAAGTACTAAGCATAGTGTCCTAGTTTTTTGTTTTTGGTACCTCTCCCTTTTCCCATCCTCCACTCTCAAGTAGGCACTAGTGTCTGTTGTTCCTCCTTTTCTATCTGTGTTTTCTCATTACTTAGCTCACACTTATAACTGAGAACATGTAGTATTTAATTTTCTGTTCCTGAGTTAGTTTGCTAAGGATAATGGCCTCCAGTTCCATCCATGTTCCTGCAAAGGACATGATCTTGTTCTTTTTATGGCTGTGTAGTATTCCATGGTATATAAGGACCATATTTTCTTTATCCAGTCTACTGCTGATGGGCATTTAGGTTGATTCCATGTCTTTGCTGTTGTGAATAATGCTGCAATGAACATATGTGTGCATGTGTCTTTGTGGTAGAATGATATATATTCTTTTAGGTGTATACACAGTAGTGGGGTTGCTGGGTTGAATGGTAACTCTGTTTTTAGTTATTTGAGGAATAGCCATAGTGTTTTCCACAATGTTCTACTTTGATGTATTTTGAGGATTTACTTCAAGATTTAGAGCTCCTTTTAGCAGTTCTTGTAGTGTTGGCTTTATGGTGACGAATTCTCCCAGCATTTGTTTGCCTGGAAATGACTATATCTTTCTTTCATTTATGAACCTTGATTTCACTGGATACAAAATTCCTGGCTGATAATTGTTTTGTTTAAGGAAGCTAAAAATTGGATCCCAATTCCTTCTAGCTGTAGAGTTTCTGCTGAGAAATCTGCTGTTAACTTGATAAGTTTTCCTTTATAGGTTACCTGATGTTCTTGCCTCACAGCTCTTAAGATTTTTTCCTTCATCTTGACTTTAGATAACCTGATGACTATGTGCCTAAAGGCTGGTCTCACTCCCACTGTGCCCCTGCAACAGCACTGAGTCTATTTCCAGGAAGCTGGAGATCAGAGCTGAGAACTTGCACCAGACCACAAGCCTCGCCGTTGAGAAAGCAAGCCAACTCACAGTTTTTTGGCATCTCCGAGAGCCTGCAGCAGTAATTCAGTTTCTTCAAAGGGTTGTGGATTCTCTCAGCTTTCCTGGTGTGTTCCTGAGGTAGTTCTTGGAGCAAAAGTTCACGATGTGAGTCTCCACACGCTGCTCTGTCTGTCTGAGCCGGGGCTGCAAGCTACTTCTGCCTCCTATTCATCATCTTAATCCAAGAATATCTCCATTCTCTTCTTACATTGTCATATTATATCAGTAATGACTTCCCTAAATGTATCAACTGGCCAGGCATTGTGGCTCAGGACCGTAATTCCAGCACTTTGCAAGGCTGAGGCGGGAGGATCACTTGTGCTTGGGAGTTCGAGACCAGTCTGGGCAACATGGTGAGACTCTGTCTCTACAAAAAATAAAAAGAAAAATAACTGGGCGATTACACCACCACATTCCAATCTGGGTGACGGAGTGAAACTCTGTCTCAAAAAAAAAAAAAAGAATAAATAAGTGTATCAACTAAGTCTCATCTTTTCTCATAGTTTCCTTCATTTTTCTTTTTGCCACATTTGAGGAGTTTGCACTGGTTTTCTAAATGCCAATGTACATTCTGGTATGTATTGGGAGTTTATTGATTTTGCAAACAAACTCTGTTATTTTCAAGAACTCTATCCCATGATTCTGTTTGTTTCCTCCTTTTCAGACCTGCCAAGCTATTATTTTAATTAATCCAATATCTACTTAAATTTTATTAATGTCTGGCATTTTAATGTTTTATATGTTAAGCTTACCTTTCCCTTTTGTCTTTTGAGCGGCTGCTGCTTTCTATATTTCTTGAATATTGTGTTATTGTTGTAATTGGTTTATATTTATAAATATCTGGAAAGACCAGTTTCAATGATAATATAGACTCTATCTTCTGTAGTGAAGACACTCTATTGTTTTCTTCTGGCCAGAGAGTCTCCTCTAAGATTTGGAGTGATTACAGAATCTGGGGGTAACCACACGCCTCTTTTCCTTATATGTTGCCTACAGCAAATAAGGAGTTGTGACAATCTAACCATGCCTAATGTAGGAGGCCGGTGGAGTGCCTGCCTTTTAAAGTACTTGATGACTTCTCCATTATTAATTGCTCTATCCTTCAGCTTTTGATGGTGAGATTTAGGGGGCTGTATCCTGTTGAAGCTTCGGTAGAGAGTGGAATACAAGGGAGGAGCGAATTAGGAGTAGAAATATAGGAAATTTCCTTTTTCTTCTAGTGGCAGCTCTGAGTTAGCTGGGGTGTGCCCTTCTCCTTTCTTTTGTTTCTTGATGACTTCATATTCTTGTTCTGTACCCTAAATTTACATTAAAAGTACAATCTGTTTTAAATGTATTTTAATTGCTGGAGAATTATTCAGTCTACAAAACTAAATTGGCAAGAGACTGACAAAATCTATACTTCCTTTATAGCTGTGAACTCCACCAAATTCCTATCTGCATGTGGCAAAAAACGAGGTGGAAGGAGAAAGGAAAGTTAACATTGGTATTTTGTGTGAGTGGGAAAAAAATTTCTCTTTTTTTTTGTTTTTAAATAATATGTTTAGGACAGTTTGGGATTTACAGAAAAACTCTAGTTTTCCCAATTATTAACAGTATTTATACGGTACATTTGTTGCAATTAATGAACCAATATTGACATATTGCTATTGACTAAAGTCCATATTTTATTTAGACTACCTTAGTTTTTATTTAATATTCTTTTTTTGTTCCAGGATCTCATCCAAGCTACCATCATTGCATTTATTCATGTCTCCTTAGGTTGCTCTTGGCTGTGACAGTTTTTTGTGTTTCCCTTGGTTTTAATGACCTTGATAGTTTTAAGGAATATTTGGTAGAATATCACTCAATTGGAAAGTCTATTTTTTTTCTCATGCTTTGACTGGAGTTGTGGATTTTGGGAAGGAAGTGAAAAGGGGTTAAGTATTTTTATCCCATAATATCAAGCGTGAGTATTTTCATCTCATAATATCAAGCGTACACACTAATTTTTTTTCTGTTTTATAAGAGACAGGGTCTTACTCTGCTACACAGGCTAGAGTGTGGTGGGATGCTCATAGCTCACTGCAGCCTCAAACTCCTAGGCTCAAGTCATCTTCTCACCTCAGCCTCCTAGGTCCAGGCCCAGCTCATTTTAAATTTTTTTTGTAGAGACAGGTCTTGCTATGTTGTCCAGTCTGGTCTTAAACTCCTGGCCTCAAAGTCTCCTCCTACCTTTGCCTCCCAACGTTCTGGGGTTACAGGGATGAGCCACCTCACTTGACCCATACCATTATTGTTAATGATAACATTGATCACTTGGTTGAGGTAGCCTTTGTCAGGTGTCTCCATTATCATGTTTTTTTCCTTGCATTCCTCCTTTTCATGCTAAATTCATTGGAAATTAGTAACTACACCCAATCCATACTTAAGAAGTGGACAGAATATTTACATAAATTACATGGAATTTTTCTACATGGGAGATTTGTCTTTTTCCCTTCATTCATTTATTAATTTATTCAATATTTTATTTATACTAGTACAAACCCATGTGTATTTATTTTATACTTTGTGTGATAATACAATACGGCTTTATTTGGTTGCTCAAATTGTTCTAACCTTGGTGCTTGGGAGTTCATTCAGTTGACTCCTGTGTCCTTTTGACATACTGCCGTCAATATGGGTTTTCCTTTCTCTCTCTCTCTCTCTCTCTCTCTCTCTCCTCCTTTTAGTACTTATTTTCTGGCATGTATCCCAGGCTCATTGTGTATGTTTTCTGTCCCAATCTTAGAATTAACCATTTTTCCATGTAGTCCTGGCTCCTTTTATTGGAGAATATGTTAGAAACCAAGATCTGGGTGATAGGTGTGTTCTTTGCTGTCAGGGTTTTATATCTAATTTCTCTCATATGATAGAAAAAAATCTTTCTTTTATATTGTAGGGGCAGAAAGAAGGTGATCTCTTTCTCTATGACACCACTTTAACAAGACAGATTAACAAGAGAAAAGCATAACAACTTTATCACATATACATCTATGCACAGGAGTCACACATGATATAAAATCTCAAAGAAAAGGCCAAATGTTTGATGTTTATATACCCACTTCAATAGGGAGATGGAAGTAGGGGAAATGTGCTCAATTCTTTAGAAGGATAAATGATTACTAGGAAGAATAAATGGACATCAGGAGACAGAAATTAACTTGTAAATAATTATCTTTATAATTGGAATGAGACTGAAAGGAAGACATCATCTGGTGAAAGTCCATCCATGTGTGGTTGCATTCCTCAATCTTCTTTCTTGCTATTGGTAATGAGGTTTCTGGGAGGGGATGGAAGGCGATTCTGTTCCTCTTTGGGAGTCCAGTTTCTAGGTAAATAAGGGAACCTCAGAGAAGAGCTTCATCCTGTGCTTTGGGAGAGACAAAGGATTGAGAGAATTGAGGGATGGGATCAGAGAGACCTTGAGGCTCTCTACATTTGCTCCTTTAGTTCATCACGTCAAAGCACCATATATTAGGGCATGATTTTCTAACCTTAACAATGTGTAAATACCGTGTGGTTAAAAGGTGAGAAAATAATCTAATTCTGGGATTGTGAATATTTGTGTAGCCTGGTCTGTTTTCTATATAATGCTGACCACAGCCAAATTATGGCTCAGTGTTTAGCATTGGCCTTCTTGAAAAACCACATGATATACAGAATCTGTCCAAGGCATAGAAATAGTAGAAAATGTGAAAATCACCCTTACTTGGGGTATCTCATATAAGCACATTGGGATTCTCCACACACTTTTAACCATTAATTCTTGCTCCATATTGGTTTTCTTTACATTATTCTGAGCTTTCATTTGCTATAATAGTTCAAGTTTAACACCCCCAAATATTGGCATCTTTGATACTTGAGTATTTCTTCTTTATTTACAACTTTGTACTTACATTTGAAGCTTGGATTGACCCTATTGCTGCGATTAACCTCACTGCTTTACTCTTCCTATGAAAACCCCACTAGTTTTTTGGGTTTTTTTTTGTTTGTTTTTTGAGTTGTTATTGCCTTTTGCCATTGTGGCTTTTCCCTCCTAAAGAAGTTATTACAGCAGGTATGGGCCAGTTTCATGAACCTGACTTAGCAACATGCAGGGCTTTGGTTAAGTTAGCATATTTTGCAGTGGGGATGCCTTTGGAACAACTGATCTTAACTTTATTTCAAATTAGGATGAGCCTCTCCCTAGAGTGCTTATCATAAAGGGAAAGCTCTGATAAATAGCTGAGAGTCTCTTTCAACTTTTTATAGCTCCGTCCAAACCATAATTATAAAACATTAAAAACGTGGATTTACAAATTGAGAACGTGGATCAGAAGAACATTTCAAATTGTGCCTCCAGTTAGCAGACAAGATGGATTCCCTGTGGCTCAAAAGTTACAAGCAGAACCAAGAGGCCATGGCAGGGTGAGAGGGCAGTCACATTCTGTTGTGTCCTTAGAAAGTGTTGCAGAACCTGTTTTTCTGCAACTGAGTCAAAGAACAGTTCCTGAAAAGTACTGCAGCTGGAAATTTCCCAGCTGACCGCTAGCAAGTCACCTGGAGCCAACCAGCTGACCACCTGGAACCAGCCAATCAAGAAAGACTGATGATATGGGGCTTAAAGGTCATCTGGTCCAGACTCTGTTCCTCATTCCCCTGCCTCCCCTTCCCTGCCCTGCAGTTTTTACCTTCATAATCTCCTGCATTCCAGACCCTCTTCAAAGTGCACTTTCATCTCCGCAATCTGCAGATTGCTTTTAGAAAATAAAGTTGTAGGTTGACTGTAGTTAATAACAACTTAATTGAATATTTTAAAATAAGTTAAAGAATGTGATTGGATTGTTTGTAACTCAAAAGATAAATGCTTGAAGGGAAAGACACCCAATTCTCCACGATGTGCTTGTTTCATATTGCACGCCTGTATCAAAACATCTCGAGTACCCCAGAAACATATACACGTACTATGTACCCACAAATATTTAAAATAATAATAATAAAAAGAAAATAATAAAGTTGTTTTGCTTTTGCAGATCTCATTGGTCTTTTGTTAACACACAGTTTTTCCCTTTGTTGTTTGAACAGAGCATTGGAATAATCTTTTACTTGTTTGTGTTTACAAATTTAATTTGTTGCTTTTGAGATCTCTGAGCATTTTCCAACACTAAATTTTAGATTTAAACTATCTCCTGGCAATGTGTTGCTATCTACATGAAAGCCCTTTCTAAAATGCAAAGGTAGCCACCCACATTCTTACAGGAGGAATTTCCTGTCACCTCAGAGATCTAGTCCTACCCACCTCTTCAGTGGTATCTTCTAATCCTTTGCCATTTACAATTTTTCCTGGATATATGCTCACTGTCTTGCAGTGAATATGCCAGGTATCCCCACACTGTGTCATGCCATCTTGGTGTGCCTTATTGAAGTGCTTTGAACTCAGACTATGTTCAAATACTAATCATTCCATTTGCGAAATGCATCACTTTAGACAATGCTGGTATGTTTTCATTTTTTTTTTGCCAATTCTAAAATGGGGGCCAAAAGTATTGAAGCTATTATGTTATTAAATTTTAATGAGATCACATTATGTCAAACATTCATTATTTATCATGACACATATGGATTGTGTAAATATGTTCAATTTTTCTTCATCTGGATAACTTCTATTCATCATTCAGGAATTAGCTGAGGTTACCCTCTTCTCAAAACAAGCTTTCATTCCTTATCCCTCTCCTCCCCAACCAAGGTTATTGTAATGATCAGTCTTGGCTAGATAAACTGTATTTTTACCTATTTTAAAATCCTCAGGGATTTTCCTTTTCCCTGACTGTGTTTGTCATTGAAATATTTACTGAAATAATGAACATTAATTGTGTTGGCTGGCCAATAGAATTAATTAAAATAAGCTTACATGTTTTGACTTAAGATTGTATCCAAATCGAAATAAATATGAGCACAAATCAAATATCCTAATCTAAGCTCTCTGTCCTCTACATGTTTGTCTTAACTATGTTTTTTTTTTCTAGACAAGTTTAGAATGAATGAAAGGTTTACTGTTTCATCTAAGGCATTATATACATGATGGCATAATGCCTTAGAGACCATTTCAGAGAGATTTCTTTTGAGATTTAAATTATTACCGCTTTAGGGTTTTCTCCTTATGTTTGAGAACAATTCAATTAAAATACCTGCATAATCAGTGCATATGGAATTCCTTGGATTCTAATCAATATTTTCTTACTGGAACCTCATTCTCAATTTCTATATTTTAGAAACCAACCAACCAGTGGCTCCACTAAAAACCCTCAACTTCACAGGAAATGGTAGACCTGACCTCTGCCTAATTTCACCTGTGCATCACAACCAATCCCATGCATGTCAGAAATACTTCAACCTCAACCTCAGTTGACTGAGCCAAATTCAATCTCATGCCACACTATCACTTTAGCTGATGTACTGGTAAAAACAGTTTGACTATGTTTCTGGATTAGCTATTGGTTAATAACCACCTAATTGTCACATCAGATATAAGCACCACACTTTTAAACATGCTAATACAAGACCTGTAACTCAGCCCCTGGCTTGATAGTAAATGGTTCATTTTCACATCCTAGGTCAGGCATTCATTAGTTGTTTGACTTCTGTAAGTCATGTAATCTGTGGTTAGTCTAACCTAGCAGTTAGACTCAAAGTGTGGTTATGAGGTTCCTGAGGGTCTCTCTTCAGTTTCTTTCAGAGGATCTGCAAGCAAAGTAAAAACTATATTCACACTAACACTGACATTACTTGCCAATTCTATTCTCTGTCTCTCATAAGTGTACAGTGGAGTTTCCCAGAGACTACATGACACATA
Organism: Homo sapiens; assembly: GCF_000001405.40. Taxonomy (NCBI): domain Eukaryota; kingdom Metazoa; phylum Chordata; class Mammalia; order Primates; family Hominidae; genus Homo; species Homo sapiens. Next base: position 14,352,067 of record NC_000002.12, on the reverse strand, counting down.
ATACTGCACAAAAATTGAATGCAAAAGCAAATGTGAGAATCCATCAGTCTTCTTTTAAGCCAAGTCTTAAAGAGATTTACCAAAAATGTAAAATAATGGCCATCTTCTCAATCATATTTGCTTGTAAAACAGTAATTTTTATAAAATACATTAACATAAAATGGGTTTATGGTTATTTTAAATGAAAATAATTTAGTTTTTGCAATACAGTAGTTATTGATGGAGACACTCCATATAACGAAATCTCTTAGGCATCATCTGTAATTTTTAAGACTATATAGGGATTCTGATCTTTCATATATCCCAAATAGAATAGTTATATCTGGGGTTATTGTGAATATTATATAATATAAAGCACCTACAAAGTGCTTTGTGAACTACAATACACATTATAATAACAGGTAATATTATTCTTATTAACATTCATTTTGGAAGGGTCAAATATTTTGAATGCCAGTGGAAACAATTTAAATCAACCTCCTGGTTTCCTTCTACCTCTGGATAATCCTTCATCTGTTAGTGACAGCTGGAGAAGTAATAGTAATCACAGTCATGTGTAAATCATGGGTTTTCAGTGTTACTTATAGATTAAAGGGTCTCTTATTTCAAGCTACCAGCAGCAGAATATGTTGTCATGATAGGTGTTTAAAATATTAATCTAGATTTTTTTCTATAAGGGCCAATTATTTGTCTAGGCACTCAAAATACAAAATTAAAACTATTGCACCTTTCCTTAAAGACCATCTAGTGTAATAAAGAAGGCATGCATATTAGTGGGTTATCTTAATACTATATGATGAATACATCAGTGAGAGTTAAGGCAGGGGTACAGTGGGAACACAGAGGCTGGCCTATAATTTTGTATAAGGAGCATTAGGGAAGGCTTCCTGGATGAGGTCTTATGTCAGGCTAGAGTGATTAGTTGGAGTTATCCAGATGAGGATGTGAAAGGAAGGGAAGGAGAATGTAATATAGGTGGGGAAATGCACAAGACATCACAAGGCACTGATTGCACAATAGATTTGTGAGCAAGAACAAGATATTTGGAATGACTGAAGCATAAAGTGGGAGGCAGCCAGTGGGAAGAAAACAGGCTGGAAACCTAGGGTAGAAAGTGAAAGTCTTTATAGGAACCTGGACTCAATCCTATGTGGCATTTAATTGAAGGGTTTAATTAGAGGAGTAGAATGGTCACATTTTTAATTTAGAAAGTTGAACATATTCTCAAACGTTATACAAAATTGTCTTGCTTCATGGCATAAACACTGCAGTCATTGATAGAATTGGCCTCAGTTTTGCTAAGTACAGTGAAAGATCACATCTCATTTCCCAGTTGCAATAATTAGTTTCTTAAACCATAAGAAAAAACAAATGAAGAAACACAGCATTTAATTGTCCCATTTAACATGAAATTTGGAGGTAGGTAGTTCAAGTACTCAACTGTCTCCTTCCCTTGAAATCACTGCCTTTAGCTGTCAGTAGTCTTCCCCTCAGGTTTACCAGATGACCGCTGTGAATCTAAGCATCAAGTTCTCACACAACAAAGTCTAAAGAAGGAATGGCATATTTTTCTCATATAACCATTTCTTTTATCACAAAGGAAAATAATTTCCAAAAGTCACCTTGTAGACTGGTTTTGTCTCTCGGGCTAGGAGATATGTTCTTACTACCAGAACAATCCCTATTAGATAAATCATGATTTATGCTGAGAATGGGGTCTGGATACAGTTCTGTTTGAATAGAGTAAGGATTCTGGGAGCAGGCAAGTAGAGGGCAACTAGATGTTAGATAAACATCAACACTCCCTACTATGCTAGATTAGTTCCAAAATAGAAATACAGCCACTTGACCCAATGGTAACATACCCCATTCTTTGTAATGGTTTTTCATTCTGATTCAAAAATACGATTTGGCCTGTATTACTCCTGGAAAGTCCCTGGGCTTCCAATGGCTCTCTGATTAGATTGCAAGGCCTGTGCTTTGGACACTCTCTAGCTCACCATGCATGCACACACCAAGGCACTCAATTGCCCCCTCTCCACAGCTCCTGCGTCTTTGTCTCTAATTTCTCTGTTTTCAGCCCCTTTCCATCAGATCTTTGAATCTCAATCTCTCTCTCTCTCTCTCTCTCATTTTCTCTCTCTCTCCCCCTCCATCTCTCAGGTTCCTGGAATCTACTCAACCAAAAAGAGTGATACATACATTTTAGTGTGAACTGTTTTGTTTTTTTTTTAATTGCTGTTTGTTTGTTTGTTTTTGAGGAGGAGTCTCGCTCTGTTGCCAGGCTGGAGTGCAGTGGCATGATCTCAGCTCACTGCAACCTCCGCCTCCTGGGTTCAAGTGATTCTCCTGCCTCAGCCTCCCGAGTAGCTGGAACTATAGATGTGCACCACCACACTCAGCTAATTTTTGTAGTTGTAGTAGAGACGGAGTTTCACCATGTTGGCCAGGATGGTCTCGATCTCTTGACCTCCTGATCCACCCGCCTTGGCCTCCCAAAGTGCTGGAATTAACAGGCATTAGCCGCCGTGCCCAGCCTTGTGAACTGTTTAATACAACTCATAATTTATGCATATTTCCAAAACCCTCTAGCAGTTCTTATTGAGATTAATCATTCCAATGATGATTCCAGGCTGTTCCTCCTTTGAATTGTTGGATCTGGGGTAGAACAAGGGGCTAACACTGAATGATAAGCCTTGGTCTTTTATAGCATCCTCCAGCAGAACAATGCTTCTCAAAGTGTGTGTTGTCTATACCAGCAGCATTACTTGGGAATGAGTGAGAAGTCTAAACTCTTGGGCCCTAAGTTAGAAACCCGGGGAATAGAGCCCATAATCTATGGTTTAATAATCCCTCCTGGATATTCTAATACACATTTATGTTTGAGGAACACAAGAATAAAAATGTCAGAAATCTGGAGTTAGGCAGTTGACTTTGGTTGAAATAATAAATCTTTCTGAGCCTCTATTATAATTTATTATTATTGATAAAATACCTACTTGATGAAGATTAAATGGACAAGTATTGTTTAAGAACTGAGCTTCACTTTCGTTACTCATTAGTAGTAGGATTTTGTGCTCATATTTTTCTCCTCATCTTTTTGAAGGTGATTTTTAATAATTTTTTTGAATCGTAACTTTTATGTTAATTTTAGCTACTCATAATCCAATTACTCGTCAGAAATGCTTTATGTTGTGCCCTTTCTTGGATAAGATCAATATATGTTAAGTACTGAAGCTTTTCTGTCTTTTCCTAGTGTTTTAACTTTGCCCTTTGTCACCCACATTTTGGCTTTTTAACACCCAAGTATTTTGTCTTTAATGTGCACTGCCTGTGCTCGAGATGGGTACAAATGATTCTCCAAGTCATTCTCTCTCTCTCTCACTCTCTCCCTTCTCTTCTTTCCCCCTTTCATCTCCTGGTTGGGATTCATACAGCTGCTATTTCATTTCCTTAAAAGTCACTTTTCTTCGGGGTAAAAAGGATGCCTACATATGCTGAGTTCCCTGGCTGTGGGCTTGTAGTTGAGAAATACCACCGTCTGTTCATATCTGCCTGAGAAACGCTCTCCACTCGGTGCCAATAGTGGCTGTAAATGGTCTCAGCTAGCAGGACTGTGTGGTTTCATTTCTGGGTGCACGACGTCACAACACAAAATGGGCATCATTTCTGGTACTGCACACATGTTTCTAAGTGATTCCCAGCTCTGACTCTTTTGAGCAGGATGATGGCTTTCGTTAGTATGGGCAATCCTGATTCTGTTACTAAACGCTTCTAGGAGGAAAGATTGAGGTATTGTTTTTCCCTGACAAAAGCCTATTCTAAGAACTGTAGCAAATAAGTGGCAGCTTTTCTGAGCACCTACTATATGTACACACTGTGCTAGGTGCTTTTAAAACATTGTCCTTTTTTTTTTTTTTGAGACGTAGTCTTGCTCTGTTGTCAGGCTGGAGTGCAGTGGCGCGATCTCGGCTCACTGCCACCTCCGCCTCCTGGGTTCAAGTGATTCTCCTTCAGCCTCCTGAGTAGCTGGGAATACAGATGCGTGCCACCACTCCCAGCTAATTTTTGTATTTTTAGTAGAGACGGGGTTTCACCATGTTGGCCAGGATGGTCTCTATCTCTTGACCTTGTGATCTGCCCGCCTCGGCCTCCCAAAGTGTTGGGATTACAGGCGTGAGCCACTGCGCCCGGTCTGTCCTGATTGTTTACAATGATCTTTCAAAAAAGTATCATAGCCTTATTTTACAGATGAGGAAACTATGGTTCTGAGGCTGTAACTGATTTTTCCAGTTACACAAGTACTGGATAGGAGTCTTTTATTACTACCTAGATGTCTGTTTCCAATGTCTTTGTGACATACTGAAAATAAAGGCAAATCATTAGAAATGTATAGTGAACTGTTACTGAAGATTTTGATAGCAATGCAATTTGGTATAGAGTAGCTTGATTATGTACATGCATCTGTCTGTGTGTGTATGTGTGTGTATGTGGGCGTGTTTTCGATACTGAACTTGCTACCAGCTAAGTATTTAGAAATAATCTTTGGATTGCTAACTTTTAGCTTACAACCCTAATACATATCAAAGAATTGTTGTATGTCTAGTTTGAGGGAAGGAGAGCATGTATGTATTCATGTTTTCACTGTTCACTGATCATTTATTAATCATCCAATAAATATTAGGGACCTACTAGTTAATACACTATGGACTAGGAATAAACTGATAACAGGGCAATTCCCGCCTTTGGGAGTCTTTGACCTTCTCCGTGTTTTAAATAAGTTTATCCATTTTACATTCAAGATTATCACGCACTGGTTATTTCAGAAGTTAAAGAAGCACCTTAGATCAGTCTTAGCTCTGCCATGTTACCTGGACGTACGTCCTTAAATACTTTACCGTTCTACATTTGTTTACTCATTTGTGAAATATAACACACAAATAACCATGCTGACAACTTCTCAAAGTCAAGATAAAATATGATGTATATGAGGGCAACTTGCAATCTCCAAAGTGTGATATAATATTAATCACAATATCGTTAATTGTGATTAATATTACTCATAATATTAATCATAATGTTAATTGTGATTAATATTACTCACAATATTTTCACAATAATTATGTAATATATTATTGATAATATTTTAGGATGAATAGTTATTTTCACTGATATTTTTAAAAGGTCATGTGACCTGTAAGAACCCATGAACTGTAAATTCAATGAAATTTGCTACTTCTTTACTCAGAAATGAGAGGCAATTGTATTTTTACTTCTAGTTCAAAATGTTTGAATGTTTAAATAACTGTCATCTGTGGTCCTGAAGATGCTCCCATGGAGGCTGATTTGGAAACATTACATAATTATGCAGAAGCAGCATATGCTGAAGAAACATGTAGACCTGCTTTTAAAACCTGCCATTTTTTTTTTTTTCTGAAAGACTCATGACAAGGAAATAAAATAGGAGAAAATAGTGACACCTAACTCACAGAATTGCTGTGATCATTCAATATAATCCTATGTAAAATGGCTGAAGAATTATAAAACATTACAAACATCTTAGATTATTTATTACAATTAGAATATTGCAGAACATAGTCATAGGAGGTGGTAATGGTAGATTTTTCAGTTTTTGACCCATAATTTCCCCTTGTTTGAAGAAAATTCAGATAACTCTTCTTTAAGTAGATTTTAAAAACCCACAATTTAAATATTTGTTTCCTTCATTTACAGGGATATTTGTTGTAGCCAAGCAAAATTCAAGATGCAACTTGTGACTTCTCATTGGATACTTCCCTTACTTCTATGAAGTAGCCATCTCGACTCATTCCCTCTGGTTCCCACTCTTCTCTCTCTAACTTTTCATCTTATTTCCAAGCCTTTATTATAGTTACCATGTACATATCTATTTTCTCACTGAAACATAACTCCTTGTATTAGTCAGGGTTCTGTTAGAGGGACAGAACTAATAGGATACATACACATACACACACACACACACACACACACACACATATATAAAGAGGAGTTTATTAAGTATTAACTTACACAGTCACAAGGTCCCACAATAGGCTGTCTGTAAGCTGAGGAGCAATGAGAGTCAGACTTAGTCCCCAGACTGAAGAACTTGGAGTGCAATATTCGAGGGCAGTAATATCAGACTCCAACTTCGATATCCAGCATGGGAGAAAGATGTAGGCTGGGAGGCTAGGCCTGTCTCATCACTTCACGATTTTTATATTCTCTGGTGGCTGATTAGATGGCACCCATCCGATTAAGGGAGGGTCTGCCTTCCCCAGCCCACTGGCACAAATGTTAATCTCCTTTGGCAACACCCTCACAGACACACCCCGGACCAATACTGCATCCTTCAATCAAGTTGACACTCACTAGTAACCATCACACTCCATGGGGATAGATAGCAACTCCTATTTATTTATTCCTGGAGAATATCACAGTTACTGGCCAATGGAAGGCACTCACTAAATATCTGTTGCCTAAATGCATGATTGTTTCTAAAAATGCCAAGGAATTTCTTATTATACAAATAAAATTGTACTGGGATTTTAAAAAATAGTTTATTTCTAACTATACATAAATAATGACTCATAAAATTGATTTAAACATATAAGGATTTCATGGTAAAGTTATGTATAGGTACTTAATATGATCTCAAGAAATATTTTCTATACTTTCATATAAAAATCAGTAGAAAATGTTTTAGAGTAGAACATTTCAGTATTTATACTTCATAAAATACATTTCTATAAATAATTAAAAGATTACTTTTTGAGTGAAGTGTAATTTTAAGCAAAAGTATATTATAGTCAATTTTGTTTTGTTTTCTATATCTTAGTAAGATCATTGCTAAGGTTATCAATTAATTTAGAAAATCACATCTGTGCTCAAGAGAGCTGGGATTGTTTTCTTGTTGAAACAGGGAAGCACTACACAGTATATAAAAATGAGTGTTAATTATCTACAAACACCAGGGGGTAGAGAATTAGCTGAATGCTCATACCTGTGTAGGCATTGTAAATATGTATTTCATACCATGGTACTATTTCTAACCAATATAAGTATTTGACAATTTTTATATTGACTTTAGAGCAGAAAATGTATCACTGTGGTAAACACTTTAGTAGAGGGGAAAAGAAGGGGTGTGAGCAGTGTGAATCCACGGTAGTGACACACTTTGGGTCTTTTCCATTTTTCCTAAAGTAGGTTTGATTTTGGATTTTATAGAAGAGAATATAAGAAAAACAATTCAGAATGTGATATACATGTTTCTGAAGAAAGAGAGCAGTAGGCTCAGTGAGATGTGAAAAGAGAAGGGATCAAAGGACTAGGCTGAGGGAGAGATTTTCAAGTACCGCAAAACATGAAATTTGTGTGATAGAACTATTCTACGTCTTGACTACGGTGGTGATCGTACTAATCTACACATGTGACAAAATTACATAGAACTAATCACCTCCCCCAACACACATACACAAATGCACATAAAACTGGTGAAACCTGAAAGGTTGGTGAATTGTATCAACGTGAATTTCCTGACTGTGATATTATACTATAGTTATGCAAGATGTTTTCTCTTGGAGAAATTAGAAACCACTGAGTGTACAGAATCTCTAGGATTTTTTTAAAACTGTATGTTTCTATCCATCTATCCACCCATCAATCCATTTATCCACTCATTATTTCTTATTTTCTTTTTCCTTTTATACTAGCTTTTCTGAGGTATAACTGATAATTGACAAACAAGAATTGTATATATTTAAGGTATACGGCTTTATATTTTGATGTATACATTCCCTATAAAATGATCACCACAATTATATTAATTAACATATCCATCACCTCACACAATTACCAATTTGTGTGGGGAGGGAGAAAGGAGAACACTTATTATAATCTCTCAGCAAATTTCAAGTATAAAATACAATATTTTTAACTATGGTCACCATGCTGTACATTCTGTCTCCAGAACTTATTAATCTTAAATAACGGAAACTTTATTCCCTTGATGAACATCTTCCATTTCCCCCATCTCCTGCCCTGGCAATCCCCATTCTGCTCTCTGCTTCTATGAGTTTGACTTCTATGAATTTTAGACTTCACATAAGTGACATCATACAGCATTTGTCTTTCTGTGTCTGGGCTACCTAGCACAGTGTCTTCTAGGTTTATCCATGTTGTTACAAATGACAGGATTTTTTTAAAGATAAAATTTATATACACACACATATATATAGACACACCTTTACATACATATATATACACACATATGTATATACATACACACGTATACATTTATATATATAAAATAAAGTCACACAGATATACATACACACATACACATATATACACACACATATACACATACACGTGTGTGTGTGTGTGTGTGTATATATATATATATATATATATAGTTAAAGAAACTGTGATATATTATCAGCTTCTTTATTTATCCACTGACAGATATTTAGGTTGTTTCCATATCTTAACTATGAACAATGCTGCAATGAAGATGGATGTGAAGGTATCTCTTCAAGATAGAGATTTCATTTGCTTTCTGTATATGCTCAGAACTAGAATTACTAGAAAATAGTAGTTCTATCTAAATTTTTAAAGGAATTTTCATACTGTGTCTTATAAGGGCTGCACCAACTTACATTCCTACTAACAGTGTAAAAATATCCCTTTTTCTCCACATTCTTGCCAACACTTACTTACCATTTGTGTTTTTAGTAATAGCCATTCTAAGAAGCGTATGAGGTGATATCTGACTGTGGTTTTGATTTACATTCCCTGTTGATTAGTGATATTGAACACCCATTTTATATACTCATTGGCCATTTATATATCTTCCTTGGGGAAATGTCTATTTAGGTCCTTTGCCCATTTTAAAATTGTTATTTGTGTTTTTGCTATTGAGTTGTATGAGTTCACTATGTATTTTGAATATTAACTCCTATCAGATATAGGGCTTGTAAATATTTTCTCCCATTCCATAAGTTGTGTTTTCACTCTGTTGTTTCCTTTGCTGTGCAGAAGATTTTAAGTTTAATGCAATTCCACTTTTCTATTTTTTGCTTTTGTTTCATGTACTTTTGTTGTCATATCCCAAAAATCTGTTTCCAAGTCCCAATACCTAAAAGCTTTATCTTTTATGTTTCTATTTGTTGTACAGTTTCAGGTATTATTTTTAAGCCTTAATATATGTTGTGCTGATTTTTTAATATGGTGTGATAGAGTGGTTGCCTCTTATTTACAGAGTGTAAGTTTCAAGATCCCGGTGGATGCCTGAAACTGTCATGTGATCCTTGAGGTGTCACTTTTCCATCCTTCCATCCAGAAATTTTTGTGGCTGGTGGTAACTTGGCCTGAGTTTTGCTCAGGCCCACTGGGCTCATTCCACCCCTTTGGCCTGACAGGCTGTGCTCCGTTCACGCTACTGGCCTGGATCTCATGCCTGCTAAGGGTGAGCCAGGCATGGAGTGGTGAGGGGTGTGTGAGCAGGCAAACATGGGGTCTGGCCACTGCACACAGCTAGGGACACTGGCTGTGGCAGTGCAGGCAGCTCCATGCACCAAGATAGGTGCTGGCTCCCTGTGACGCTGTGGCTGAACCAGGCATACCACAAGCTTCTTCCACTGCTGGCACCAGGGCACAGAGTGGTGCTCAGAAGCTTGGAGATGCCAGGAACTGCAGAACCCCAAAGATGGTGTCAGAACCCTGGCTTGGGGAGCTCCTTGGTCTGGGATCCCCAGGGGGCTGCAGTTCTTCTCTCCTTCTCTCTTCTCTCCTTCTCATTGCCTGCAATGTGGCAAGCAAGGGGTGTATTTCAGCCCCTGCTCTTTTAGCCCTGCCGTTTGGTGAGTCCTGAGTTCTTGTTCCATGCCCAGACACAATTAGGTACATGGACAACTGAAGGGTAAGCACGGCAAAGAGGTGCCTTATTAAACAGCTCAGAGGAGACCCGCAATGGGCAACTCCTTTCCACAGGCAGGTTGTCCTTTCATCTGCCCAGCTGTTAGCAGAGCGGAGACTGACATTAGGTAGATCCTCTCTGTTGGCGGGTAGTCCTGTCATCTGCCCAGCTCTCAGCAGGCAGGAGACCTGCAGTGGGTATCTCCTCTCCACAAGCAGGTTGTCCCATTGTCTGCTTGAGCCTGGCTAAGTCTGTGGTTTTTATGGGCTTCAGAGAGGAGAAACTGTGTGCTGATTTGTCCATGGGCAGCCATGGCAGGCCTGGAAAAAGCCTGTGGGTTCTCACTCCGGTGCATGGAACTGGGAGTCTCAGGCTGTCCCTGCCCTGAAAGTGGGGTTTCACCAGGAACCCATCTCTTTTTGCCCAGGAGCCTGTCTTCCTCTTGCCACCATTAACCTGCCATCCACAGTGGCTACAGTGTCCAGGCTGTTTGTGATGAGGGGTGGCTTCAGGCCCATGCCAAGCCACCCTCAGCATCCCCTTGACCTCCCTCCTGTGTTGGTCAGCACCCAAAGTCTGGAGGGGGCCAAAGCAGCAGAGGCTGATGTGTCAGTGCTTCCCCAAGCATGCACACACCTGGCCGAGTTGTCACAGCATCTGGACTTGGTCTCAACTTTGCTCCAAAATTTGTGTGGGCACTGGGATTGGCCAGGCAGTGGGAGCAGGCACTTCCAAGCCTGTGGGGGTAGGGGGGCTTCCTGGGCCCCCAAGAGCACAGGGATGCCCAGGTCTGCAGCTGTGGCTCAGTGGCTACATCCGTGCCCAGGAGGGCAAGGCTTCTGCCCTGCCAACTCATAAGGGGGTGGGGCTTTCACCTGTTCCCAGCTCCTGTGGGCTTTGTGGAGCACACAGCCCCTGCCATACATCCCCCACTGCAGCTGGCATCATGGCAGCAGTTGCTCCAGATAGACTGCTGCTGCCACCAAAACCCTAGATAGTACCAGATCCTATGCATACTATGTTTTTTCTATACATACACACCTATAATAAACTTTCACTTTTTCAAGCAATTTCCAGCTTCTCTTTGGCACATCCCAATTGCCAGCATCACTACCCTTGTACTTTGAAGGCATTATTAAGTAAAATAAGGGTTACTTGAAGATAAAAAACTGTGATACTGTGAAATTCGATCTGATAAGATGGCTACGTGACAAATGAGCGAGTAGTGTATACAGTGTGGATCTGCAGGACAAAGGGATGATTCATATTCTGGGTGACAGATGCTTTTGTTGAGTGGGATGGCATGAGATTTAATCATCTTACTCAGTATGGTAAACAATTTGAAATTTATAAATTGTTCATTTCTGGAATTTTTTATTTAATATTTTCAGGCCATAGTTGACTGTGGATAACTAAAACTGTGGAAAGCAAAATGTTGAATAAGTGGGAACTACTGCATAAGGGTCCAGTTTTATTCTTCTGCATATAGATATCCAATTTTCCCAAAGCTGTTTACTGAAGAGACCATTCCTTTCCATTGTGTGTTCTTGATACTCTTCTCAAAGATCGGTTGACCATAAATAAGTAGACTTATTTCTGGGCTCTGTGTTTTGTTCCATTGGTCTGTATGTCTGTTTTTATGCCAGTATTATGTATTTTTTTCATTACTGTAGAATTGTAATATATTTTTAAGTCAGGAAGTGTGATGCCTCTAGTTTTGTTCTTGCTCAAAATTGCTTTGTTTATTTGAGATCTTTTGCAGTTCCATATTAATTTTAGCATCTGTTTTTCTATATCTGTAGGGAATGTCACGGGATGTTTATGAATAATTTGTTTAATCTGTAGATCACTTTGCATAGTATAGACATATTAACAATATTAATTCTTTCAATGCATGAACGTGGTATCTTTTCATCTGTGTCTTCTTTAATTTCCTTCACTAATATTTATAAATTTCAGTGTATAAATCTTTAGCCTTTTTGGTTAAGTTCATTTCTAAGCATTTTATTCTTTTTGTTGCTATTGCAGATGGAATTTTAAAGTTTTCTGTTTAAAATAGTTGACTGCTATTGTATAGAAATGACACTAATTTTGGTATGCTGATTTCGTATTTGCAAATTTACTGAATTCAATGATAAGTTCTAACAGGCTTTTTGCTGCTATTGATTCCTTACGGTTTTCTACATATAGAAAACCATATGGTTTGTCATGTCCTCTACATATATATTATATATATATATTTTATATATATATGTCCTTTACATATATATAATTTTGTTCTCTACATATATATAATTTATGTCCTCTACATATATATAATTTATGTCCTCTGCATATGTTTAATTATATATATATATGTCCTCTACATATATATAATTTTGATTTTTTCTTTTGTATTTGGGTACCTTTTATTTCTTTTTCTTGTCTGATTGCTCTGGCTAAGACTTGTAATATTCTGTTGAATAGAAGTGGCAAGAGCAGAAATCCTTTTTTTTTTTTTTTTTTGAGATGGAGTCTCACTCTGTCACCCAGGCTGGAGTGCAGTGGCATGAGCTCAGCTCACTGCAAGCTCCGCCTCCTGGGTTCACGCCATTCTCCTGCCTCAGCCTCCCGAGTAGCTGGGACTACAGGTGCCAGCCACTACACCTGGCTAATTTTTTGTATTTTTAGTGGAGATGGGGTTTCACCATGTTAGCCAGGATGGTCTCCATCTCCTGACCTCGTGATCCACCCACCTCGGCCTCCCAAAGTGCTGGGGTTACAGGTGTGAGCCACCGTGCCCGGCCGAAATCCTTGTTTTCTACTGGGTCCTTGAGAAAAAGTTTTCAGGCTTCTTTGTCTATTAATTATTATGTTAGTATTGAGGTAAGTTTTTTATACCTATTTTGTTAAATATTATTTATCATTAATGGATGTTGAGTTTAAAAAATATTTTTCTGTATCTATTGAGGTATATATGTGTTTTTTGCTTTTAATCTGTGAATGTGATATATCACATTAACTGATTTATATATGCTGAACCACTGTTGCAACCCAGGGATAAATTTCTCTTGATCACGGCATATAAATCTTTTAATGTGCTGTTGAATTTTGTTTGCCAGTACTTTACTGAGGATATTTGCATCATTGTTCATTAGGGATTTGGGTGGTAGTTTTCTTTTCTTATAATATTTTTGCCTAGCTTTGGAATCAGAGTGTTGCTGGCCTCATAAAATAAGTTTGGAAGTTTTCCCTCTACATCTGTTTTCTTGGAAGAGTTAAAGAAGGATTGGTATTAAATCTTTTATGAATGGTTGTTTGAATTCACCCATGAAGCCATCTGGTCCTGGGCCTTTTTGTTGAAAGTTTTGGATTATTGATTCAAGCTCTTTATTTATTAATTACCTGTTTAGTATTTTTATTTCTTCTTGATTCAGTCTTTGTAGGTTACATTTCTAGGTATTTACCAATTTATTCTAGCTTATTAAATTTTTGGCATATAATTATTCATAATAGTCTCTTGTAATTCAAAGGGACTACACAACAGAGAACAGTTAACAAGATGGCAATGGTAAATCTTTTCCTATCAACAGTTACCTTAAATGAAAATAAATTAAACTTTTGAATAAAGAGGTATAGAGTAGTTGAGTGGATAAAAATACTAAGATTCAGCTATATGCTGTCTAAAAGAGACTCACTTCAGCTTTAAGGACACAGGCTGAAAGTGAAGAGATTGAGAAAATGATATTCCATGTAAATGGTAACCAAAAAAAAAAAAACCCGAAAAACACAAAACAACAAAAAAGCAGGAATGTCTCTACTTATACCAGACAAAATTGATTTTAAGCCTTGACTATTGTTTATAGAGAAAAGGAAGGCCATTAAAAATTAATAAAATTTTACTTCAACAAAAAGATACAATTATAAATATATATATATATATACACCCAACATCAGAGCAGCAAAATATGTAAAGTAAATATTGACTGATCTGAAGACAGAAGTTGACAGCAATGCAATAATAGTAGGAATCTTACATATCCCATTTTCAATAATTGATAGAACATACAGATATAAAGTCAACAAATAAATGGCAGACTTGAACAACATTATAGACTAAATTGGCATAACATATATATATATGGAACTTTCTCCCCAATAACAAAAGGATACACATTCTTTTCAAACTCAAATGGAACATTCTCCAGAATAGATTACATGTTAGTCTACATAAAGAATCTTAACAAATTGAAGAAGATTAATCAAGCCAAGTATCTCTTCCAAGGACAATGAAATGAAACTAGAAATCAGTGACAGCCGCCCCCTGCAAAAAAAAGGAAAATTCACAAGCACATGGAAACTAATCAACACACTGTTCAACAACAATTAGGTCAAAAAAGAAATCAAAAAGGAATTTTGACAATCTTGAGAGAAATGAAAGTAAAACAAAACACAATATACTAAAACTTAAGGGAAACATTGCAAAAGCAGTATTAAGTAGTATGAAGGAAGTTTATAGAAAAAATGCCTGCATTGACAAAAGAAAAACATGCTAAATAAACAATATATACCTTAAGAAATGAGAAAAAGAAGGACAAACTAAGCCCAAGATTAACAAAAGGGAGGAAATTATAAAGATAAGAGCATAAATAAATACAGAATAGAAAACCAATATAAAAAATCAACAAAACGAAGGGTTGGTTTTTAAATAAGATAAACAAAATTGTCAAACTCTTAGCTAGACCAGGAAGAAAAGAGAAAAAACTCAAATAAATAGAATAATAAATCAAAGAGGAGATAGTACAACAAATGCTTTAGAAATAAAAGAATAATTATTTTCTAAGCAGTATGCTTTTCCAGAAAATGAACAGGCTAACAGGCCTAATACTATACCTGCTGGACAGGGAGGGAAACGTGTAACTCATACACACAGTGAAGCATAACTGATAGAGAGATGGAAGTGTAAAGTAACAGAGTGTGCTCTAAAGGGAGTGCTTAGTATTTCCTGGAGAAGGCTAACATTAGGAAAACTCTCTTGAGAAAAATAAGTCTTGAAGTATTTATGTTTCTAGGAAGATTACCCACCGCACCATCAATCATACCTCAGAGAAATAGGCTGTCCAGAGAGAGCATTAAAAGTAAAAGCAGAGACATGGAATGTGCAAATGATGTGTCACAGAAACTGTTTTATTTGCTATTGTTGGGGAAGAGGAGGTGAGTGAACATGCAAGCAAGAGATGAGGTCAGACAGTAAGTAGGGGGCAACTATGGAGGGCATTGCATTGCCTGGTTAAGAAGTACATATTACAACTTCTAAATATGTATTAGTCATGGTTCTCTAGAGGGACAGAACTAATAGTATATACAAATATATTATATATATATACACTATTATATATAAGTATGTATATATATTATATATATAATAGTATATATATTTTTATGTGTATATATATATATATATATATACACATATATGTAAAGGGAGTTTATTAAGAAGAATTGACTCACACAATCACAAGGTAAAGTCTCACAATATGTCATCTGCAAGTTGAGGAGCAAGGAAAGCAGTACTGGATCAGTCTGAGTCCCAAAACCTCAAACGTAGGGAACCCAACAGTTCAGCCTGCAGTCTGTGGCCAAAGACCCAAAAGCCCCTGGCAAACCGCTGGGGTAGGTCCAAAAGATGAAGGCCAGAAGACTCAGCAAGTCTGGTCTTCTATCTGCTCCTGCCTGCTTTATTCTAGCTGTGCAGGCAGCTGATTAGATGGTGCCCTCCCAGATTGAGGTCGCGTCTGCTTCTGCCAGGCCACTGAGGCAAATGTTAATCTCTTTTGGCAACACCCTCACAGACACACCCAGGCACGATACTTTGCATCCTTCAATCCAATCAAGTTGACAATCAATATTAACCATTACCAAATATGATAAGTAGATTTTTTCAGAATGGTCAAACTTATTCTATGGAATTCAAGGAATATCTTGGGGCTTTCATGGGAGAAGGATAGGATAGCACATGAAACTGAGGTCAACACAAATACATTTGATTTCAAAGTTAAGGAAGGTTATTATCTGAAGGGGCACAGAGTCGCACATAGAGAGACACCTGCTGAACTGCTATCATGCACGGCCTTAGCTGCTTCAGGCTACGTAAGCTGGGAAGCTTGAAAATAAAAGATCAGTAATTTCCTAGTTACAGATCATAATTTTTCTCAGTCACGTTGTCATTATCCAGTCTATTCAATATTACGATACTTGAAATGTCTTCATTTTCTTTTTCATCTTCATGCCTCACAATCAGTAAGTTGCAAAGCTTTGCCATTTGGACCAGAAATAAGCCCATTCCTGCTTTTCCACTGTGAGTGTCAATGCCATATTTTAGGCCCTGTCTTCTCTTGCCTGAAATTTCTGAATAGTTTTCTGGTAGGTTTTTTCTGTCTCTAGTTTTGTATTACTCTAGAATATCATATATGTGATGGCCAAAATGATCTGTCTAAAATATGGATGGAATTATGTCACTAATTTATTCTAATGTTTGATTGGTTCTTTAATGTCTGTAATATCATTTTTATTGCACTAGCTCCACGAAGTAGGGAAGATGCTGTGGAAACAGTACGACACTTTGACTTCAAAAGACAAAGATTGAAATCTTAGTTTTATCAACTACTAGCTGCAATTCCTTCCTGTGGTCCAGGCAGACCTAGACCATGCCTGCTATAGGCCCAATAACACAGAAACAAATGGAGCGCAGAGTTATGTAATCCCTATGTGATGAGAAATTCATAAGCGACCTTTAGCGCTGATGTGACACCTTCCCTAGCCTATGTTATAAAACACAGGATCTATGACCTCAGGCCCTCTAACCATATGGACTCACTCTCTGCAAGCATTATATTGATCAATGAAGTTCAAATGCTTCACTACAAATAAGAGGGAGTCTTCTCTCTGTTATGTGTAATGTTTGCACCATTTATTTGCTAGTTCTACAGGAAACAGCATGAAAGCCACCTTGAACTGAGGCTTAGAACTCACTTTGGCCAGTCTTTAGCCCACTTCAGACTGTGTGGTCTGGCCTAGTTCACATGATCAAGCTATTTAAACCTCTCAGCTTCCCAGTTTCCTCCTAATTAAAATTTGAGTTGTTAATGCTTACTGAGTAGAATTATTAAATTATACCATCTTGACACCTTTTCTGGACATGGTAATTTAAAAAAGGTGCAATTTTATCCTGCAGTTGAGCTCCAATCCATTTAATTCACCTTACTTCCCTCCATTTTGAGTATATCATCAGCTGAAGCCATATTTGCTCAGCAGTCCTGATCAGGTCCTGTGTTCCTTTCCCTCCAGGCCTTTGCTCAAGCTCTCTCTGTACACACTCTTAATCTCCAGTCTGGCACTCCCTAGTACCATGGTCACCTGGCACAGCACTACCTATCTTTCAAACACAGGCTCAAGTCCCAGTTTTCTAGATTTCATCTTCTTGCTGATTTGCCTTGCACATCAATTTTAGTTCTCATCTTACCACAGTCACATTGGTGGTTGTCCCCCTCTGATATATAAGAACATTCCAAGGCCAGCAATATTCACTGCAACGTTATGTGGTTTTCCAATAAACAAAATATCCCCAAATCTATGTAAATAAAAGCACAAAATGTGGTGATTTAACTTTTATTTCTAAAAAAGGGAAATGATGGAAGTAAATATGGTGTTTACATGCCATGGGATATTGTGCAGCTATTAAATCTAATAAATTAGATCTATTTCTGTTTTACAAAGAGGTCAATTCTACACATCCACACATCAATAATAGCAATTATATGTGCACATATATATATGGTTTTTTATTCATGTATGAGAATGATACAATTTTATTAAATGTTAGTAATTTCCAAGGGAAGTCATTAGCATATTGCACAGCTTTCTGCTATCCTTTTAGTTTCTCTAATCCTTTTTTTTGCCTCTGGTTTTCTCTTTCTTTGCCAGTATCTATTTCATGAAAAGACATTTTTATAAAACCTGTGTCTTTGAGGTCTCTTCTATCTCTTTATTTTCCCTCTGTTTAAGAAATAATTTAAATCCAAAAACAAGCTACAATAATAGTGTGATGTACACTCATACACCACTCATTCAGATGCATCTATTGTAACATTTTGCCACAACAAAAATGTATTATTAACTTAAAAAAGCACATTGGACAATCATGTACAATATGATCCCATTTTGGTAAAAATATTCAGTCAAAACCAAAACTCTACATAAGGCATATATTTCTGTGTAAGCTTGTGTGATTAAGGAAACATTATGGAAGGCTATTTAAGAGCGTATTTAATTGGTTACCTCTGTGGGCAGGGAATGGATGAAAGCAGGGAGAGATGGTTAACTTTTGCTTCTACAAAAGAATGTTTTAGTTGTTACAATCAATGCATATTCATTTTTTGTTGTAAAGAAAATAAAACAGAAAACAAGCAGGAATGTTCTTTTTCACAGATGGTCTAAACATTACCAGCCCTCTGGATGAATGAATTTTTTCTCATACAGAGAAGACAGAGACTGTAGGCTAGGCCTGAGGTCCTGATTATCAGGGAGGCCTCAGCCCTAGAAATCGGTCTCAGATTTTTCCTCTGTCCTCCAGGTAATCCTAATGTGTACATCTACACAGTTACTTTCCTGCTGTCAGGTGAGGCTGTTTCTATGGATAAGCCAGGAAATTTTTGCCTTTTCAGGTGGTAGGATTATAATGTGCTTATTTTCTCTGTGTTTTAGAGAAAAGAGTGCAAATAAAATGCCAGTTTCTTAGATGTAAATAACACAATGGCTTTGCCCATGGTGTGAAAATAAAGGGTTAAATGAATGAACATTTTAATTGATAGAGTGTTGTATTGACCTGACCCATAGTGTCACTAAAGCAGGATTATCACAGAGTACAGCAAAGGACACCAAAATGAGAGTTAGGATTGTGTTCTGGTTTCAGTTTGTGGGATACTGACCAATAAAATCCTCAAGAGCTATTTCCTTCACTGTAAAATGAGCTCAATAGAACCATTTTGAAGGCATCTTGAGATTGAATAAGATTACACACATCAGTGCTCCACTGAGTCATAATTGGAACCTGAGGAAAATAGAAAAATCAGTAATACTGATCTTATTTTTATTTAAAATTATATTTTGTTTACCACACATCTTTTCATTAATTTAGATTTGATTTTTTTTTTTTTTTTTTGAGATGGAGTTTTGCTCTTGTTGCCCATGCTGGAGTGCAATGGTGCAATCTCGGCTCACTGCAACCTCCGCCTCCCAGGTTCAAGTGATTCTCCTGCCTCAGCCTCCCGAGTAGCTGGGATTACAGGCACCGGCCACCATGCCTGGCTAATTTTTGTATTTTTAGTAGAGATGGGGTTTTACCATGTCAGCCAGGCTGGTCTCAAACTCCTGACTTCATGATTTACCCGCCTCAGCCTCCCAAACTGCTGGGATTACAGGTGTGAGCCACCAAGCCTGGCCTTGATTTGATTTTTTAAAAATATTGCACTAAACTATGATTTGTTGTGATTACTGAGTTTTTTGGCACCCCCTTAAATTTTGAGCTTAAAGCAAGTGTCTCATTTGCTTTTCCCTAGTCTTGTCCCCCAAATAAATACAATTATTTGCCATGAATCTTGACTCGGTAAATGTTAGTTTACTTCCCCCTCCACATACAAACTGCATAGGTGCATACACATTCACTCATGACTGTTGTCAGAATTCATAAAGTAGGTCAGGCCTGTATATAAAAGAGTGACCCAGAAGAAATTGGGTTAATTTAGTTTAGTTCAAAACGAAGTACACCTGTTCCACCCCAACACAATTAGAAAACCCTTAGGAAAGTAGGATTGAAGGTATCTACTCTCTACCTGTGTTTTTTCCATAGAGACTGAGAATGATAACATATTGAATTCATGAACAGAGAGAAGAAGAATGGTTACCAGACACTGGGAAGGGTGGTGGGGTTTGGGAGGAAGGTGGAGATGGTTAATGGGTACAAAAAAATAGAAAGAATGAATAACACCTTCTATCTGATAGCACAACAGGCTGACTATAGTCAAGAATAACCTAACTGTACATTTTTAAATAACTTAAAGAGTGTAATTCCATTGTATGCAACTCAATAGATAAATATTTGAGGGTATAGGTACCCCGTTCTCTATGATGTGCTTGTTTCACATTGCATGCCCATATTAAAATATATATGGGATGTAGTAATATCCCATATTAATATATCCCATTATGGGATATATTAAAGTATCCCATAAATATATATATACATACGTACTATGTACCCACAATTTTTTTAATTAAAAAACAACAAACAAAAGAATTGAGAATGATACCCCAGCTACCTTACAGCTTTTTAACTCCAGAATCTCTAGGTCTAAGCTGTATTTATCAAGTAAATTGTCAAATCCCTAGATATTACTTATTTGAACCTGGTTTTAAGAAAAAGCCTATCAGAAGGCTTTGACCAATAACCTTTCTGGGAATTTCCCGTACCCTGTGTATTCCAGAACATTTATTTTACTTCAGCCACATCCTCTCAGGTCACGTGAAGCCTCATAGCATTATTGGTGGAGCCATGAGTGTTTGGAGAATAAATGTTAAAACGAGTAAAATAATTTCCCTTTGGTGTCACCTATAATCTTTTTAAAGTTTTAAACATCCAGAAAAACAATACGGCAGTCATTGAATATTGAAGCTGAAAATCAAGGAAGAGAAAAAAACATGAACAGAAGAGAACTGCAAAGCAGCATGTATGAATGAAAAACTTTATTATAGCGGGGAGTAACTCACCATTTTAGGGGTCCTGGGTAGGTAGAGATGTGTCATGAAGGGCTCCTAAGAAGGGATAGTATCTGATCTGAGCTCTTACTAAAATAGTAACAAGAATGTAACATGAGAAAGTGTTATGTCTGGCAATCCTTGTAAGAACTTTGGGGCAGGTTATGTTGCCATTTACAGTTAGCTCCTTCTCCACTTCCCTGCTAGAGCACTATACATTCCTGCCCATTGTCATGCATTTTTGTTTGGAATCACAATGCATCCCACTCCATCAACTTTCCAACTTGTCTATGGCCATTTTCTCTGTGTTTTTGCATAACCTTTTTTCTATGCATTCCTAGAATGAGAGAGAGAAAGTGAGAGAGAACACAAGCAAGTCCTCTGGTATCTCTTCATCTTTTTATAGGGACACCAGTCCTATTGGATTAGGGTCCCACCCTTGTGACTTAACTTTAATTACCGCCTTCAGGGCCCTATTACCAAATACAGTCACATTAGGGTGTTAGGATTTCAACGTAGAGACTGGGGGTGGGGTGGATGCACAATTCAGTCTGTTAGAGTATATAGATCTGGAGGAAATGCATTGTTGATATATGTTAGAACTTTAAGTGGCCTGTACTGATCTACATTAAATAAAGTGCCATATAAATTTAGTCTGATAATAAAAACACAGATATGATATATATAGTCCTTTATATATTTACTTATTTATATATTCAATGATTCATATATTCATTTATATATTAAATTATTATATATTCGTTATATGTAATATTCAACTGAATATGTTATAGATTCAATTATTTTTCTACATAGACTTAGAAGAGAAGATATTCTGGCCAAGCTCACATGGGGAGAAAGAAATTTATTTACGTTTGATATTTCTGCAGTGTTGGCTCCTTTCAATATCTAGATGCCTTTCCTTGACTTCTCAATTACCTTCTTTGTTTCTCAGGTGACTTATGTTCAGAATTCCTGAATTTGCACAACACCTACTTTATGCCATCAGTCTCTAATGTCACCGTTTCAGCCAGATTCCTGCCCTTGATAATACTGCATCCTGGGAGAGTAAATGAGCCATTATATACACTCAAAGAGTTAACCCAGTAATTTACTGAAGCATAGGGAAAAAAAGGAAAACTGAAAAGAAACAAACAAACAAACAAAACAACTAATAAAAGCTCCCCTAATGAGCTAATGAAGTAGCCTTTTTCTTTTATTCAAGTATCACGTTTCACTTTCAGAACATGTCAGTTTGGAGGCAGATAGTTTTTTTCAACTTTTTAAGTGAAATAAAATAACAACTGTTCTTAAATACAAGTGACTATGAAGGCATATGTGTGAATTGTCAGCTGTATGGCCTTTTACTCAGGTGCCTTTCACATATGTAGGATTTCGTTCCAAGGGTGTATTTGGCCCATTATACAATTTTATCTGTAGGCAACACTTACAATTATGTAATTGCAGTGGCTACTATAATTACAATACAGCAGCCATTAAATAAACTGATGTGAAAATGGGGCTTTCTAAAAATTGTGGGCATATTTCTTCACACCATTCAATAAAGTAACAAGAACATACAAATTCTCTATTGATTTAAATATCTGAGTGTCATTTATACTGATTTTAGTATAATTTTCATCAAATGTGACATATGTTTTCTGAATACTAAGAAGTGTTTCTGGTGACTGAAGGTAAAAAGAGTTAAATTTCAGAAATCTTAAAATCTACTTGCGACAATAAGGCAATGACTCTGTTTAAGACTACTTCTACTTTTAGACTGGGTTCCTCTGGAATGTTGATTTACCTTGGTTCTGACATTTCTTTCCTTTATTTTAAACACTGTCAGTCAGCTGGCTTCTTATTTGTGGACTGGGAACATCACAAATGTCTCTTAAAATATCCTTTATTTAACATTCCATTCCCTGTGAGATGCCATTTCATCTCTCCCCTTTACATACAAGCTCCTTCATCAAACCCTGGTCTCCATACCCTGAATGTGGATCCAGTGTTTACTCATCTGCATTTGGCTCTCCCTCCTCCAGAACACCCTCATTCGATACCATCGGGGGCTTTGTAATTGCCAAATCCGTAGAGCACTTTTTCGTCCTTTTCTAAGCTCCTCTTTGATGAACTTGACTCCATTTGCAACTCTTTTTGATTCATTCTTCCATGTTTCGTGTATCTCTTCTGATTCTCCTCCTGTCTCTGACATTGGTTATGGCTCCTTTGCCCGGTCTTCTTTTTTACTCTGATACTTTACATTGAAGTCTGTCTTGGCATTTGTCTTACCCTTCAGCCTCCTCATAGAGCCTCTTTTATAACTTGAAATTCAGCCAAATGCTGATGATTTGCAAATCTGTTTTCTCAGCCCAAACTCCCTGAGCACCAGACCTCAACATCCAGCTGCCTGAGAGATTGCTCCATTTGAGAGCTTCATAGCACATAAGATCTGCACAGGTAGAAGGAATGTCTGCTCTTCTTTCTGCATTTCCTGCCTGTGGTGACTGCCACCAAGAACCAGGCAGCTACCTCACTGGAGGTTTTGGAGTCATCCTGGCACCCTTCTTCTCTCATATGCTCTTCTATAATCAATCCAATCTGTTACCTAGCCCTGTAGTTTCTATTCACAACTCATGCATAGATATGACTTTTAGCTCTTGCTCTTACCTGTATTACAATAACCTGTTAACTGGTTCATTGCTTCCTATCTCTCTCGTTTCTCCTCAATCTCTCCCTCTTTCATACACAGGCACATACACACATGCACTCGTTTTGCTCTCCTTCCAATCCATTTGGTGTAGGTTGCCATGTTCACAATACAAATCAGATCACCTTCCTGGTGGACTCCACTCATGTCTGTCATTTTTAAACCCTAAATTCTTAAACATGACGTTCAAAATCCCCATTATATGTCATAATCCTTGTTTTCAGCCTTTTCTCTTTTATCAGTCACCATCTAATTTCTTGCAGTTTCTAATCACATAGATGTTTCTCATTCAATGCCTGAAGTAATTCCATTGTTTTTTCCTTCTCCAAGAAGTTTTCTACCTCTATACAAACTTCCTTGACTAACACTTAGCTTTTAAGATACCTTGTATCTCTCATATACCACCTTTTTTTGTATAACATTTTATGATCTCTTATCACCCTAAATAGAATTGACCTTGTTTCTCTACCACAACCTATGTGTCTCTCAGTACACCTCTAATATTGGTTGAACAAATACCTTAATCTTCTCCTAAGCAATATATCCTCTCTATGCCTCAATATGGTATAGGGATATTCTAAGATATAATAGAATATGTGTGGTAAAATGTTTTGAGTCAATGACCAAATGAATGAAATGTACACATACTTAAAGAGATAGGCAGGATTGAATACAGATCATTAGAGAGGGATGAAACAATGAATCATGTCTCTGAGACAAGAGAAGAAAACAATTTCTGGCATCAAGAAAGACTTCATGAAAAAAATACAATTGCTTCAGTTCTATAGAAGATTTAGAAACCTGGAATGAGGGTGACATGAGACCCAGACTGTAATCTGGTATATTCTCTTTTATTGCTAATATCTCTACATAAATATATTGTGAAGTAAAATAATTTCTGGCTGATTGAAATTTCTGGTTATTTGAAGTTTTTCTCTATTTGTACAATAACACTTTTTCTGATCATCAGCCATAAAATTTCCTCACTCTACCTTGCCTTAGATAATTTATTTTATCTTAGACCTTTCTTCTCTAGCCTTTGCCACTAGAAACACTTTACTAGTATCTTAAAGTCTAATTGTGAAAATAAGGGAATGACATTAAGGTTACTTCTAGTTTTAGACTGGATTCCTCCAGTATGTTGATTTACCTGGGTTATGACATTTCTCTCTTTTATTTTACTAGTATCTATAACCAGAATTCCCTTTTACTGTGATTCTTTATCTCTAGATTTTTTTTTCAGAAATCTTCAGAAAGGTAAAGAAAAAGTAGCAATGCCCGTTTTTCTTTCCTATATTTTCTTTCTCTACTGCATTCTTGAGACTACTATGGAACATGGCTCTGTATAAGAAAAATATTGTCCACATTTCAAAGGCATTGCTCCCTTGGGAATTTAATTGGTAGCTTGATTGTGAGAATCCCAATGACTTTAAAAAATTTTTTTTTTTCATATACAAGCTGTAGAAACAATAACTCTTTACTTGTGCATGAGTCATAACAATTTACAAAACATTTTAGTTTGCATCATTTCATTAAGACTCACAACAAAGTGGGAAGCAGTATCAACATTTTCTTTATAGAGATGAAAAGACAAACTCAGATTAAGTTTCTGCTTTGAAGGTACAAAAGTAGTAAGCGATAATGCTGGAACTTGAATTCTTTTTCACTTAGAAATTTCTTCAAAATGAATAAGTTCATGTCCTTTGTACGGACATGGATGAAGGTGGAAAACATCATTCTCAGCAAACTAACACAGGAACAGAAAACTGAATACCACATGTTCTCACTCATAAGTGGGGGTTAAACAATGAGAACACATGGACACAGGGAGGGGAACATCACACACTGGGGTCTGCTGGGGTTGGGGGGCAAGGGAAGGGAGAGCATTAGGACAGATGCTTAATGTATGTGGGGCTTACAACGTAGATGACAGGTTGATAGGTGCAGCAAACCACCATAGCACGTGTATACCTATGCAACAAACCTGCATGTTTTGCATATGTATCCCAGAACTTATTAAGTCAAATTTAAAAAAAAGAAAAGAAAATCAGTCTCTCTCTCTCAAGACAGATTGTGTTATTGAGAGACAACTCTGATTATCTGTAAGTTCATCCTCCTGTTAGGTGAAATGTATCTCAGAAAAAACTTTCATTTCCAAATTCAAAGCTTTAGGTTTTATTTAGAATCATAAACCCAGGGAAAAATAAACAGCTTTCTCTTTTTAGTTTTCCTTTGAGATGACATGAAGCTCAAAACCCAGTTGTTAGAATAAGAGGTGTTAATAAGATCTGGAGGAGAGGCACACAGTTTGATATTCCGAGCCAAAGACAGGCTTGCTGGGCTGTTTCCTCTATCAAATCTTCATTATCCACCACACTGTGTCATTACTCGCATGTTTTAGCATCAACAAGCTGCTCTGACATCCTCCCTAGCCCCCTTTCTCTCTAGAAATAAATACTATTGATCAGCAGTAGCCATGTCTAAAGCTGGCAGGAATGCATGAGCTTATTAAGTTTCTTTATTAAAGTTGACTATAATCTGGAAAGAAGAGTTGATTCCCCTTGGACTTACGGTCATTTATGTTTTTTCCTTGTAATCCTCCATTTGGAACATTTCATTACATACTGTCTAATGGGGATTGGGAATATTTTCATTCAGTAAACGATTTTTGTCATGCTGCTTTTTCCCAATCATTAAAAACTCAGTAGAAGGACCACAGAGAAAGATGCAAAGTGCAGCTGTGGATATCTACAAGCTTAATATGTGGTCAATTATATTTGCTCTAATTTATAAGGTGATTTGAGACTAGGTTTTAGATCCAAAGAGTTTAACTGTAACATTCACCCTTTAGTGTCCTTGTGTTCTATCCATTATTTTCCTTTAATATATCTCAAATTTCAAGGCTTTATTTTTTCCTGCAGCTGTTAAATTCAATCGTTCTCTTGAATTTCAGCAAAAGCTTTATAATGAATTTCTCTGCTGTCAACCACTCTTTCCCTTCTCCTTCTTTCCTCCCTTTTTTTTTTTTTTACCTTTCTTTTGCAGCCCAAGTGATCTGTTCAGTATACAAATATGACATGTCAGCCCACTATGCACTTAAAATTTCTAATGATTCCTCATTACATTTAGGCTGGAAGCCAAATTCACTTCTAACCCCAAGATGCCATGTCTGATTCCTCAGCTTTAAGCTGGAATTCCTCTGATTTAAGCTGGAAGTCAAAGTCACTTCTAACCCCAAGATGCCTTGTCTGATTCCTTAGCTCTGTATTCAGCCAATACTTCCCTCCTGCCCATCACACACCTTACCCTTCAACTTCAGTAAACTTCTCACCATTTCCTTCAATATCTGTATGGCTGTGTCCATGACACATATCCCTTCTTCATCTAACTAACTGGTATTCATCTTTGAGACTCACTTTTTTTTTTCCTGGGATTTCCTTCCTGCTGTAAGTGTGTCTACCATGTAGATCACCTGCACCAGTGACTTTCTGTTAGGGCTCTTAACACATTCCACTGTAATTACCTGATTACTTGAGTTAATAACTACTATTCCTAAGCTACTTGAAGACAGCATCTGTGACTTTACAATTCCTTTGTCTGTAATTTCTAGCTCTGTACCTGGCAAAGAGTAGGTTTTTAATAAAACGTTGTTGAATGATTGAGTGAAGGAATGAATACATAAACACATGAAATAAAGTGAAACACTGTATAACTGATAATATTTGCTTGTCAAATGATTTTCAGCTCCAGAAAGCAAGAATTGTGATGTCTGAAAAACCAAATTTGGAGGACAAAATATATAGACCTGTGACTCTGAAAACATTAGATCTGCAAAGGACTGTACAGATTTCCTAAAGTGTTCAAATGAATTTAGTTCAACTTTTCACTTGATAGATGGAGAAACTGTCCTGAAGATGTTGAGGGGCTTCCTGGAGTTGCAGAACTAAGCCCCTCAGAGCGAGCACAGGACTTTTAAATGCTGCTTATGTATGACTGTGAAGAGTTAGTCACTTCATTTTTACCAGAATTGAAATGGTTATATAGTATGTGCTGTCTTCATAAAAATATATATTACTCAGCAACCCATATGGTTAGAGGCAGGAGTTCTAAAAGAAGACTCTTCAAACCGCAGGGTTCTCCAAGTTCCCAAGTTTTACTGGAGACAATTTCAACATTTTCCTAAAATATACTATTGACTCATCATAAGTTAAGAATGCATTAACACCCCCACAAAATGTAACCAAGAAACTGTGTTTCACCTGAAAGTGTATAGTCTAATTAAAAATGAGTAAAACCTGAATATCTCAGTTTCTTCCTGGTATTTAATTTTTTTTCTTTTATTCTGAATATATTCCAGTTATCTACTTAGGTCTTTCCGTGAAGTATCAGAACATAGTCGACTTTCTCAACTCTAGGAGATGTAGGGACATAATTCCTAGTTTTAGCAGGAATTCTTCAGACTTGCTAATAGTAATATGAGAAGCCCTATTCAACTTTTCAATATGTCTAATACTAAGATGGATATTATGCATTACCTCTCAATGAAATTACACAAATTTACTGGAATGTTAAGTTGGCTGAAATGGTTACAAATGGCAAGAGCATGCTGATTGCTGTTATATATTTATTTGCCCAATAACAAATGGAAATTAAAAAGAGTCAACCATTATAGAATAAATGCAGTTTTTTTGGTAGACATTTGGTTTCTAAAAGTCGTATGTAAAATTCTCCGCAAAACTAAAAGAGAGTTGCTTGGTTATAACAAGGTTGATGCCCCTTGGTACAGTAGAAATTTCTTTTTCCAGGTCTGATATTCTGAAAAATAGACTATGGGAAGTCATAAGTAGAGGTCATTATTTCACTACAACTCATTCCTAAAGTAGTGAAGAGTGTTAGGAACTGAGCAGCATCCTGAATTGAGCCTCTTAAGAATCATTGAGGTCCGATAACTTGTGTCAACATCATTATCACAGGATTTGAAGGAGTTGGGTAGGGACTCATGAGTGAGAAAACTGATAGAAAGTTCTGGGGTCCCTTCTAATATTTGCACTTTCAATATCAAGTATAACTAGCTTGATATGAGAACTGGAAATGACAGTTTCTAATTTATATAAGATCTCCGGGTTGTTCAGTGGGAGAGCCAAAGTCTAAGGTTAGAAGGCAGCTGCTCTCTGTAATTCTGCAGTATACACAAGAGATCTATCAATCAATGAACTATAATTTATAATTACCCCAAATTCACATCATGAGAAGAGATATCACCAAAGCATTTTTAATCAAGTCAGACTATTCAAAACCCGCTGCTCAGGAAACTCTAAGATGTGGGGTTTTGGCTACTATTCAATTTCTGAGGCATGGGGAATATGGATCTTCCAGAAATGCAATTTCCCATTAAAGATGTTATATAGGAAAACAGTACTAGAATTGGAGTTATAACTGGTATCTAATTTTGTTCCATTTGCTGAATTGCTGTATGACCTTGGATAAGTCACTTCATCTTTCTAAATCTTATTCCTTATCTATAACATTAATGGAGGTGTTGTTAAATGCGTTCTTGGAAGCCTTATGCCTTCTTTAAAGTTGCCTTAGGACAAGGATGAGGATAATTCTGCTATAATTAGGGCTGATTATGATCTCTTAAGGGAAGCAGTTATGATATCTTATTTATATACTTTTCTGGCAAATTGTTCAGTTGCATTTGCCCTTAAATGCTCTCAACTTAGTGGACAGTCTGAATTTCCAAATCTTATGGAAATAAGTGATTTCCCTAAACCTTAGAGATATTTTCTGCTAGGCTGAATTGTTAAGGATTTTTAAAAGTTCTAACTCCAGTTATTTTCCTTCCTTCAGTGATTGATTGGTGATGGTTGGAAATAAAATTAGAAGGTGTCCCCCAACTGTGAAATGACTCATAAGAAAGGTTCAAAGTGTTCTCTTTTGAAAAGTTCTTAGACTAAGAAAGTGCTTTGTTCCCTTAAAATCTCTTGGATGAAATGTCCAACCCACTTAGAATGATCTAATGTTAGAAATGGAAAGGACCTTAGTTTCACTTTCTACAAGCATCTTTTTATGGATGTGAAATGTGAGGTCCAGAAATATTTTCTTGACTGGGGAAGGGGAACAAGACGGGGAGAAAACCAATCATACAGCATGTTTCACTCTCTTTTAATAATTGTCTTTTATATTTGTATTTTATTTTAAAGTTTACAAAGCACTTACATAGCACTTAATTTCATATGTATTATCAGCCAGTGAGAAGGTTAGACTGTTATAAATATCAAGTGTTATGTTGCAATGGTAATAACTAGCTAAATCAAGACGAAAATACTTTCTGCTTCAGATCAGTGTTATTTCTACTCATTAATCTACCTTAAAAGTTTAACTTTAATTATTAAAAAAAATAAATGAAATATTGATACTGTGGTTATTTTCAGCTATTTCTCATTTAGATTGCCCCTTTTTCCAATAAAATTATTATTAACAGTGAGATACAGAAATTTCTTTACTGGAGAATTGTTTGATCTGACAATGCCGAAACAAAAATATAAGTATCATTGCATGCTTCTTTTAATATTTGTTAGGTGAATGGTAGGTAATAAGGAAGGAGGGCTGGGACATCCCTAGAGATAGAAGTCAAGAGTCTTACATATGTTACAAGCTGCTGGACTTTTCAAGGCAAAGGAGTTTGGTCCCAGTCTAACCTAACCAAAACTGTTGTGAGTTTGCCATGGCTGTTGTGTTCATAGTCACCCCTTCTTTCTGAGAGACACTCGAAACAAAGAACAAACACAGCTTGCTCCAACTTCTAACACTTTGCCAGAAGGTGATCAGAAAATAGAGTTATTAATTAATAACTCCTAACAAATATGAAGTAAGTAAATGGAATATGTAGAGTAAATCTAAGCTTTCATTAGGCATAGATTAGAGAGCTCCACCCTGTGCCGTGGCATGCCAATGTTGAATGTTTATCATGTATTCTCGAAAGGGAAGAAGGATGGCAAATTGTTTGGGAAGAGAGCTTCCAAGTTAGATTGGAAGTCATGTTCTGCCTATCAAAATACCCCAGCATGAGATGATGACTAAGCAAAAAAAGAGGAAAGAAAGCAGCTACCACTCCAACGAAGGGCTAAAATGGCTTTGCTACCCAGCCTCTCCCATCCTCTGCTGATTCTACATTAAAATCATGATGCAGGAGCATTCGATTTGAGAATCACACACTCATTTCAGAGAAGTTGTATTTTTTTCAGTTCTAGAAAAACCAAAGTGATGGCTTCTATGTGCCCAGGGAATAGATCCAGGAGGATCACCTCAGAGACCCCACAAGAGTGGCCAATAAGGAAGAATATTGCTCCAAATTTCATGCTGTCATGAGTAAGGAGATGGTATCCAAACTACTATAATTTACAAAATGTTTTCTTTACTTTCTTAGGCAACTTGAAGAATGACTATATAAGAAAGTTAAGGAAAATATGACTTTAATTTACAAGTGAAAAACACAAGACTCAAAAGTGTTAAATGATTTGCCCAGGGCCAGGTATTTCAAGTCATAATTTATGAGTTTTTCCATTTCTAACAGTTTCCTCCCATTTGAGATGAAAATTGTGCATCATATTTATTATTTGTTATTGAACCATTATGTATTGTTCACTGAGTCAAGCATAAACAAGCCTTCTTCACTCAGTGGTAAGGAGTATATTATTTACATTTTCTCCCAACAGTCAATACAAGAGAAAATACAGAACATTTCTGATAAAACTCCTTTTTTACCTTCTTATTTTTTCTTAATTCTCTCTTAGATATGTAGTTCTTAGTGGATTGATTTGCCCATTTCTGGACCCCAGAGGATGCATAAGAATCAGAGACATATAGTGGGGCAGTGACCTTGTAAAGCCCAAAGCAGGGGCTTATTCTCCAAGGACAGAGTAAACACGTACAACTTGGCTAAAAGTAGAATTTTCTAAACACTTCTGTGGACTAAGAGAAAAAAGTATTGGGAATATTGGAAGCAAAATCCATATTTTTCTTTCCATATTCCAATCTCAGATGTGTTGGAGAAAGGTTAATTATGTTTTATCTTTTATCCATTCTGGTTATAGGTGTACAAAATAAAAAAAAATCAATTACCATTAATTCTTATATTTTTTGTAACTCTCACAGAATTCTAATAAGACAGAGGACCTTGGTAGGTAAACTAATAGACTCCAGCAGGACTCCACACCCTACTGGAACCTACGAATATCTTACCTTTTATGGCCAAAAGTCTTTGCTGGTATGATTAAGTTAAGGATATTGAGACTGAGAGACCATCTGGACAATCCTGGTGAGCCCAGTGAATTTACAGGGGTCTTTATGAGAGGGAGGCATATGGTTAACATCAGAAAAAGATATGATGAAACTAGAAGTTGGAATGATGCTCTTTGGAGATGAAAGAAGAGACCCAGAATCAAGGATTGTAGGTGACCTCTAGAAGCTTGAAAAGACAAGGAAAAGAACTGTCTCCTAGAGACTACAGAAAGAAGGCAGCCCTGAGGATGCTTTGCTATTAGTCATGTGACTTCTGGAACTCTAAGAGACTATATTTATATTGTTATAAGCCACTAATTTGGTGGTAATTTGCTCCAGCAGAAACAAGAAAACTATAGGTTCATCAGGAGAAGGGGTAGTATGTTTTAAAGAAAAGTAATTGAAGAAACACAGAACTTAAGTAACTCAGTTTTACCTTCCTATTAGGGTATAAGGCCGTGTTTTAATTTAATCCTTCATATTTTTTGTGTTAATGCATCCATATACTCATTGAGTACCAAAAGTAGTTCCCAGCACTGTTCAATGGGTTTCTTATTGGAAGTCCAACGATGTCCTCTGAGATACACAATTGGTCTTGAAAGGCTCTTGAATTATCATTTGAAGTAGACACATGGTGGGAGAAAATAGAAACTCTATATTGGGAGGCCATTTTGACACAGGAAGAGGCTGGGGCAAGACTAAGTAGTAAAGAAGCAGAGACTGGTGGCTCAGGTCTGGATTTGGGCTTCATAAAACAGAAGACAGCATCTTTCGGATTACTTTCTGGCCTTCCGGGCTAGGGAAACTGGAAGATCTAGACAGATACTCTGTCCAGGAGTAAAGGCACTGCATTTTGACATTCCTTTCCTTGTGCTGTCTCTCAGGCATTTGTATATGGAAGATGGAGTGTGGGATAGAAAAGAACCTAAAAATGTGGCTCAGGAAAGCAATGGTTTGCCATTGGGTACACTTAGACGTGTGTACTTTTGGAGAACTCACTTGTTCCTGGCTCCTGGACTACTCCTCACCCCAACTCCTGACATTCCAGCTCCACAGCCTCCAAGTAAAAAGCACTTGGCACATTCAGAGATTGAGCTGTCTTAATCTTTTTGCCATTGTGAAAAACAGGTGTGAAAGCTCCGGGAAATTGGAGCTATTTTACCTGGTAGGAGTTCATTGTGCTAACCCTCCTGGAATATGTTGTGCACTTTTTTTTTTTAATCTCAAAATAACTCTCTTTATGGGAGGTGATAATTTTATATTTTTAAATTTATATCTTTTTTTGAAACATTTTTCTTACTAAATACTTTTGAAAAACCAAAATGGCATTTGTGATCACTATAATATTACTAATAACATGATTACTAGTAACAGTACCTGATATTAATCAGGTTCCAATAATGTGAAAGTTGCCGAATTGATACATAACATATACATTATCATTAAAGCCAACAACAATTAATTAAGGTAGGAGGTACTATTATCTTCATTTCATTGACAAGGAAACTAAGGCTTGGAAAGTGAAAGGTCGCCTTTATAATAAAGTCAGCCTGTGCAGAATAACTCGGAAGATAAACTTTGCGAATAGATCTAGATCTTCTAACTTTATCCAATGAATCATTTAATTACTTGATAGAGAAAACTTCAGCTTCTTTAACTATGTAAGCCCAAGACATAGCATCATTCAATGCATGCAATAGGTGCTTAAGAATATTTATTGCATTTTCACTTTGAGATCAGGCACTGGGAATGTATCAAGTTATTATGTCCTCATCACTAAAGTTTGAGACACCAAATTACAAGAACTACATGGAAAAAGTAAATATAATTGCACTCTAAAAATGCTGGTAAGGATTGTAAATTGAATGTATCTTCTTGGGGTTTGCTTTGTCATACAAACCCTGAAATATAAATGCCAAAATGTTGGAAGACTCATGGATTACCCTTATTCCCTCAATTTAAAAAGGCAATTGACAGACAGCATTGTGTATTTCACCCAAGATTTTAGTGTTGTCTAGATACCCAAATAGCCCCTCAGGTTCAGTGGTATCCAGTGCAAGTGGGAGAAAATAGCATATAAGCTCTCTATCCCTGACATTTTCTCCAGAGACCCATGAAACAAGTGAAGCAGGTGGTCAATATTCAACTGATTGGAGATGGATATTTCTGTATCAGAGGCAGAATGAATCCTGCTTCAGGCATTAGTCCATCGTCTTCCCTCTAACATCAGCACACAACATCTAATACAGACCTCCTCATCCTACCCAAATCCAGCATGACAGATCACACAAATGACTTTGGCAAATACTCAGAAGCAGGTAATTTATTGATTAGTTGATTGGCTGATTAATGAAATTTCTGGTTGTAAGAATAAGTTTTTGATCAACAGAAAAGGGTAAAAAGCCATTGTGGAGGCTGGGCACGGTGGCTCACGCCTGTAATCTCAGCACTTTGGGAGGCCAAGGCAGGCGGATCTGGAGTTCAGGAGATCGAGACCATCCTGGCTAACACGGTGAAACCCTGTCTGTACTAAAAATACAAAAAATTAGCCGGGTGTGGTGGCAGGCCCCTGTGGTCCCAGCTACTTGGGAGGCTGAGGCATGAGAATGGCATGAACCCAGGAGGTGGAGCTTACAGTGAGCCAAGATTGCACCACTGCACTCCAGCCTGGGCTACAGAGTGAGACTCCATCTCAAAAAAATAAATTAAATAAATAAATAAATAAATAAATAAATAAATAAATAAATAAAATAAAAAAATAAAAAGCCATTGTGGAAATGAATCACTCAGGCATGATACCTATGGTAAATGTGATTTTTTTTAACTTATAATGAAGAGGGATACTAAAAATTTTTCTGGAAATAGCATTCTTTGAACTGTCTCAAAAATTCTGATGGGATCTGCTATGGTATGAAAGTTTGTGTTCCTCCAAAATTTATATGATTTCAATACATGAATTTTGGAATTCTAACCCCCAAGGTGATAGTATTAAGCAGGGCCTTTGAGAGATGGTTAGGTCTGGAGGGTGGAAGCTTCACGAATATGATTAATGCTCTTTTACAAGAGGGCCCTAAAGAGTTCTTTTGCCCCTTGAGCCATGTGAGCATACTGTGAGAAGATGCTCTCCATGAGCCAGAAAGCTTGCCCTCACCCAACACCAACACTTGCAATCACTCTTCACTCACAGGTATATCCTGAAGGAAATATATGAGCTTAACTAGGTCCATTCATTTTTATGCCTTGCAGACTCATTTCCTTCTCTAGAAAGCAATGAAACAAGAATCTGGTCATGGGATTTTACCAGTGCAAAGGATTAATCCACCCAATTGATGGCCAAGAAACCAACCAGTGAGAGCAGGAAGCAAGAACACCTCGAGACAGGTTGGTGCAATTATTTACTTTCATGGAGAGCTACACTTGGTCCTCAGCAAATCCAGACAAAATTGAAACTGTTTTGGCAAATGTTAGTAACCACAAATAAAGCCTCTGTTGTTCCTCACCACTTCATTTTCAAACCCTGTGTCTCAATCAGTACTTAGAAAAACAGACAGAGACTCCACAGGCCTGGAGCTATTCTCCCAGGAGATGTTGAAAATGAAAAAGAAGCCAGCAGCCCTAGATGAAATCTATTTCATACTTGTTTCATAACAATTGCACCAGATAGGGTATTGAAACACAATGAGTCTTTGGGACCAATTTCAGAAACAATTTTTGAAGTTTACTTTTTAAAGGAGAGCCTATGGTACTTGGGAGAAGCAATTGGCAAACTTTTTCTCTAAAGGAACAGATATTAAATATTTTGAATCTGTGGGCCAAGAGGCCACATTGAGGATACTCTATGAGTGCTGTATAACAAGAGAGATCAGAGACAAAGCTTGCCCTGCTGGCTTTTTTCCCTTGGGTGGTCCACAGACCTCTGGGTTGGTGAGCATGGTTTGGGTCCATCTATTGGCTGACGTTCTTCAGAGGAGATGGAATGCCGGCCTGGGTTGAAAGAGATTGTCCCTAGTTGCTTCTGTCCCAGTGACAACCAGATCTAGGCATGCTCTTTCTTCTCTTGGGAAGTCTGGCCTTCTTAACTAGGCAAGCTGGTTGGAGCAAGGAGACTCAGTGAGTTACCAACTTCTAGACAGAGATTTCATTGCCCCATGCCTGACGTTGCCAGTGACAGAGACCTCAACATGTAGATGGCAACTAGGGCAGGTGTGGACCAATGGTGAGGCTTAGCTACTGGCCAGGGTAGCAAAGCCTTGGGGAGAATGGGGAACAGGATGAAAGGGAAACCCAGCTTTGTTTCCACAACTCAAAATGCTAGTCCTCTGGAGCAGCGCGGGTGGGCTGTACAAAAACAGAGAGAAGCCTGGATTTTGTCCACAGGCAACCTCTGTTTTAGATCCTGGCTGAACCCTGACATGATTACCTTAAGGAGACACACTGGAAGAAGGTAGAAACTGGAGAAAGATGTTTCTACAAAAAAGCTGTGAAGATAGCTCCAGCTACAGGTAAATGAGCATAGTCCAAAAGGCAGAATTGCAGTTGTAGACCAAATGATTGGCACCATGAGCATTAATAGGAAGGATGAGGAGAGAGTCCTAGGCAGAGACTTCATCGTGACCGGGAAAACAGAAGCACACGTAGCTCACTGTATTACCCAGACATTTGCTTCCCCTTCCATGTGAAAGAATTACACATCCTTGTTCATTGCCTGGTGAATTTTGGGACCTTTCCATGGGAGTATGGTTCCTGCCGCATTATCAGGCTCAGCCAAAGGATGTATTTTGACTAATGAAATCTAAGCACACATGATGTAATGCTAGGTTGGATCAAAATCTTTCTGAAATATTTCATGCTTCTGTCAGCAATTCCCTTTTATCTTCTGCTAACAGAATGTCTACACTCATTTATTTCAGATGTGGAGTACATTCAGGCCCACACTGCCATTTAGCCCACATTTCTTGAGGTGGAGAGTAAGACTCAGTTTTCATAAGCCATTGAGATTCTGAGGTAATGGGTTACTGCAGCAAAGATGACTAACTCACAGGTAAAATTTAGAAATGCAGAAAAGAGGCTTGTATTGGTGAAGTCTGTTACTGGATAGTCAGGTTCCAGACACCAAGTTAAGGGTTAAGGCCAGGGCTCCAGTCTCCATGATGATAAAAATAAGCCAGGACATGACGTCTAAAGACCCTAGTCCCAGGATGCTTGACAGGGTGCCAGGATAGGTATTTAGATTGAAGAAATACGTCTTCCTTGAGTCACAAGGTTACAGCTGACCATAGAAACCCTGACCCCAACCTGAGTCATTTAATCATCTATCTGTGTATTAAGAGTCACCTACTCTATATTCTAAGACACACCAGGAGGTAAGGGTACAGAGATACCTCAATCTTTGGGGGCCTCAAAGATTAGGAAGGAAGATTCACATATAAGCCAAATTTCCCAGAGTAGATTACATACTATGTTATAGCTACAATAAAGATATAAGAGGGGAGAGATTAATTACTCATGGGGAGGGTACATCATAAAGTGTTTACAGGAAATTCTGGGTCTTGAAGATGAGTAGGTGTGTCTAGCTTGAGGGACTAATATGTTTAACAGCAAAGAAGCTTAAGGATCAGACCAAGTTCCCTAAATCTTTCTTGTGCAGTCAGAATTTGTCCAAGAGAAGTTCTCTGAGTACGGTCCATTGGTCACCTGCACCAGAAGCAGCTTCATAACATAAACAGATCTTGTGTTGTCAAACCTCCTGAACTGGAATTTCTACACCTGAATCCTGGGAGTATGCAAAACTATCTGACCTTCCAGATGACTCTCTGCACACTCAAATTTGAGATCCAGAGATGCAGCACAGTGTGTCTCAAACCTGGCTACACATTAAATAATCCAGGCAGCTTTTGAAACATACTGATGCTTGGGCTTCACCCCAGAGATTATAATTCGATTGATCTGAAATGGGGCTGAAGCACTGGTATGTTTTAGAAGTTTCCTACTTTTATTTTCATGCATAATCAGTCAGAGAATCATTGGTCTAGAGAAAAACATTGATTCACAGTTACTGTGTATCCGTCATGTGTGAGATATTATCCATGGTGTTGTAGTGGCCACAGTGATTAAAATTATAGTGGTCTTTCTTAAATGTAACTTAAAATGTTGAAATCTGATAGGAAGATAGTGCCTGGCAGAGTAGACATTCAAAATCATACATTGAGTGAACAAGAGGAGAAACTTATCCAAAGAGGCTGAACATTTTAATCAAGTATTCCAGGTCATTCACAAGTACTGTAACTGAAGTTTAGGCACCGCTGTCCCTGGGAGAATGGGACAGTGTCCCAGGGAGAATGTGGAAGGGAAGGAGAGTTAAATGGGAAATAGAGAGAAAGTCTGCGTGCAGATAAAAGTGGCTCAGGCTGGGGGCACAGGGGCTGCAGTGGCCAGAAACCAGGCAGACCTGGCAGGACAGTCTGGCTTTCAGAACAAAGAGGCTCCATTTTCACTGCTTTATGGGCATAGAGCTTTTGTTCTCTTGCTTCTATTACAGAACTTATCCTCAGAAAGTGTGTTATCTACCCGTTTTGGGTTTTGTTTATTGCGTTTTCAGAATTGAATTTTTCAAGAGCGATTGCCACAATACAATTTTGTAAACTTGTAGAACTGAACATTTCTAATTAGGTTGCTATAGCCCTTAGCC
The DNA here is from genome assembly GCF_000001405.40 of Homo sapiens. NCBI lineage: Eukaryota > Metazoa > Chordata > Mammalia > Primates > Hominidae > Homo > Homo sapiens. Next base: position 14,313,661 of record NC_000002.12, on the reverse strand, counting down.
AAATTACTGCAAATGTCATCTCTCCACTCTCTTTTTGATGCAAAAATGTAGGGCAGTCAGCAATATACACAATTTAGTCTTAACACAGGCAGACGCTGTTCATGGTGACAGAAGCGTCTGTTTTTCATTAACCCAAAATTTGCTTAGTCAAGCAACTCCCTCATTACACAGCTTGCATTGAAAAGGAGGTTTCTTTCAAGCAAGCTGCTAGGTTAGCATTAGCTGTCCATAAAAATTAAGTAATTGCCCTATCTCAGGATGGTTAGGAAGTTGGTCATATTCAAGGGCCATCCCTGGCCATGTTGAATCTTCTCTAATGGCACAGCCTCAGGTTTCAGGGATTGCACATCATTGGAAGACTTGGCAGAAACATCCAGTCTTTCATTGTTCTCTTCCATGAAAATCTATTTTCAGTTCAAGAAAACATTAATTTGTGAGTAATCCAATTCTGTCAACCCCAGAACTGAATTCCCCTGCCTTTGTCATTCTATCCCCAGCCTTTCATAGATAGAGCTATGAATTGTTCCAATGCAAAGCTCATCTCTACACCCCAGCCTGGGCTGGTTCATATGCAAACAAAGCATAGTAAAACCAATGAACAATTGATTAAAAAAAAAAAAAAAGGACTAATGGTCAGCATTGAGTACTCACTATGGACGAGGCATCGTATTAGGCCCTTTAAGTCTCATTTAGTTCTGTTTACCATTCAGAAAAAGTACATTATGGCCAATATACAGATGAGAAAACCAAGTCAACAGAAATAAGTGGCAATATTAATGTTACACAGCTAAATCATGAAAGGGCCAGTTACACAGTAGTGTAATTCTATAGCTCTTTCTTATAACATTCTAATCAACATTGCTGTGGGCATTAACAATAGTAATTTTTATGCTTAGAATCCTCACCCCCAGTCATGAACTGTGGGCTCCCTCATCATGTGTCCTACTCTAGGTGCAGTTTTTCTACAGATGAAGCTGGTTTCTCAAGGATGGTTTCCCCTAGTCTCCAGTTTGCTACTTATGGATAAATATCTAATATAAAGCTGACTTTAACTCCCAAATCTTATGAATCATCGACTCCAGATATTTTATTAAGTAGATCTACCAATGAGAACAGGACCCCACCATTCTCTGCCCTCACCAGAAGGCTCCCTCCCCTCTGTCTTGATCTGAGAGATGGGGTAGATGTATATGCTTACGATGGGGAATGACATGCTTGTGAGATCTTCTCTTTCACAGAGCTAGCATCACATAAAACCAGACTCTTCACACCTCACAATGTTGCTCATGGACTGATTTTTCAGATTCATTTCTTTCCCCCATCTCCTGTTGCTCTGTTGTGTAAGCTTTTTGTCTCATAAATTCATTTCTATGTTCAACCTCATTTTCTGCCCTAGCTCCTCCAAGGTGACTGTAAGCTTCTTCCTAGATATTATTTGATTTATCTTTCTGGCTCTACTGTCTTCCACCTATCTGAATGATCACTAGCTTAGATCTTCCTCATCCCCTCTACCTTCTAATTCAGAGCCAACTAGAAATCTTAGAAGCAGTTTTGATGACTCCTTCTTTACATTTGCCATTCAACCAGGACATTGTCCTATAGATTCTTGTGCCTATAAATACCTTTGAATTTCATGATTATCATGTAGATTATGAAAATATCTTCTAACTGTTCTCCACACCATGACAGCCGTATATTGTATTCTACTTTTCTACCAGAGTGATCTTCCTAAAGATTGTATCTCTCCTTTTTAAGCCTCTGAATGGATATCCATGCTTTCAAGATAAAAGTCCAAACCCCTTATGGTATCTGTCTTATGTATAGTTCAAATTTTATTCATTTTTCAAAACTCAATAGAAATTTTCTTTAGATTTAAGTCTTTCTCAACTCACCTGCTGTGGTTTGAGTCCCTAAAACTCATGTTGAAAATCCCCAATGTGTCAGTATTGAGAAGTGGAGGCTTTAAGAGGTGATTGAGTCATGAGGGCTCTACCCTCATGAATGGATCAATCTATTCATGGATTAATAAATTAAAGGATTAATTGATTAATGGATTAATGACTCCCTATGAGAATGACAATGGTGGCTTTATAAGAAAAGAAAGAGAGACTTTAGCTAGCACACTCAATCCCCTTGCCATTTGATGCCCTGCACTTCCTCAGGACTCTGCAGGGAGTCTCCACTGGCCACAACGCCCTCTCCAGATACACCCCCTCAACCTTGGACTTCTTGGCCTTCATCACTGTAAGAAATAAATTCCTTTTTAAAATAAATTACTCCATTTCAGGTATTCTGTTATAAGAAACAGAAAATGAACTAGGACATCAACCCACCCTGAAGCACTATTACAGCATTTCTTAAGTTGCACTGTACCTATTTATACATGTCCTTTCTCCTTACTCTGAATTGTAGGCTTCTTGATTAGGCAAGGACTGTGTCTAGTTAATTTCTGTACTCACAACTTCTGGCACAGTACCTGGCATGTACTTTTTGAATATTTAACAGATGTTTGCTAAATGTTTGGATGAAGAAATCAATCGGTGAGGGAAATAGAGGTCAGCATCCCCTATCCCTTTTCTTCTGCTGAGTTCAGTGTCTGCCCATGTCCACACATGGGAAGGTTACTGACTTATTCAGATATATGGATAGATGTGGTCATTAGAAAGACCATTGAAGTTGCCCAACTTCTTTTAGGTCAAACATAAGCCAAGCTAATACCAATTGGCCTTTGTGCTGCAGAAAACTTGTATTCAAAGCATTTACTTTTTAAACTCAAATTTGCATATGCCCTTACCTTGTAGAAGAGGAGATGAAGTTGTAAAATTATTCTGAAATAGGATTTTGCAACTGAAATAGAGGAGAGATGAAAGTAAGGGGTTTGATAATGCTGATACCTAAGAGAATATGAAAATTTGGTTGTGGGTAGAGAGCAAGATCAGTGAGTAATTTTCCTCCTGACTCTAACCTGTAGGACATGATGAGGTCGTGTGGAGGTCCTTGGAGGGGTTCTGAAACCAGGCACTCCACCAGCTACTACTTACTGAACACTGCCTGTGCCGAGCACTGCTTTAGGCTCCAGGAATGAAGAAGCAGTCAAGATGTGCTACCTGCTCCTGGAGCTTCTGTGTGGAAAAGGCACACAATAGCTAATTACAAGGCAATGTGGCAAGTGCTAGAATAGAGAGTAAAGAGTGCTCTGGAAGCACATCAGGCATTGAAGGCTTTCCTCTAGAGGATCTGGGAGAACTTTGCAGAGGGAATTTTTTTTTTTTTTTTTAGATGGAATCTTGCTCTGTCTCCCAGGCTGGAGTGCAATGGAGCAACCTTGGCTCACTGCAACCTCTGACTCCCAAGTTCAAGCTCACTGAAACCTCAGCCTCCCGAGTAGCTGGGATTACAGGTGCACACCACCATGCCCAGCTAATTGTTGTATTTGTAGTAGAGACGAGTTTCTCCATGTTGGCCAGGCTGGTCTAGAACTCCTGATCTCAAGTGATCTGCCCTCCTTGACCTCCCAAAGTGCTGGGATTACAGGCGTTAGCCACTGTGCCTGGCCTGCAGAGGGAACATTTGAATTAGATTAGGAAGGGTAAGAAAGGCTCCTCCAGTTTGATTCAGGGAAAATGGCATTCTAGCTAGAGAGAAAAGTTGGTGTAGAAATCCCAGGATGTAAAGTGACATGGTCAAGTAGTGATACAAGGGTAAATGGTGAATGAAAGGGAGTGTTAACAGATGAGTCTTGTGGAGGAAGTTGGCCAGAGTCATTGGTACTTCATGTATAGGGAGTGGAGTTGATGGAGGATATGAAAGTGGGAATTTACTTGGTCACTCCAATATTGTATGTCCGGGGGAATCCTGGGGCCTAAAGCTCATATGATTGAGGGTATTTTTGATGAGTTAAATAATATTTATATTTGTATTTTGTACTAATGCAAAATTAAATGCAGATCTGTGAAAGTGAGGGGCTCTGGGCTGGGCACAGTGGCTCACACTTGAAATCGCAGCGCTTTGGGAGGCCAAGGTGGGTGGATCATGAGGTCAGGGGTTCGAGACCAGCCTGGGCAACACAGTGAAACCCCGTCTCTACTAAAAATACAAAAATTAGCTGGGCGTGGTGGTGGGTAACTGTAATCCAAACTACTCGGGAGGCTGAGGCAGGAGAATCACTTGATCATACCACTGCACTCCAGCCTGGGCAACAGAGCTAGACTCCATCTCAAAAAAAAAAAAAAAAAGAAAGAAAGAAAGTGAGGGGCTCTGAGTTTAAGGTTCATTAGGTTCAAGGTAAACTCTCTGCTGGTTCATAGAAGGTGAATATTGGTATAAAGCACCCTTACTCTCAAATAAATTCTGAGGATAAGGAGAGACTTGCTTTGTTAGAAAGAAAAGTGACAGAACCATAAAACAAATAGAAACCTAGTTTAGACGGGCTGAGCTGGCCTGTATAAAGATGTCCCTTGTCTGCTTCTGGAAAGCTGTTACCTCTCACTTTATATAGGAGCAACAGATTGTGCCTTCTGACAATCCTATCATATCCTCAGTGTTGCCTCTGGCTGCTCCTGGAAGGGGACCAATCCACTGGGGCAGGATGGTTGGAGACACAAAGGCAGGAGAGGGGGCTTTCGTTTTTTAAGTGTGCCAGATATCCTGTGTTTAGACAGATGTCAATACCATTCCTTTATTCCTGGAGCCTGTATTCCATACTTGTTGTATATGAAAAAAAATGTCACCAGACCTCATACATTTTGCTGCTATTCTTCCCAACAGGATCTGAAATAATTGATCTATTAATCTATGTATGCAATTTTTTTCTCTTTCCAAGTACTCCTGGAAAGAAAATGTGGGGGAATTTACCACTTTCTTCTAAGATTTTCTGCATATCATGCATCTTACACCAGTCAGCTAGTTTGAATTTATGAGCATTTTTGGTATCTTTCACATCTCTGCTATCTCTGGCATATTATATTATTTATACCTTCTTTTTTCTTTCTTTTCTTTCTTTCTTTTTTTTTTTTTCTTTTTTTAGACAGGTTCTAGCTGTCACCTAGGCTGGAGAGCAGTGGTGCAATCTCGGCTGACTGCAACCTCCACTTCCAAGCTCAAACAATCCTCCAGCCTCAGCCTTCTGAGTAGCTGGGACCACAGGCACACCAGCCACCATGCCTAGCTCATTTTTTGTATTTTTTTGTAGAGACAAGGTTTCACCATGTTGCCCAGGCTGGCCTTGACCTCCTGAGCTCAAGCTATCTGCCCATCTCAACCTCCCACGGCACCTGGCCTATTTAAAACATTACATCATGATATATGTTAAACACACACCTAAACACACATAGACACACACACACACACACACACACACCAAAGAGATAGCTAATTCCCTGTGTTACAGATGAGGTCATGTAATTTGCCCAAATCTATACATTTCATAAAGTCAGAGTTCACATTTGAAATCTGGTCTCACCAACCCCAACACTCAGTCTCTTCCCAGTAGGAATTTTAATTTTGTAAGGGCTCCACAGTTTAAAAAAATATTTAGGGCCATCATGGCACTACTCGAGGCACCCATAAAAATATTCTAATTTGCTTTCAACTAATGGAATCTCTAAAGAACTTGGACTTTTGTCTGATGTTGCTCATTAGAAGTTCTAAGAATAAGCAGAGATATGTTCTCATGTTTCTGTCATAAATTTCACCACTCTAATGTCCTCATTGCAAACCCATCTCCTGCACAAAGAAGCCGTCCTTCTTATTTGGCATGCAGATGTGATTTGATGCATGACAGCAGTGTGATCCAACTACTCAACATCATGTAGCTCTTATACCAACCAGAGTGAGCTCCTAGATATTCCTATCATGAGTGGTTTGAGTTCTTCCACAGGAGACTTTATTCTTTCTATCTCACTAATTGAATATTTATCACATTGTTAATTATTCAAGTGTTATTTCACTTTTACACCTAACTTTGGCGCTTGTATGCAACCATTTCTTCATGGACACATAGGGTCTTCCTTGTATCACCTTATTTAAATGTATATCCTCTTCTCTAATTAACTATGTCCTCTTCAAGGACATAATCAGTGTCTCGTAAATCTTTATATTTCTCACAGCACAGAGCACAATTCTGAATATGTTTTCCATAATTATTAGAATGAACAGGTAGATACATTTAGGTATAATGATCTTTGACAAAATTGCTACTGTACCATCTCCATATTGGTAGAAGTCAATTAGAGGCAGCTAGCAATTTTATGAAATCTTTTCAGCTTTGATAGATTCTCAGAAAACTCTAAACGTGATTTATATATCTCAGTGGCAGGAAAAGAAGCAGTTTCTGATAGTGAGATTATATAGGTGATTTCACATGTCTCTTCTCCAAATAACAGGCAGATATAATAATCTGTTTTTTAAAGAAGGAAAATCTGACTTGTTTAACACAAAGAGATTAAACTTAAGTGAATGGAATTTAGTAAGATTTTTATGCAATAGACTATAGACACTTAAATCAATGTCCTTCCTAGAAACAATTTTCTGTCACTATGACAGAGATTATTAATTGCCTTAAAACATCATGTGGGTCTGAAGAAGGAACCCATCTGAATTCACAAGGTTAAATGTTTGAAAAACTAAGAAAAGAGGGTCAGAGAGGCATCTGACAGAAGAGTCATTGCAAGGGGGATACATTTTTAAATCCATCTCTACAGTTTTTAAATCTCTCTCTCTCATGTTCTCTCTGTTCAGTGAAACAAGAAAATACCAAAAACATGGTGAATCTTAGCACCAACAAGGAAAAGGAATTTGACAACATTACTCAGGCTATGTCTATTGACTAGATGAAGACAGTAGATTAAAAGCTGGTTAAACATTCATCCAGTGAAGGCAGCAAATGGACAGTTGCCATCCTAGAGAAACTCTGTTAATGACATGCTACAGGACTATCTCCTTTGCAATGTTTGCATTGACAAATTGTATGAAAATATACATGGCCCATTTATAGAAGGAGAGCATAAAATAAAACTGAGTGGGAGAACTTTACATATGTAATTGCATTTATGGAAGTACAGAGTGTAGGAAAAAGAAGAGTTTTCTTAGCTACTCAATTTAAAAATGAAAGTGATAATGAGGAATCTGAAAGTCGATTTGCGTGAGAGTTTTTATAAACACTTTTGAATGCTTGGGCTAATTGGTAAAGCTTAGGGTATTTCCCTAAAGATACAAAGACAAGGCCAGGTGCACGTGGCTCACACATGTAATCCCAGCACTTTGGGAGGCTCAGGCAGGCAGATCACCAGAGGTCAGGAGTTCAAGACAAGCCTGACCAACATGGTGAAACCCCATCTCTACAAAAAATATAAAAATTAGCTGGGAGTGGTGGTGGGTGCCTGTAGTCCCAGCTACTCAGGGGGCTGAGGTAAGAGAATCACTTAAACCCAGGAGGCAGAGGTTGCAGTTAGCTGAGACTGTGCCACTGCACTCCAGACTGGGCAATAGAGTGAGACTCCATCTCAAAAAAATAAATAAATAAGGAATCAAAGATTCATTTTTCTTACAAAAGGACGGACACGGAGTCTTAATTACCTACACATGATGGTAGGACATTTGACTGGAAAGTTGGGGGGCAGCTGAAGACTAAGGAATGGAGCCCAGGTATACAGGGTGAGGCTGCAGTCATTATGGCTAGAGAGAAGATATGAGAGGTACAGAGTTCCCTGAGGCTGTACTGAATACCCACTGCCATTTTTTCACAGCTCATCCATGAAATTTTTAGAGTCAAGGGTTAACTTGTGAAGGAGAATGAACACATTCAGGAATATCTCTGTTCTCTAGCAGAGGTCCCATATTAGTTTGCTAGGACTACCTTAACAAAGCACCACAAAGTAGCTGGCTTAAACAACAGAAACATACTGTATTACAGTTCTGGAGGCTGTAAGTCCAAGATCAAGATGTTGGCAGGGTTGGTTCCTTTTGAAAGATGTGAGGGAGACTTCCATGTCTCTCCCACAGCTTGTGATAGTTGCTGGCAATCTTTGCCATACCTTGACTTGTAGAAGCACCACACTGACCTTCGCCTTCATCTTCATATGGTGTTCTCTCTGTATCTGTGCCTCTGTCTCCAAATTTCTCCCTTTTATGAGGATGCCAGTCATATTGGATTAGGGTCTACCCTAACGACCTAATTTTAAAGTGATTACCTTTATAAAGATTCTCTTTCCAAATGATACCACGTTCTAAGGTACTGGGAGTTAGGGCTTCAACATATCTTTTGGGGTGACACAACCCATAGTAGGCACCTTATCAGTATTAAGGCATCAGTAGAATTAAATCAGACTTTATTAAAGATGTAGGCAGCTCCCCATAAACAATGATGGCGAAATGGCAAAAGTGAGTTTGAAAATGGTGCATTTACTATTTAAAGAGAAAAATGTAAAAATAGCTTCCTGAGATCAATAATACATTATTTTTTTCACCATTTTCTCATAAATCCGCCTTATGGCAGACTATGCTTTTGAAAATTAGTTGATTTCCATTTAGCTACTGCTGCAAACAGACTTTAAAGAAGAAATAGTAATTGAAGCATCTACATCAATAGTAATCCCATCCTATGAAAATGGCCTTCATCTCCTAATTGTCTATCCTATCAGGAACTAATTCATCAAAGCTTGGTATAGTAGACTATGTCTTAGACTAGGAGTGAGAAGTCCTTGATTTTAGTACCAATGCTGTCATTAATTGTGTCTTCTTTATGCAAATCACTTGATAATTCTGGGCCACGGTGTTTTACTGAAGCCACAGAGGGATAGTTTACTGGATTATGTATATAAGTATTCTTGGAGTCTCTATGCTACTTCTGATGCTATACCATTCATGAAAATAAATTAAATCAAAGATTGAATAGAATTCTAAATACCAAGAGATGAACGTAGACATCAGTGTTAGTGAAGGAAGAAATGTGAGTGAAATAAAGTACAAAATAATGCAATTTGATTTATGAAAAACTATTTGATCATTATGTTAATTAATCCCAGTTATTTTGGGAAATTTCAAGAAACTTCTACTAGATTTTTCAAGAAGAGAATAGAT